>NC_000005.10:173640111-173943142 GCF_000001405.40 Homo sapiens
GTAGTTGGTCTCAGGTTTCAGCTGGGACTCGGTTTCCCAAAATGAGGGTGGGGAATGCTAGTAGTATCTAGAGTTTCTTCAGGGACACAGATAAAGCATTAAAGAAAGTAGTTCTCTTATTCAGTCCTCTCTCTATCCTTCTGATTAGATCAAGGAGAGTCTCATGACGGTGCTGGGGTGTCCCTAATGCCTCTTAACACTCATGATTCTCTTTACCGGAGAGAGAACAGGCTGCAGACTCAGCATCTCTCCAGGGCAGCAGAAATCTGGCTGCATTTCAGTAGCATTCTTTTGCTTTGGGTATTCTTATTTTTATGGTGGCCATCTATTTATAGCAAGTGCAACCTATTTTCCAATTACTGTTGTGAGAGATTCTTCTTCACATAAATTCTATAAAATAAAAATTGGTGAGTTGACTTAAAGAAAAATGTGAAACAAATAAGAGCACAATTTGTATGTGAATAGAGCAACCACCAGGAGGGGTTTGTGTGAATAATTGAGATTTGGGATGTGCTGGGCTTCCGGGACAGACAGGAAGTGTTAGGGAGGCAGAATTGATGGGGCTAGAATCGGTTCCATGCCTTTGGCTCACAGTTTATGCCACAGAGAATGCCCTAACCTTCTCATTTCTGTGTGGCTCAGTTCCAACACATCTTTGCCATCCCAGCTCCAAGGCCACCTCCTTCACAAGCTTGCCCTGCATTCTTCCCACGTGAAGGTCACCTCTCTCCTGTCTATTCTGATAGCGCTTTGGGGGCAGCTTGCCTTTTGTGTTCTATTGGAACACAGCACATCAAATTCCAGTCATTTGTGCCTAACAAAGCACAGCGCATACAGGAGGTACTCAGCGAATGTTCACTCCAAATCTGCACCTCACTAAACCATGGCCAGATGACATGCATGTGCACTGATTGACCTAATGGTAGCCAGACATAGAGACCACAACGAAGTGTAGTGGGACCCCCAGCTGCCAAATGCCTGATCTCCCTGTGATTTAAGACTTCACAGTTGCAATAGTTAACTCAAGCTAAACTTGCCAGGTGGTGGGCGTGGGGGCTAGATGGTGAAGATCAGAGCCAGACAGCCACTCCCCGTGTTTCTGGGAGATGCCGTGGGCACTGAATGGACATGGGGGTGCATCAGAACTGATGTCTGTAGCAGCCCTTGTCCTGTCCCCGGGAGCCATTCGCTTTTATCAAGGTTGCCTTGCCTCCCCCTTCTCCTTCTCAGGACCCTGGTGAGTTCCCCCTCCTCTGTCACAGATGATCAGCCGCTCTGCACTGGTCATGCTAGCAGCTGACTTTGGGAGAGAAGATCTCTGAACCAATAGTGTTCTCTCAACATGATGATTGCCTTTCTTCTGTTTCCGCTTGAGAAGAGACCGTTTGGCTTGGTGGAAAGTTCCCCAGGGGGCTCTGATGTCACATGGACTGGGATTTGAACTCCAGCTCCTCCACTGTTGGCTTTGTGACTTTGGGCAAGTCACCTCCCCTCTTGGAGCCTCAGGTTTCTCATCTGTGAATAAAATGGGGATCGAAGTCCTTTCCCTCTGGGTTGTGCAGGTGGCAGGTGCTCCTGCTCCACAAAGCCCTGGTTCCTTCACCTGCTAAGCTCTGAGGTTGCACTGGGATGGAGGGTGGAATGATTGGGGAGAAAATGCTAAACGAGAGGTGATCCTGTCCCCATTGTAATGGGTGCAAATGAAGGGCCAACTTTATTAAAATGGAAAATCCAGGATTTGTAGTTCTCACATTTTAATGGGCCTAAGCCTCATCTGAAGGTGCCTGCTAAAAGGCAGATTTCTGGGTGCTGGTTCCAGAGGTTCTGTGTGGGGCCAGAGAATCCGCATTTTAAATAGCACCCTCAGGCATTCCACGGCATGCAGTTTCCAGCAATCCCTCTGAGAGCCCAGCTCTAGATTGCAATAGGGGACCACCACTCATAATTGGGAATTTTTTCCTTAAATATCCAGATTTCTAGTTCTTTCAGAGAATCTGAAGTGTTGGCAATCCTGGGCCTGCTTTCCTGCTTGACAGCAAAGAACAAGAGCTGAGTTGTACCTACTCCCTTTAGATGAGGCTGCTGTCTCCAGGAGCCTATTTATTTAAAGTCCTGGCCTAAACTCTAGTGTTGTTTGAGTTTGTGACCCCTGGCAGGTCAAGTCCTCTAACACCACAGATTAGGAAACTAAAATCTGGAGGCGAAGTGGCTTAGGTGTGGAGAGCTAGCTGTGGATGGCCAGGTCAGAGGCGGCCTCTGAAGAGCTGCCCAAGCAGAAAGCTGCAGCTTGGTAAACAAGGGTGATCCCTGAGGCAGGGCTAGGGCTCTGCGTGGGCACAGGGTGGGAAGGAGAGGAGGAGGGAGGAAGTCTTCTGTAACCGGTCCTCAGGAGCAGGGGCAGTTGATGGCTATTTTTACCCTCACAGGGGATAAGCCTCCCTGAGGCTACAGAAGCAAAGCCCAGAGATGGGAGTCGGGGAGACAGAGCCTCCTCATGATGTCACGATGTCACCTGAGCTCCTGGGTCCAGCTTGTTTCATGAGCTGGTAAGTATCCGCCCACCTAGGGTTGCCAGAGAAAACAGGTTGCCCAGTTCAATTTGATTGTCCGATAATGATTTTTTTAATACAAGTATGCCCTGTGCAATATTTGAGACATACCTATATTAAAAAAGTTATTAGTTCTTTTTTTTTTTTTTTCGAGACAGGGTCTCACTCTGTTGCCCAGGCTGGAGTGCAGTGGCACAATCTTGGCTCATTGCATCTTCCGCCTCCCAGGTTCAAGCAATTCTTCTGCCTTGGTCTCCTGAGTAGCTGGATTATAGGAACATGCTACCACGCCCGGCCAAATTTTATTTTTTGGTATTTTTAATAAAGATGGGGTTTTACTATGTTGGCCCAGCTGGTCTCGAACTCCTGACCTCAAGTGATCTTCCTGCCTCGTCCTCCCCGCCAAAGTGCTGGGGTTACAGGTGTCAGCCACAATGCTTGGCCAAAAAATTGTTAGTTCTTTATCCAAAATTCAAACTGGGCTGGCATTCTGTATTTTTATTTGCTAAATCTCACAACCCTCACCTTATCCTTCCTTTGGGCTTAAGCCAGCCTGGTTTGGTTTCCGAGTCTTTCAACCAAAGGGATCTCGGTAGAAGCAGGCAGTTGTGCAACTGGGGCCCAGGCACGTGACTCAACTTGCCCAGGGTCACAAGGCCAGCAACTTATATTGGTGGATTAGAACTCAGGTCTGCGACTTGGTAACCAGTGCTTCCTCTGCGACCTGACCTCTAAGGTGAGAGGCAGGGACATGGCAGAGAGGAGGAGATGGGTCTGAAGCTGATGCAACAGAATTGGGTTTGAACAGAATGTGGAGCGGGGAGGAGAGAAGGGGACTGGGGCTCACAGCTTTGTTGACTGAGAGGTGACATTACTTTTAATATTACTTATTAATTCACTCATGGCATATTTATCAAGCACCTACAAGGTGCAAGGCATGTGCTTATTTCTCTGATATCTGAAACGGGCTGATAGTATCAGTGTTTACCCTTTCCATTTTATAGACTGGGAGAGTGAAGCTCAGAGAAGCCACAGGTCTGGGGGCCTCTGGGGCTGGGGTTACATCCTAGGCCTCCTACCCAGAGCCCCCCACCACTCCCTGCCAGCCCACATGGAGGCCAGTCTGCTCCACGCCTCGCTGCATATTCAAATCCAACCCCCTACCCCCATCTGAGAAAAGCAATGCAAATTGGAATCACCAGTGAGCATTCAGTCTGTGTCCACCTTTGGCAACTTTGTCTGTCCTAACACATGTGATGTTTAATCCTGTGACCCTGTGCCCTGCATCCTGGCCACAGCTCTCCTGGCAGGACCCCAGCCACATCTTTCTACCTTGTGGGATAAAGGATGCTCAGGGTAGGGGGTGCAGGTAACAGGAGCTCAGGGCTTCAGCAGAGCCGGAAGTTGGATCCAGGCCTCTGGTGCCATGGTGACGGTTGCTATAGAAATGCACCAGCTGCACTCAGCACGCCTACCAGGATCTGTGGGGGTTTTTCATAGACTGGAGCCAACAGAGAAGGGGAACTCTGTAGTGGTGAGAGCCCTGGAGTGAGAGCCAAGCTTCATCTTGGGGCTGCCCTTCCCTGTGTCTCCATCTCCATCCCCTGCCATCCCCCTCCTGTCCCCCTCCTTAGTCTGTGCAGTCTCCAGCAATGGTAGCTTGGCTGCTGTGCTCTCAGCCTGCAATGCCCTTTCTGGCTTCTTCACTTGGCTAGTTCCCAGGTACCCTCCAAGCCTCATCTTAATGCTGTATTTCCTCCAGCAAATACCAAGTGTCTACTAAGCACAGGACACCATTCTGGCCACCAGGGACACAGCAGTGGCCAAGAATGACAAGGTCCCTGCTCTCATGGGGCTGCCAGTCTAGGTGGGAGTGACACAGGCATCAAGGGAGCGCCCAAGTAAATGAATGAGAACACATTCAGGTGATGCCGGGGAGAAACAAAGGAGGGCAATAGACAGGCAGTAATGGGGTTGTGGAGACTCGGTGGTCAGGGAAGCTGGGTCCAAGGAGTGGCATTGTCCTCCCTGAGCCCTCCAGCCCTCCTCCCCTCCATTTTCTGGTTCCACTGCATGGATTTTGTCCTTGAATCACAGCACTGATGACCCTAAAATGTCACTGCTTGTCTCCCAAACTTGTCTTCCAAACAGCTGCTTCCTCTTTGAAGGCAGGAGTGCAGCCTGATTTATCTCTGTGTCCCCTATGTCTGGCAATAACAGGGACTTGGTAAGGCACACATTCATAGAGTGCGTTCCATGGGCCAGGCAATGTCACAGACAGCTCTCATTTCCCCTGTATGTTGATTCCAAGACATAACTATGATTTGATCATCACTTTAGAGATTGAGGAAGCAAAGCTCATCTAGGGTTAGTGACCTGCTCCAGGTCCCGCAGCCAGTGCGTGGGAGGTTTGAGATTCAAACCCTACTCTACACTCTCTGTGCCCCTTGTATGTAATGCGGTCACAGCTTTATTAAGATATCATTCACATACCATACAATTCACCCTTTTAAGGTGTACATGCAAATGCTTTTCAGTCTATTCACAGAGTTGTGCAAACATCAGAACCATCCATTTTAGAACACTTGCATCAGAAAAAACAGGCTCATTTCTCTAGCGTGGGGGCCCACCGACCTCGGCTTTGTAGGAGGACTCGAAGTTCAGAAGTTGGCTGCAGTTGTAAATTTAGAGCTGAAGATTTCTGTGTGGGTTGCCTGACTTTTTCTTGACATATCAATAACTAGCTTTTTGCTTATTGGCACTTTAAATGTGTATGCTCGGCATCTCTGAATTAAAACCCCAATTCTCCACGGAAAATCTCTAAACAACCTACAGGCAAATAATTCAAATTCCAGGAGAGCCTTTGGAGGGCTTTCCTAGCTGGAACACGGGGTGTGCTGACCATGTGGCCACTCAGAATGTCTGGAATTCCCCAGACCCTGTGTTTGTAAAGCTCAAGGCTTTCTGGAAGCCTGACTCTGTGGCATGTGCTGACACAGAAGGGGCTGTCGCTGGGGGCCCTGGGGGCTCTCTGCACCCAGGACTATGGTGCCCTGCCCTTCGTGAAGGGCCCTTGTCCAGTTTCCTCATATGTCTGGCTCATACTTGAGACAATCACTTAGCTCCAGGACCTGTGGGTGGAGTTGACGATCAATTTGCCCTTTTCTCAGTTCGAGGGTGGCGGGGGGCGCTCCATTGTCCCTAATTTTCACATCTTCCCCCTCCTTCAACTAACCACAAGTGCTTGAATTTCACCTCTGAAGAGGTATTATTGAAGTGATGAAGGGTAACTGGTATAACTTTTTCTCCAGCTTGGTGCCCAAAAGAGGTCACTTGTGTTTTTAACCTGTGCCTTGAAGCCCCATTGCCTAATTGAGCAGCATGGTCAGCATCTCTCTTCTGGCCTCAGCCCTTCCTCCCTTAACATTATGCAAGAACCATCATTCTCCAGGGCTCAGGCTGCAGCCAGAGAGAGGTGACGTGAGCTCTGGAGGGCCCCATCCTCTCAGATCCTTTTGCTCGTGACCCGCTTTGCCTTCTCTATCCTCAGCCAGGATCCTTACACACATGACAGGAGCCAAACCTGGCCAGGTGAAGCAGAAAAGTATTTCTTAAAGGCCTGTTTATCGAGTAGCTCCCGGAGTCTTTGGGCGGGCCAGAGACCCAGGCATGGAGTCACCCAGGCAGAACAAGTTCCCAAACCACACCTCAGAGCCAGTCCTGTGAGGACACAGCTGTTCCTCCACTGGGCAGAGACGCTACACCCTGCATCACCAATAATACCAGGGCTGCTACTAGTATTATTGGTTAATTCACCCACGAAATATTTATCAAGCAGTAGCTGTCGGGTGTTATTGGTGACGCAGGGGGTTGTGTCTCTGCCCAGTGGAGGAACAGCTCCTTGCCAGAATGGATTCCATGAAGACCCTGCTTCTCGCGTCACTAGTGCCCATGCTGATGTCCTGAGAGGGGCGTGTCTGATTGGAGAAGCCCTAGTCCACGTGCCAGCTCCTAGCCACGAAGGAGGCTGGGAAGTGAATGTCAGCTTTTGTAGTAGAAGTCTTTACCCACCATGCAGGCTTCTGTGGTAGAGGGTTCCCCCCAAAATGAGCAGCCCAAACACATGATCCATGACCACCACGGCTTCCGGGCAAATTTGCCCCCCTCCTCCTTGGTGACTTCTGACCTCTGTGTGTCAAAGAATTTGAAGAGGGACAGACAATGGCTCTCAAATAAATCCTATCTTCCCCCAGGGCAATGGGTGTCTCCTTGGCTGGCATTTCCATAGCTAAGATGAATCACAAGTGACGCTGCTCAAAGTGGAGATGTCTGCTCCACGATGACCATGCGGCCCACACAGACCCAGGTGGAAGAGGCTGTTCCCCAAAGGAAAAGGGAGGTGCTGTTTTTAAAAGAGGGAACTCTAGGCAGGAAAACAACGTATGTCCACCTCAGCTGGGGCATCCTATGGCCACGATATTACGAAACAAAAACAACACATTGAAGAAGACGCAGATGGGTCTTTTTTTTGAGACGGAGTCTCGCATTGTCGCCCAGGCTGGAGTAAAAATGGCACGATCTTGGCTCACTGCAACCTCCGCCTCCCAGGTTCAAGAGATTCTCTTGCCTCAGCCCCCCGAGTAGCTGGGATTACAGGCGCCTGCTACCATGTCTGGTATTTTTTGTATTTTCAGTAGAGATGGGGTTTCACTAAGTTGGCTAGACTGGTCTCGAACTCCTGACCTCATGATCCACCCGCCTCGGCCTCCCAAAGTGCTGGGATTACAGGCGTGAGCCACCACACCTGGCCGCAGAGGGGTCTTCTTTAGAAGGATGTGGAATGCAAATGGCCCAATGCCTGTCCTTGCACTCATATCCCCACCAGGCATTCCTTTTCCTCTCCTCTCTGGCTTGCAGGGGAGGCTTTTCCCCATTCCTTCCTATATGGTCCAGGGAAAGCTTTGATGCCCTCGTGAGTTCTTTACTCATTGAGAAATGCTGTGTTCTGGGGGTTAGAGAATGACCCTGGGCGCATCTGGGTTCTGCTCTGAACTCTGCCCCTTTTTCACAAGTTGGGCGCAACTTTCTTTTTCTTTCTAAGCCTCAATTTCCTCACCGATAGAATAATAAAAATAATAGCAATTCTGCCATAAGATTGTTGTAAAATTCAAATGAGATTATCCAAGTGAAGTAAATAACACTACAGGGTATGGAGTAATTCTTGATAAAAGGCAGTCATTTTAATAATACTGATGATAGTATAAACAATCACTATTTCCATGGTTTTTTCTAGCTTTAACAGATAGGACAAGTTATGCACTATTCCTGAGCCTGTTTCCTCTGCTGTAAAGTTATGCCTGCTTTCAGAGGGTGACTGTAAGAATGTTTATAAACCATGTGGAAGGAATCTAGCAGAGTATCTAGAACATAGTAGGTACACAGCACCCCCCACCCCCAACACTTTGCACCTCTGTATTTATTTCGCTGGGAAAAGCCACCTCGGAGTATTTATTCTGTGAGGAGAGTCACAACAAAACATCGATGGTGTCTTCAACCAGGAAAGACTTTCCAATCTAGATGATGTAGGGAAAAAAACCATTCTCCATGGATGTGGCACCTGGGCTCAGGAAGGGGCCATGAGAGATTGTGATCTTGTTCAAAAATGTCCATGGTCCTCGTTAGGGAAGATTCTACTTCTCTGTCCCATTAACTTCAGGCTTTGCCATGTGACTTGTTATGGCTAATGCAATGTGAGGGAAGTGAAGATTGATACTTCTAGGAAAAGCTTAAGGAATCATCTTGTGGCTTCCTATATTCTTTTCCCCTTCGCCACAAAATTAGCACCGTTCCAGATAAAGGCTGCCCCATCCTCCTGGGTCCCCAGATAAGGCAGATGTGGGGCAGAGCCACAGCCACCTCACAGTGGCCATGTAGCATGGGTGAGAAATTATCCATTATTGTCGTAAACTGCTGGGAATTTGGAGTTGTTTGTTATGGCAGCCTAGCCTAGCCTAACTAACCCAGGCCAGATACTCCAAATAATCTTTTCCCTCCCTACCACCTGTGGCCAGATTCTTTGCTTCTAGTCAGGAATAGGAGTATTATCTCATTCTGCCTTAGAGAAGGACAAGGCGGCTGTATGCAGTGAGGACACCGTCTCAGTGTGTGGAGTTGTGTTCAAAGTTGTGTATGAATGGTGACCCGCTCTCAGCTGGTTGTTGAAGTGCAGTGTAATGAACTACAAGTTGCCTACCCAGCTTCCTTTCTGCCTTTGTGCCTTGACAACATATCCCTGATTTTCTAAGTTCTCCACCCTAGCTTCACATGTGTCAGGGAGCTGACTCCATCCTAGGTGTAGGAGGTGATTCTGAGCAGTCTAAGCCAGTGTTACTCAAAGTGTGGTCCATTGAGCAGTGCTGTTCTGCAGCGAACTATTTATTTACTACTGCTGTGTAATAAGTATAGAAACGGAGAGTGTTTAGAAACTTTTATAGCTATTTGACTTTGCTATGGCATCCAAACATGTGAACAGTGGATTCCTCTGTTGAACAGGGTATAGGTGCTGTCAAAATTACCTGGTAAATTCCATATGATAAAACTGCATGCTTATCATGTGCAAAATAGGACCACATATGGACCCACGGATGGTCTAGGCCAATCAGGCTAATCCTCTTTCATGAACCAGTGACTGGTCTCAGTTTCAGCATGTGGCCCAAATCTGGGCAATGAGACATGAGAGGAGTCTGATGGGGCTACTGGAAAGGTTTCCATATCTCTGTTTTTTTTTTACATTAAAAAAATTAATTAATGTTTTTGTACATGAATAAGTTCTTTAGTGGTGATTTCTGAGATTTTGGTGCACCCATCACCCGAGCAGTGTACACTGTACCCAATGCATAGTCTTTTATCCGTTGCCCCCTCCCACCCTTTCCCCGGAGTCCCCAAAGTCCATTGTATGGTTCTTATGCCTTTGTATCTTCATAGCTTAGCTCCCACTAATGAGTGAGAACATATGATATTTGGTTTTCCATTCCTGAATTACTTCATTCCTGAGTTACTTCCATTCCTGGGTTACTTCACTTAGTTACTTCCATACCTGAGTTACTTACATTCCTGAGTTACTTCACTTAGAATAATGGTCTCACTCGGGAGGCTGAGGCAGGAGAATCGCTTGAACCTGGGAGGTGGAGGTTGCAGTTAGCCAAGGTAGAAACACTGTACTCCAGCCTGGGCAATAGAGCAAGACTCTGTCTCAAAAAAACAGAAAAAAAAGAAAGAATAATGGTCTCCAATTATTTCATTCCTTTTTATAGCTGAGTAGTATTTCATTTTTTATATATATATATAACATTTTCTTTATCCATTTGTTGACTCACGGGCATTTGGGCTTGTTCCATATTCTTACAATTACAAATTGTGCTGCCATAAACATGTGTGTGCAAGTATCTTTTTCATATAATGACTTGTTTTCCTCTGGGTAGATACCTAGTAGTGGGATTGTTGGATTAAACAGTGGATCTACTTTTAGTTCTTTAAGGAATCTCCACACTATTTTCCATAGTAGTTGTACTAGTTTACATTCCTACCAACGGTGTACAAGTGTTCCCCTTTCACCATGTCCAAGCCAACATGTATTATTTTTTGATTATGCCATTCTTGCAGGAGTAAGCTGGTACCTCATGGTGGTTTTGATTTGCATTTCCCTGATAATTAGTGATGTTGAGCATTTTTCCATATACTTGTTAGCCATTTGTAGATCTTCTTTTGAGAATTGTCTGTGTCCTTATTCCACTTTTTTGACAAGATTGCTTGTTTTTTTTTACTTGTTGATTTCTTTGAGTTCTTTATAGATTCTGGATATTAGTCCTTTGCTGGATGTATAAATGGAATGCTGGATTTTGTCAAATGCTTATTCTGCATCTATTGAGATGATCATGTGAATTTTGTTTTTAATTCTGTTTTTGTGGTGTGTCACATTTATTGACTTGTGTATGCTAAATCATCTCTGCATCCGTGGTATGAAATCCACTTGATCATGGTGGATTATCTTTTTGATATGCTGTTGGATTTAATTAGCTAGTATTTCGTGGATTTTTGCATCTGTGTTCATCAGGGATATTGGTCTGTAGTTTGTTTGTTTGTTTGTTATGTCCTTTCCTGTTTTTGGTGATACTGGCTTCATAGAATAACTTAGAAAGGGTTTCCTGTCTCTCTATCTTTTGGAATAGCGTCAATAGGATGGGTACCAATTCTTCTTTGAATGTCTGATATAATTCAGCTGTGAATCTGTCTGGTCCTGGATTTTTTTTTGTTGGTAACTTTTTAATTACCTTTTCAATTTTGCTCCTTGTTATTGGTCTGTTCAGAGTTTCTATGTCTTCCTGGTTTAATCTATGAGGGTGGTATATTTCCAGGAATTTATCCATCTCTTCTAGGTTTTCTAGTTTATGCAACTGAAGGTGTTCATAGTAGCCTTGGATGATCTTTTGTATTTCTGTGGTATCAGTTGTAATATCTCCCGTTTCATTTCTAATTGAGCTTATTTGGATCTTCTATCTTCTTTACTTGGTTAATCTCATGGTTTATCAATTTTATTTATCTTTTCAAAGAACACGCTTTTTGTTCCATTTATCTTTTGTATTTTTTGGTTTCAATTTTATTTAATTCTGCTCTGATCTTGATTATTTATTTTCTTCTGCTGGATTTGGGTTTGATTGTTTCTCTAGCTTCTTGGGTTGTGATTTTAGATTGCCTATTTATGCTCTTTTGGACTTTCTGATGTAGGCATTTAATGCTATGAACTTTCTTCTTAGCACTGCTTTTACTGTATCCCAGAGGTTTTGATAGGCTTACTATTATTTTTCAGTTCAAAGAATTTTTAAATATCCATCTTGATTTCATTGCTGACCCAATGATCATTCAGGAACAAGTTATTTAATTTCCATGTATTTGCATGGTTTTGAGGGTTCCTTTTTGAGTTGATTTTCAATTTTATTCCACTGTGGTCTGAGAGCACACTTGATATAATTTTGATTTTCTTAAATTTGTTGAGACTTGTTTTGTGGCCTGTCATATGGTCTGTCTTGGAGAATGTTCCATGTGCTGCTGAATAGAAGGTATATTCTGCAGTTGTTAGGTAGAATGTTCTGTAAATATCTGTTAAGTCCATTTGTTCTAGGGTATAGTTTATGTCCGTTGTTTCTTGGTTTACCTTCTGTCTTGATGCTCTGTCTAGTGCTGTCAGTGGAGTACTGAAGTCCCCCACTTTTATTGTGTTGCCATCTATATCATTTCTTAGGTCTAGTAGTAATTGTTTTATAAATTTGGGAGCTGCAGTGTTAGGTGAACATATATTTAGGATTGTGATATTTTCCTGTCGGACTAGTTCTTTTATCGTTATATAATGTCCCTCTTTGTCTTTTTTTAACTGTTACTATAAAGTTTGTTTTGTCTGATATAAGAATAGCTACTCCTGCTCACTTTTGGTATCCATTTGCATGGGATATCTTTTCTCACCCATTTGCCTTAAGTTTATATGAGTCCTTATGTGTCAGGTGAGTCTCTTGAAGACAGCAGATACTTGGTTGATGAATTCTTACCCATTCTGCTATTCTGTATCTTTAAAGTGAAGCATCTAGGCCATTTACATTCAATGTTAGTATTGACATGTGAGGTACTATTCTATTCATTGTGGTATTTGTTACCTAAATGCCTTGTGTTTTTTTTTTTCATTGTGTGTGTGTGTGTGTGTGTGTGTTTTAATAGATCCTGTGAGATTTATGCCTTAAGAACATTCTATTTTTGTGTATTTCGAGGATTCGTTTCAAGATTTAGAGCTCCTTTTAGCATTTCTTATAGTGTTGGCTTGGTAGTGGCAAATTCTCTCAGCATTTGTTTGTCTGAAAGATTATCTTTCCTTCATTTATGAAGCCTAGTTTTGCTGGATACAAAATTCTTGGCTGATAATTGTTTTGTTTAAGGAGGGCAAACATAGGACTGGATACAAAATTCTTGGCTGATAATTGTTTTGTTTAAGGAGGGTAAATACAGAACCCCAATCCCATTCTAGCTTGCAGGGTTTCTGCTGTGAAATCTGCTGTTAATCTGATAGGTTTTCCTTTATAGGTTACCTGATGCTTTCACCTCACAGCTCTTAAGATTCTTTTGTTTGTCTTGACTTTAGATAATCTGATGACTATGTGCCAAGGTAATGATCTTTTTATGACAAATTTCCCAGGTGTTCTTTGATCTTCTTGTATTTGGATGTCTAGATCTCTAGCAGAGCTGGGAAAGTTTTCCTTGACTATTCCCTCTAATATGTTTTCTAAACTTTTAGATTTCTCTTCTTCCTTGGGAACACCAATTATTCTTAGGTTTGGTCTTTTAAACATAATCCCAAACTTCCTGGAGGCTTTGTTAATTTTTTAAAATTTATTTTTCTTTGTTGGATTGGGTCAATTTGAAAGGCTTGTCTTCGAGCTCTGAAGTTCTTTCTTCTACTTGTTCAATCTATTGCTGAGACTCTCCAGTGCATTTCTCATTTCTCTAAGTGTATCCTTTATTTCCAGAGGTTGTGAATTTTTAAAATTTATGCTATCTATTTCACTGGAGATGTTTCCATTCATATCCTGTATCTTTTTTTATTATTATTTCTTTAAGTTGGACTTCAGCTTTTTCTGGTGCTTCCTTGAGTAGCTTAATAGTAGACCTCCTGAATTGTTTTTCTGGCAAATCAGAGATTTTTGTCTTGGTTTGGATCCATTGCTGGTGAGCTAATGTGATCTTTTGGGAGTGCTAAAGAACCTTGTTTTGTCATATTACCAGAATTGTTTTTCTGGTTCCTCCTCATTTGGGTAGATTATGTCAAAGGAAAGATCTGGGACTCAAGGGCTGCTGTTCAGATTCTTTTGTCCCATGGGGTGCTCCCTTGATTTGGTGCTCTCCCCTTCTCCCAAGGATAGGGCTCCCTGAGAGCTGAAATGCAATGAGGGTTATTTCTTTTCTGGATCTAGCCAACCAGCAGGGCCACCAGGCTCTGGGCTGGTACTGGAGGTGTTTGCACAGAGTCCTGTGATGTGAACCGTCTTCAGGTCTCTCAGCTGTGGATAGCAGAACCTGCTCCAGTGGAGGTAGCAGGGGAGTGAAGTCGACTCTGAGGGCCCTGGGTTGTATTTTTGTTTAGTGCACTGGTTTTGAGTTGGTTGGCCTCTGGCCAGGAGGTGACATTTTCAAGAGCTCATCAGCTACAGTAGTAGAGGAAAGATACAAGACTGCCCTACGGTCAGGTAGTGGGCGGGGCCATAGAGCTCCCAGGAGATTATGTCCTTTGTCTTTAGCTATCAGGGCAGGTAGAGAAAGACCACCAAGTGAGGGAAGGGTTAGGCATGTCTGAGCTCAGCCTCTCATTGGGCCAGGCTTGCTGCAGCTGCTGTGGGGGATGGGGGTGTGATTCCCAGGCCAGTGGATTTATGTTCCCAGGGGACTATGTCTGCCTCTGCTGTGTCACACAGGTTACCAGGGAATTGGGGGAAAGCTGGCAGCCACAGGCTTCACCCAGCTCCCATGCAGCCCACAGCCTGAAAGGCCACTCTCACCATGCACCCCCAACAGCACAGGATTTATTTACAGGCAGCGGGTGAGCAGGGCTGAGAACTTGCCCCAGGCTACAAGCCTCCCAGCCGAGAAAACAAGCAGACTCACAGTTCCTTGGCAGTTCCACGCAGCCCGCGGTGGCAATCCACCTCCTTTAAAGGGTCTGTGGATTCTCATTCTCTTGGCTTTCCTGGTATGTTCCCTTGGTAGTTCTTAGAGCGAAAGTTCACGTGAGTTTCCACCTGCTACTCTGTCCATCCGAATGGGAGCTGCAAGTTAGTCTTGCCTCCTATCCACCATTTTTATATGAGTCTCCACCAGGTTTCCATATTTCTAAGAAAATAACACGGAAAGAAAGTACTTCTCATCTTCTCTGGGGCACTTTGAATCTGGGTGAGTTGCTGGGAACTGCAGCTCTCCTGCCTCCGGACATCAGGCTATGTGAGAAAATGTATTTCCTCATTGCTTAAAAAGCAGGTGAGAGTCTGGCTCTGTTGTCATTTGCTGTGCCCTGACTAATGCACTTGCTGCGAGCTCTTCCGGAGATTGAATTGACTACCTCCTGGATCTCTCCCTAGTCAACTGCCATCAGAGTGAGGTTTTCTTTCCCCTTTCATCTAAGAAACATTTATTGATCGCCTATTATGAACAAGGCACTTTGAAGATGCCCAGTTATGTAAGGTACCATTTTGTACCCTCAAGTACCTTATAATCAAATAACAAAATATAAAAATATATGCAAATAAAGCCAGTTAGAAAGTGCTAAATATTATAGAAAATATACCAACTAATGAATATGCAGATATAGGGCAGAGGGAAATTATTTTTGGTGGATTATAACAATATGTCATTGGCATAAAAATCACAAGATACTATGGCATATATCTGAGAGTGTAGTTTTTTTTCCTCTGCTCTTTATTATAAAAACTACTAAAGAAAGAAAATTCAAGCTCAGAACTGCCTACTATCCCATCATCTTTCATTGATTTTACTTTCTATTTGTTTTTACTTAAAGCCATGTACATTTTGCATTTTGCTACAGTGCTTTTGCCCCATGTCTCCTTTCCCTCTTTATTCCCACTCTTAGCCCTGAGGTAGCCATGACAAGTCTGGCATGTATCCTTCTAGATCATTCTCCGTGTTGTCATACTAACATGAACAGACATGTTGGTTTTGTTTTTCTACAGTTGGATCCTACCAAGTGAATTTCTCTGTAGCTAATTTTCTTTCTTAACAACAGGGTAAAAGCTCTCTTTACCAACCTCTATTACAGAGAGTGGCTGGATTCCCCAGTGCTCTCCATTCCTCTGATGCTCCTGGACACCCATGGTGCTAACAAGCTTTGGCTGCTTTCTGGTATGTTTGCATCCTTCTGCTCCCACCAGGTGACTTCTGGGCTCATCAGAGTCAGGTTGTATTGGTCCTTAAGCCTGTTTATACCACTGGGATTATAACTGTAATTCTATACTTTCATCAAATACTTTATAAATCAGTGCAATTAGAGCAGAAAACGAAGACCATCACGTTTCTATGAAAATCAAGTTAAATGCCCCGGAAATATTTGCTCAATGTTGCTTTCTAAAAACATTTGCTACCCAGTTGACAATAAAGATCTGGGGTATATCAGTTACCTTTTGCTGTATAACAAACCACCCCAAAACATAGTGGCTTGGAACAATAATGGTCTATTATTTCTCATAATTTCATGGGCTGCTGGTTTTGCCTGGACTCTCTCACAAGGCTGCATTCAGCTGGAGCTGACTGGGCTGGAAAGTCCGAGATGACCTTCTCCATCTGTCTGGCAGTTGATGCTGGCCATCCACTGACCCCTCACATTGCCTTTTATCCTGAACTAGCTGGGCTTCCTCACATGGTGGCCTCAGGGCAGCAGTCCAACAGGGCCCAAACCAGAAAAGAGCAAGTTCTCTTAAGCTCTAGCCTGACCTCATTTTCTGTTGGCCAAAGCAAGTCACAAGGTCATCCTCACTTTGAGGGATGGGAAATAAGCTTCACCTCTTGATAGGAGGAGCAGCAACACCACATCACAAAAGCTTATGCCTACTGGCATGGGAGGAAGCTCTGGCAATATTTCACAATTTAACACAAGAGGGGATATCATAAAAATCTAGTGGTGTTCTATATGCAGATTGCTTTACCACTGCCTTTAAATTCTCACCCCACTTTAAAGAAAACAGAACAGAAAATTGTAGATTACATATTATAGAAATGGTTTGTGCAAGAAAGGTAACATGGAATACCAATTAGCAGCAAATGTCCAGTAAAAAGACTTGGGCCTTACATCCAAAGAATGGCAAACAACTCAGAGGTTTTTAAGCTTTAAAGCAATGTGTCTTTTTTATGACTTTTAATTGACTCTTATCCCCATTATGTTGAAGAAGAGAGCTTCCGTGATGTACCAGACTTATTCTTATAGACCAGTGGCTAGAGAGACTACTCTCTCTGCCTTTTTAATAGCTCCATGGAATTCCAAGATATGAATATGCCACATTTTATTTAACCAATCCCTTGTCAGCAGATCTTCAGGTGGTTTCTTTTTTATCTTCCCACAATGATCAATGCTACAATAAATATCAGCTTAAGTATAATATAAGCTTTTGATACTAGTGCTTTTTGCTTTTGTTTTTAATATCTACAGGCTTGAGCTCCAAAGGCAAGATTTCTGGGCCGGGTATGGTGGCTCATGACTGTAATCCTAGCATTTTGGGAGGCCGAGGCTGGCAGATCACTTGAGGTCAGGAGTTCAAGACCATCCTGGCCAACATAGTGAAACCCTGTCTCTACTAAAAAATACAAAAAATTAGCCAGGCCTGGTGGCGGGTGCCTGTAATCCCAGCTACTCGGGAGGCTGAGGCAGGAGAATCACTTGAACCCGGGACGCAGAGGTTGTAGTGGGCTGAGATCACACCACTGCACTCCAGCTTGGGCAATAGAGTGAGACTCTTTCTCAAAAAACAAACAAACAAGCAAACCAAGGTGGAATTTCTGGGTTAAATGTCATGTGTATTTTAAAAGTGAATAGATATTGCCAAATCACTTCCCAAAATGCTCCATAGTAAATTCCCACCCCTGGTAGCAATGTATGAGAGTATCCTTTTCTATTCTTTCCAGCCCTTATATTTGTCTTCTGTGACACTTACTCTGCATCTTCCAATAACAGCATCTCTGCATCTCTACACTTTTGTATATGTCGTAAACCCTTCATCCCACCTAGGTGTCATTTTTCTTCTCCCCTGTCTGGACAGCTTCTACTTGACTTTCAGAACTCAACAAAAATGCCCCCTACTTTGGGAAGCTTCCCTAACATCCAGAGGGCAAGCTTGCTTTCAATTCCACTGCCTCTGTTCTCTTTATGGTTCTCTCTGCCAGCCCCATCGCGGGCACTAATAGAATTTGGGTGTCTTGAAGTCTCCCCTGCAAGACTCTTAAGCTGGTAGAGGACAAGGGACATCCTACAATCTTCTTGGAGTTCCCTGTGCCAGGAAATGTTCATTTATTAAGTGACATTACGATGAAGCTTTTCCATGAATATCTGTTGAATAAGGGAAGGAATTTTTTTTTTTTTTCAGAGACTAATGATTGTAACTGTTCGGGCACGGTGAGGCAAGAGGAACGTACAGTTACAGAATCCGTGGGCAAAGCATCTCGGGGCCAGGAGCGAGCCTGAAGGCACTGTGTAGGCCTTGATCAGTTTAGCAATTTCTACGATTCTGACATCCTCTTTCTGTTCTTTCCGGACTCAGGCATCCAAGGTCACCTCATTATGGCTCTGTGCGAAGACAGCACCCCAAAGGGGCCATCGATTTGGAACATCTGATCGGCTTTCTGAGTCAGATCCACTAGCTCGTAAAATCCAATAAATGTCAAAGATATGTCAGGCCCATTAACCTCTGGAGGTCTATTAAAAGACTCTGCTTCTGCTAAGGAGATTCTGTTACTGTCACATGGACACCAGGGCAGCCAATTCTAAACCCCTGAATTTAGAAAGTTAGGAAGGGGATATGATTTCACATGGGATCGCCTGGTCTCTACTAGTTTTGTCATAAGACTCTGCCTTTTCTTCCACTCATACACACAGAGCATCTGTTGGTGTGACCAGCTCTGTGATAGGTATGTGGGGGAAACATTCTAGAACTTCTTTTCCTGCATCCAAGAAAATTAACCCAAATGCTTTCTTCATAAAACTGCACGCACATTTCTTCCTTACAGTCCTTACAACATTGAAGCATTATTGTTTGCTTGCACGTGAGTCCCCTCTACTAGATTATGAGTTCCTTAAGAGCTGGGGGTCATGATTCCTTTTGGTAAGAAGCAAGGGAAACCTTAACCTAAATTACTCCAGGAAAAAACAAACCTGCTTGACACATAGAACCAAAAAGTCCAAAGGCAAAGTCCAGGAACAGTTGGATTCAGAGGCCCCAAAGGTGTTCTCAGGAGTCTCACCTCCATCTTGTGGCTCTGCATTCCTCTGCGTTGGTTTCATCTGCAGGCAAGCCCTCCCCAGCCATGGCAAGATGGGCTCTGGTAGATCCCACATGATGGCAAGCCTGCCTTCAGCAGCTCCAGGCATCCTGCTGCCAGCCTAACACCCCTGTGAGAAAGAACTTTTATTTCCCAATAGGGCCAGTGGATCTCCCAAGCTAATTCTTGCTGGCCCAGCGTGGGTCCAGGTGCTAGTTCCAGGGCATTCCTTTTGCAAAACAATTACCATGTTGTGTTGTAATTCCTGCTTTACTTGCCAGTTTCCCACCCAGAACTGTGAGTTCCATGATGGTTAAAACCAATTCCATCTTCCTAGAGCCTAGTGTAAGACCTGGCATGCAACAGGTGTACAAGGCAGCCCCTTCCAAGGCCCTGCCTAGGGCTGACAGGGATGTAGATTGGCCCAAGGCTACCAGATCCTTCAATATTTCAAAAGCACCAAGTATTCTAAGTCCCCAGTTTTGGGAGGAAGGTGGGTGGGGAAGACATCTACATGCCAAATCTGACTTGTGTGTGGAAGGAATGAATGAAACTAACAGTCGAGGGTCTCATGTGCATTAGGCACTGTGGAAGTCCATTTGTGCAACATCGTGTTTCCAAAGTGGTTGCAAAAATATCCCCGACCTCACATGCTCTTTTGTGAGGAGACTCCTCTGCCATGGCATATCAAGAGGTAGAGTCCATTTGTCCTCCTCTGGAATCCTTGGGGCAGGCCCTCACACCCGTTATGAGCAATAGACTATGATGGACGTAGAATT
This sequence comes from Homo sapiens, assembly GCF_000001405.40. Lineage (NCBI taxonomy): Eukaryota > Metazoa > Chordata > Mammalia > Primates > Hominidae > Homo > Homo sapiens. The sequence goes on from NC_000005.10 coordinate 173,659,511, forward strand.
GGGTAACTTCTGAGGCTGGGCCTTGGGAGAGATGCAGCTTCTGTCTTTCGCTCTTGGAACATCCCTCAGTGCCATGTTATGAGGAAGCACAAGCAGCCACGTGGAGAGGCAAGGAGGAGAAGCCAGGCTCCCACGTGACAGCTCCAGCTGAGCTCCCAGCTGGCAGCCAGAGCCAACCGCCAGCCAAGTGACCCAGGACATTTGGACTTTCCAACTTTCCCAAGGCCTCCACTGGCACCATGTGGTGCAAACCCAGTCAATTGACAAAACCACAAAACATCATAATTATGAACTTAAATAATAATTTTAAAAATATCATTTTCTTATCAATTCTATGGAAATAGAGACTCAGAAACGGGAAGTAGCTTTCTTCAGATCATAGTTTTGAAACAGTACAGCTTCAGACTTCTAGCCAGGATGCACTTGGGACACTTGTTTGCCAACAGCAAATGGTAGAAAGGAGCAATAGAAAGGCAGACCTATTATTGCTTTAGCAAAATCACCAAAATGTATTTCAGATACTGGGTATGTATTGAATCTTTCTGAGCTAGAACAGTAATGTGAGCATGAGAGACACAGTCTGCATGCGATGCAATTGGGGAGGCGGGGGACTGTGGCAAACAGGAGAGAGCTGCCCCTTCTAGAAAGCCAACCACTACCAAGGCCCTGCCCAGGGCTGCCAGGGCTGTAGGTTGGCCTAAGGCTACCAGATCCTTCAATATTTCAAAAGCACCAAGTATTCTAAGTCCCCAGTTAGTCTGAATTGAGAGGAAGGGGGTTGGGGAAGACATCTACATGCCAAATCTGACCCAAAGAACCTCACTTTTTTACTTTCTTTCAAGAGAACCATCCCAGTTTAGGGCCCCAACAGGGAAAACGAACCCATCTGTCTTTGTTCTCGTAGAACAAAAGCAATTTTTGTTTCACTATAAACTCCATAAATGGTTGCAAAATGTTCCAATTTTTTTCCATAGTTAAGATAATTCACTGGGGACTCCTGGCCCATCTTCCGCCTCCCAGTGGGCTTTTGCTCCTCTTCTCTTTGCTTTTGTCATCGCTGCTTCCCAGGGGAGGGCGGTCGGAGAAAGTCTGTGTTGAGAGGCAGGCGGCTTCTCTTTTCCCAGGCCTGGTCGGCCACGGGCAGATGCACCCGGTTCCAGTCCCACCTGGAGCTTGGGCTGGCTCTGCCTGCCAGGCCTCTGAGACAGTCTGGAGGGGTGTCATTCTCTGCCCCCAAGGGATCTGAGGGTGCCATCCCAGGCCACAGTGAGAGAGCAGAAAACATCCCACGGAATGACTTTACTCACCAGGTCCAGGCCCCAAGGCAGAGACCTCCCCAGGGAGACAGAGGCAGGCTTACAGCAGCTACAGAGGCCCTCAGAGAGGCCTCGTCCCTATTGTCCTGACTTTATGGCCATCCTCAAGTTGGCCTTTGTTTCTCTGTGTTCTGCCCTTTTGCACAATGAGAAAAGCCTTGCCAGCTTCTCTCTGCCTAGGGCTGCAGCTGGCATGGCTTTTGAGGGCTCTGCCCAGGGTCTCACCTCCATTCACTCATTCAGCACTTGATGGGACCCCCCAATGTCGTAGCTGCCCCCAACTGAGGCTCAGAGAGTGTGTGCGACTTGCTCAAGATCATGTGGTTAGAGAACAAGCTAGACCCAGTGATTCCATTGTTATTTATATTTTTTATGCAGCAGTTTTTTTTTTTTTTAAGGTAATAACACCCATGTTCAGCATGGAAAAGTCTTCTTCCTTACCCCGATTCCCACGTGCCCAGTTCTTCTCCCCAGGGGCGGCCACTCTTACTGACCTCTTGTGTGTTATTTAGTTTTTTTTTTTTTTTTTTTTTTTTTGACACGGAGTCTCGTACGTCGCCCAGGCTGGAGTGCAGTGGCACAATCTCGGCTCACTGCAAGCTCCGCCTCCCGGGTTCATGCCATTCTCCAGCCTCAGCCTCCTGAGTAGCTGGGACTACAGGCACCTGCCACCACGCCTAGCTAATTTTTTGTTTTTAGTAGAGACGGGGTTTCACCATGTTAGCCAGGATGGTCTCGATCTCCTGACCTCGTGATGTGCCCGCCTCAGCCTCCCAAAGTGCTGGGATTACAGGCGTGAGCCACCGCGCCCAGCCTTGTGTGTTATTAAAAACAATAAAATTACATGAAGTGGGAAGGGACATGATTAGCCAGGCTCCAGGGTCACTTGGCTAATGATCATGGTTCCTTGGCAGGAGCCAGGCACACATGTAGGGGCACTGGTGGTGGCCACACAGAGCCTTCTCCAGGTGCTGCCATGGACTGGGCTGGACCTAGGAGTCGGGAGCCTGGCACAGTCCACTCAGCTTTGTAGGACATGCACTTCTCTTTCACTAGATGAGCCAGGAGATTCCAGGCATGGGGGCCCATCCAAATTATGTGGGTGCTTTTCAAAATTCAGATTCCTGGGCATCACCCCAGGCCAATGGAATCAGAATGTATTTGAGAGGGCCCAGGAATCTGTCACCTTAAGCCTCCCTAATACAATATCCTTTAGCACACACATAAAATTACGCTAAGTTTTGTGCGTAAAGGAATGTATGTACCAGGAAACTTACTGCTGTCTTGTTTGACTTAGTGTATGTATTAGTCCATTCTCATGCTGCTGATAAAGACATACCTGAAAATGGGTAAATTATAAAGAAAAAGAGGTTTAATGAACTCACAGTTCCATATGGCTGGGGAAGCCTCACAATCATGGAGGAAGGCGAAAGGCACGTCTTAATGGCAGCAGTCAAGAGACAGAATGAGAGAGAGAGACAAGTGAAAGGGGTTTCCCCTTAAAAAACCATCAGATCTCGTGAGACTTATTCACTACCATGAGAATAGTATGGGGGAAATTGCCCTCATGATTCAATTATCTCCCACCAGGTCCCTGCTACAACATGGTGGAATTATGGGAGCTACAATTCAAGATGAGATTTGGGTTCGGACACAGCCAAACCGTATCAGCATAGGATTGGAAAGTCCATCCACGTCCATCAGTGAGAGACCAATGCTGAGCAAAGGAATACTGTGCAGCATTAAGAAGAAACCAGTTGGATCTTCATGTTCTGATATATTGATATATACAACTAAGATGCACTGATAAATGAGAACAGGCAACAGAAGGCGTGTACAGTGGCTGTCCGTGCTTGCACTGAATGCATTCCCCTACACATACATGGATTGTCCCCTTGACAGTAAGAAAGAAACAGTGGCTGCTTCTGGGGAAGACACTGGGGGACTACTTACTGAATGCTATTTGGTACAGCTGGAAAGTTCTACAGTGTGCATGCAAAAGAAAACTGTTCTCACGTTCGTGTCTAAAAAGCTCCCGGGTGAATCCGGTGCGCATCCAGGCTTGGTAACTACTAGGTGAGACGATTCATTGCCACCCTCCCTCGCCCTAGGATCTTTCAACTCTAAAGCTCAGGTCCTGGGATTAGTGAACAAACATATGTGTTAGTAGTGGGTAAACTGTAGGGGCCACCAGAAGTGAAGTGTCACCAATCAGTGATTCAGTCTGGAAAGGTAACAGTGATGGGAATAAGTGCTGTGGTCATTGTGTACATTTCATTGTGTACATTTCATAAATCCTAGCCCCTGGCCAGTGGAAACCAAGCCAGGGCTGTATTTGACTCCTTGCAACCGTTGGCCGCCCCTGCTTTTTCAGGAGAAGGAAGGGGGTGTATAATGTGACACATCAGCAAGTCAGAACAGAGAGTACCTGTGGAATGGGTCCTGCCAGGCCTCTGTGCCCTTTTACACATGATGTCTTCAAGCTTCCGGTTAGTGACTGCTAACTCTCAACTCAGCCAGCATTGAACCGGGCACCTTCATGGGCACTGATCCTCTGAATCTCACACCACCATATCATCCCCATTGTACAGACAGGAAAACTGAGGCTCAGGGGTCACGTCACTCACTTTTTACCTAGATCCTTCTGACTACAGAGCCCGCCTGCATCCCACTATATGAATGACCTGAGTGGGCTCTGCGGCAGTGGGGCCTGTTGCCCTGGGGTCCTGTGTTTCCAGCACTCTTTGCCAACTTCACCTGTCTCAGAGCCCTCAGGGATCCAGCACCATGGGGTTTACTTTCCCAGGTTCTCTCTGCCCCAAGTTCAGTCACTCCAGCCCAGTGTGGGGGCAGAGATGTGGCAGAATGAGGGCACCTTATGGCCCCTTGATTCGGAGGGACTCAGTGTGCGACCTTGGCAAGCACCTGATCCTCCTTGGGCCTCGGTTTTTCCGCGAATGCGACGGGAATAAGAACAGTGTCTGCTGCAGGGGTCTCATGGGGTATCTAGTGGAAGGTGCACTGCATTTGCTGGCACTGAGCTTGGTGCTGAGTAAAGGCTTCATGGATGTTTGCAGTAATTCCTGAAATTAATGTTCAGGTTGTAAGTTTGCTGTAACACCAGTTAACCCTTCACTCTTTACCCCTAGCTGGTAGAATAGTGCCTGGTACATAGTAGGTGCTTAGTAAATATTTTTTGCTGAATGAACAAATGAACCATTGACCTGCTGACTGGAGCTACTGCTGACATACTGGGTGACTTTGGGCTGGTCCAGTCCTCTCACCGAGCTTCAGTTTCTGCATCTCCCAGTGGGTGGGACCGTTTTGCCAGGCCTCAACCCACCTAGCCCATTTCTCTTCTGCAGCAGCCTTCAGGGATCCATGAGCAGCTCACAGAAAGTTGCCCTTCTGTTTCCCTGATTATTAACCTGCAAATTAGACAAATCCATTTTGGAGTGTTCAGCGTTGCCATGGTATCACAACGGCTTCCGCTCCCTCTCCCAGGCAGCAGAGAAGTCTCTTCCTCTTCCCTGCCCCCTACATCCACCCCGCCCGGGAGGCAGCCCATTGGCCTTAAAGGGCCAGTTCTGTAAGCTCCAGAGAAAGATGCTTGCTGAAATCACAGAATGGATGTTGCCTCCTGGCAAGGCGTTCATTTGGTCACCCTTTGGGGAGGCAAATTGTAGCTAGGAGCTGTGGAGTCAGGGTTCCCCAAGGAAGTGGAGGCTCTCCCCAATTGCAAGTAGTGACTAGCCCTACATTTGGAAGGCTGAACCTCATGCTACCTGTCCCATCCTCATAACAAGATGACCCCAGAAACAGGCCTGGTGGGAAATGGAGTGAGCTCCAAATGGGCCCATTGACCAGAGGAACCTGGTTCAGCAAAAAGCCAGAGCATCACAGACATTAGGCCACTCCTGTGGGGCATCACTTAACGTTGTTTAAAACTCCAGATTTAAATTAAGTCACGGTTGCCCTCAGAGGCCACTGCCGTGGGCCTTGGGGACAGAAGTTCTTAAAGGCACTGCCATGGTAAGAGGGAAGGGCCAAAACTTTGTATAAGTAACAAAGGTTCTGGCAAAGGTTAATAAATAATCATTGAATGCCAGGTATCGGCATTACGGAATTAAACCGTCTTAATTGGCATTGTCTCTGCTAGGAGAGACCCTGACATATGTATGTTTTCAAAGTGTGGTGTCTGTTCATCTTCTGTCTCTAAACAGACAAAAGCTCCCTGAGGGCATGGTTGGCTTCTCTTAATTCAGTGTCATCTGCACTCTGCCACAGCACTAAGCACCTGGCTGCCCAGTCACTCTGGGTTCATCGACTCTTAGAGAACGCCATGGGAAGAGTATAGGCTTACCAGTCCGACAGACTGGGTGGAAACTGCGGTAAAGAAAACTTAGGTTCTGTCTGTTAATAGCTGTGCCTTAAGCAAGGTATAAGTGAGGGTTCAATGAGGGAAGAGGCCACTAGAATGAGTGGAATAAGGGACTTGTTATTGGAATTTGACCTTTCACAGTGTGGGAGAAGGAAGGTCTGGATTACAGAGTGGATGGTCCGAGGGGACAAGGGCCAGTCGATCTGGAAGCCACGTGGGGAAGTTGAAGGAGGAGAATCCAGGAAGCTTCTGCCACTGAGCATCTGGGCTGGACACAGGGCAGAAGGAGGCAAAGGCCCATGGAAACCCACTGGCGTCTCTGCAACCTGCTGCCACCACATCCAATGAGGCTGGCCTGAGAGTGAAGGCTGCTGCTCCCCCACCTCTGGATTCTCATGCCTCTTTTGGCCAGCTCAGACCCAGAGCTGTACTGGGGAATGGGATTCTGAACAACACAGCTCCAACCTGTCCACATCAACACAGCACAGACCAACATGGCCAAGTGTTAGGCCCTTCTGAGCCTCGGTTTCCTCGACCCAGCCGATACCTTGCTAATTTATTTGAGTTCATTGTAGATTCTGGATAAATCCAGCATCCCTTTATGATTAAAACTCTCACCAAAATCTGTATACAAGGGACATACCTTAATGTAATAAAAACCATCTAACCCATAGCCAACATAATACTGAATGGGGGAAAGCTGAAAGCATTCCATCTGAGAACTGGAACAAGACAAGGATGTCCACTCTCACCACTTCTATTCAACATAGTAGTGGAAGTCCCAGCCAAAGCAATCAGACAAGAGAAAGAAATAAAGGGCATCCAAACTGGTAAAGACAAAGTCAAACTGTCACTGTGTGCTGATGATATGACTGTATAGCTAGAAAACCCTCAAGACTCCTCCAGAAAGCTCCTAGAACTGATAAAATAATTCAGCAAAGTTTTAGGACACAAAATTAAAGTACACAAATCAGTGGCTCTCCTGTGCACCAACAGTGGTTACTCTGAAAATTAAATCAAGAACACAACTCCTTTTACAATAGCTGCAATAAATAAATAAATAAATAAATAAATAAATAAATAAAACACTTAGAAATATACCTAACCAAGGAGGTGAAAGACCTCTAGAAAAAAATCTACAAAACACTGCTGAAAAAAATCACAGATGACATCCCATGCTCATGGATGGGTAGGATCAATATTGTGAAAACAACCATACTGCCAAAAGCAATCTACAAATTCAATGCAATTCCCGTCAAAATACCACCTTCATTCTTCACAGAACTGGAAAACATTTCTAAAACTCTTTTATTTTCTTTTTTTGAGACAAGTCTTGCTCTGTTGCCTGGGCTGGAGTACAGTGGCACCATCACGGCTCACTGCAACCATGATCCACCTGCCTCAGCCTCCTAAGTAGTTGGGACCACAGGCATGAGCTCCCACACTTAGCTAATTTTTGTATTTTTTTGTAGAGACAGGGTTTCACCATGCTGCCCAGGCTAGTCTCCAACTCCTGAGCTTAAGTGATCCGCCCACCTCAGCCTCCCAAAGTGCTGGGATTATAGGTGTGAGCCACCACACCTGGCTGGAATCTTCTAGTTTTTCAAGAGAAGCCAGAAATTTAGACTTTGCTGTGGTGTTCTGATTTTTAAATGTTAGAAACCAATATTGCACTTCTGTGGTGGCTGCAGAAATGCTGTGGGTGTTGTATAGTGCTTTTTACCATCTATCCTACGCCTGGAAGGAGTGCCACCCTCTGAGGCATCTTCCCTAGCTGTCTCCCTGGGCCTTCCAGAGACCCAGGAAAGTGCTGGCCTCCTTGCCAGTGTCCAGGGCTCGCCTGAGCCTTGAGCATCCTTGGGCAGCTCAGCACATGGGCAGCACAGAGGTACTGCCTGGCTGTAGGTGGTAGGCTCTTGGTAGCAGATGCCAGCATCTCCCAAACATCGTAACTTCCCTTGACCCACTTATTTCACCAGCAACTCAAACCTGCTGGAGAGAGAGAGGGGCCTTGCAGTGAGTTTAAACCCAGCTGGCTGTGTCCAGGAAGGGCAAGCCACCATACCAGTCCCAGGGAGACTGCCAATGCTATCCCTCATGTCCCCCCTTTCTTCCCATGCCTTAGCACAGCGATGGAGACTCCCCAGGAATCTGTCTCTTCCCCTTCCACCTGCTCCAGGCCCCATCTCCCCCATACCTCCAAGGGCGTCAGCATCCATCCACACACTCACAAAGTCTTCTTGCAGGCCTGCTATGTACAGGGAACTTAGGAAAGGGTGGAGGCAGTGTCTGCCCTCCTGCAGCTCCAAGTCTCAAACCAAATAATCACAGACATTTAAGTGTTTAGGTGAGAACATTGCCAAGCATTACAGAGGAAAAGAACCGTACGTCATGGAGAGTAAACCAGGGCATCTGACCTAGTCCAGGGGAGAAGGGGGTTGTGAGGGCAGCTGTTGGAACTTAGCCTTAGGGACTAGTTTTAGATAGGGGGCCCTGCAGTCCGATTAGCAGAACGGAAGGCCACCCTGACTGCTGTGTGACAGCATGTTGGAGGGTGGTGGGTGTACAATGGTGAGTCGGGGAAGTGTTAAGAGGCTGACAGTCATCTAGGGGGAGAGGGTGGGTGCTGGAACGACGGGGTGGCAGAGACGTGGGCAGACTCAGACTGTGTTTAGGAGGAGTTGGTGACAGTCTGGTTAGTAAGTAAGCAGCTGCCAGGGGGCTGCCCATGTCCATGGTTTGTGTGCCATGGGGTGGCTGGTGGTGCCTCTGCTGAAGTGGGGAATGCTGCAGGGGAAGCAGCTATTGAGGGGGTGCTGTGGTGGGCAGGGGTGCATCTGAGCCAGCACAGATGGCATCCGCATCTCCCAGACACTTTTCCATGGGCAGCATTCTCTGCCTGGAAAGCCATTCTCAGCTTTCTGGACAAGGACCTGTTCATGCTCCAAGGTCTGGGTCAGTTTCCCCCTCCTCTGGGCTACACAGAGGAGTATTCCTCTGTGTATTGCTGGTGGGAGCCCACACCTCGCTTTGCTTGCAATCTGAACCACACTAGGCTGGAAGGAGCATTGCCACTGGGAGGGAAGGAGATGGTAAGGCTTACGGCAGCCTCAGGGGCAGTCACCTTGGCTTCTGGGAACAGGAGGGTAGGAAGTGTGTGTGAGAAAGAGTGTGTGAGCTTGAGAGTGTGTGAGTGTGAAACTGTAAGTGATTGAGAGTATTGTGAGTGGGAGAGAGTGTGAGAGTTTTTGAAAGAGTGTGTAAGAGCACATATAAGTGTGAGTGTGTGCATGTGTGTGTTTGCCTGAGAGAGGAGGAGGCAAGGGCAGGAAGGTTTGGAGATGGAAGGCTGGTCTTGCCATGCCCACCCTTCCTGGGAGGGCAGCGTCTGCTGTGGTGGTCAGGGCCCTGGGCTCTGAGACAGGGCTGCCTGCCTTTGAGTCTGAGTCCTCCACAGCTCTGTGACTTCAGGCAAGCAATATTACCTCTTTGAGCCTAAGGTACTCATCTGTAATGGGGTTATAAGAGCATTTGTCCCATTGGGCTAATGCAAGAAGTGAATAAGATAATGATTATAAAATACTTAGCCAGGACCTGGCATAGAAAAGCACTCAAACATAATGAACGTTTGGCTCCAACCTCCCTGTGCTCTAGGGATGCTGTCTTGGCCACCACACCTGGTCTTTTCTCCTGGTTATTCCTGTGCACAGAGCCACGTGCTCATGCACTCCCTGGTAGCACTCAGCAAGATGACCACCTTACATTTATTTGTGTGTTTGTCTAGTGCCTTTGTCTGTTTAGTGTCGCTATAACAAAATATCGGAGGCTGGATAATTTATAAAGAAAACAAGTTTACTTGGCTAATGATTCTGGTGGCTGGGAAGTCCAAGAGCATGGCACTGGTATATACTCCACTTCCAGTGAGGGCCTCATGCTGGGTCACAAGGTGGTGGAGAAGCAGAAAGGTAAGAAGGCATGTGCAAAAAGACATGCATGAGAGTCTGCGCTCACTTAAAAAAAACCCTCTTTTTTGGGAACTAATTCATTCCCACAAGAGTCAGAATTCCCTCCTGAGAGACGGCATTAATCTATTCATGACAGTGGTGTCCCATGACCCAGATACCTCCCACTAGGGCCCCTCTCCCAACACTGCCATATTGGGGATCAGATTTCAACATGAGTTTCAGAAGGGACACACTCAAACCATAGCATGTGGTTAAAGTCATCCTCTCCAGGAGCTCCAAAAGGGCTGAGCTGGGTTCCTGCTTTGCTCACCATTTTCTCCTGGCCTCTGGCCTCAGCTGGCACATAGTGGGTGTACAACAAGCATTTCTCAAATTGAATCAACCAACGCAGGTAAAACAGTAGTTTCTTCCTTCCCTTCTCCTTCCCTCCTTCTTTCCTCTTTTTCTGACCCCACCCCCAGCCCACTCTCAGGGCTGATCCTCATGCTGGGCCTGTGCTGGGCTCACCACCCTCTCTTGGTGCAACGAAGCTGAAAGCCAGAACCTACAAGAGAAGTGAAATGGCCAAGACAGGTCTGAGGCCCCCCCTGAGACTGTGTGCTATGGTTACTGTCTGCCAAATCACTGGTGCTTCTTTATTTAACTGATGGCTGCTGTCACTTTTCACACCTCTGCGCACACTTGAGAAATTACCCTTTTCTTTCTTTTTTTTTAATCCCAAAGCTCATTATTATTTTTTATTACTTTTAAGATCTCATTCTTTGTTTTAAGCCTCCTAAATGAACCTGCCAATTTATATTCCGCTATAATGGCAGAATTTTCTAATTTGTTTGTCATTGTTGAACTTTAGCCTGCTAGATTTTATCAGAAGGTAGCAGTTTGTCTGGAGAAACTTTGAAATTGTCAAAGAATTTGTTCCTTCTTGTGAGTCCTGCCAAATAAAACAAATGCAGGAAAACCTGGCTGCCTCTTAGAGAGCCCTAAACATCCCACTGCTATCTGAAAGATTGATATTCATCCTCTGAAATAAAGTCGTTTCTTTCCCATTATCTTCAGGAGCTTCAGCTAAGGATGCTAATATGGAAAACAAGGAGAGGTAAGCGGTTTGATTTTCCCCCCTTTCTCTCTTCAGGAAATTGCTTTCTTATGCAAGAGAAATGCAAGTTCACCCACAGTGGATCAGTCATATGATAAGAAATCTGTTTGCAAGACAGGGAAGCTCATTTCCCTGTTGAGAAGCTGCATTTGTTTGAGGGAGACAAGGAGAGAGAAAGCATTTTTGCTGGGCACAGGGAAGGGATTAAGGCATCATGACAAGCACATTGCTTAGAAATGAGCCCAATTAAAAAAACATGAACCCATCTGACCCTCATGTGAAAACCCAGGGCTGTCACCGTCCACTCCTTGATTTGAGAGACCAGCACAATTATTCTGGAGATCATTAAGATTCTGGGGGAATGAGTTTTCTGGTTTTGCTTGTGATTTCCATTTTTCTCATTACTGACAGAAGCTGCATTTATGGATCTTTCTGTTTAAAACAGGAGCTTCTCGGGCTGGTTTTATTTTGAATCGGCCTCCCCAAAAGGCATAATGTCAAAAGCTTAAATGGGCTCATCTGGGCTGAATGTGTGAGAACCCCGGCCCCTCCCACCCCCACCAACTTTTTTTTAAAATTTTTTTTTTTCTTGCCTTTGGAGATGGGATTCACGGGCGTGGGCAGGCAATTAGATTTTAAAGCGGGAGAACTCCGTTGCACTTGCCAGGAACTGCTGAAGCAAGCAGGAGAGCCCGTGGGCTTTGAATCCTGGCACGGAGGCAGGCGCTCCCGGCCCAGCTCTCGTAGGATGGGTGAGAGGAGTGTGTTTGTCTTTGTTCTGAAAAGGGAAATTTAATTTCATTCCCTGAGCACTATCTGCATGGCGATTCCATAGCTAGGCGATACTGGCTTTCAAAAGCCTGGGCCATTGCCTAGTTTGGGAAATGTCAAGAGTTGGCATGGTCCAGCAGAGGGTCAGCTTCCAGTGGCAGGCCAGTGCCCAGGCTTCATGCTCAGCCTTCATCTGTGGCCCCGTTCCCAGGAGGGCTGCTATCTCTCTAAAGATCGAAGGACTTTGTGTCCCCAAGCCAGCCTTCTCACATGCTGCCGGCTGAGTCACGAGGTTGGGGGCTGACGTCTGATTTCAAAGCCACTGAGAAAGAAATGCCAACACTCGTTCAAGAAGCTGGCTGGTGCTGTGCCTAGAACTCTGGACTGGAAGCCGCCTGGAGATGGATCCGGACTTGGAGGAGCCCGTTTATGGGACCCCAGACCATGCTGCTGCTCTCACGGAGCTTATCTTCTCACAGCGGCGGGTGGTAGGGGAAGTACATGATGAAATGAACAGAAAGATATTGGGTAATGATAAGGGATGTGATGAAAATGAGACTGAGTGATGTGAGAGATCAGAGGGCTTCTCGGAGGAGGTGACATTTGAGGTGAGACCTGATGAGAAAGAGCCAGCCATGCAGAAATCTGAGGGAAGAGCATCCCACACAGAGAGAACAGCAACTACAACCCCACTGAGCAGAAAGCCAGCTTGGCATGTCTTTGGAACAGTGAGGAAGCCAAAGTGGTTCCAGCGTGATGAGCGAGGGGGAGAAGATGCCATGAGATGAAGTCAGAGTGATAGGCACTATCGTAGGAAGGAGTTTGACTGAGATGCTAAATATTTTGCAGAATTTTTGGAAGCAGGGGAGAGACAGCTGACCTGATTTGTATTTTAAGAGGATCACTCTGCTTTGTGCATGGAGAATCCATTGAAGGGAGCACAAGACAGGAAGCAGGGTTGATCATCAGAGCTACTGTGGCAAATGGGCAAATGAAGCCATTTTTATCTTCCTGTGACAAGGCAACTTGTCACCAAAGGGACAGGACATCCTTCTTCAAGTCAACATTTCTAGGGTTTTGCTTATTCTGAATATGGTGGAGGCTATGGTGGTTTACTTGAAGGTATGGTTTACTAACCAGATCCCAGAAACTCACCTGTGTGTAAGAGTCTGATTTCTCGAGCATTCGCAGCCCTGCAATAGCAAGTCAGTGAGAATGGCCTTGAGCACAGCGTCTAATCAGAGCAGGCCCCCACTGGAGTACCAAAAAGGCTGTGAGGGGCACCTGTGACAGTTTGTGGTGAACAACTGTGCAGCAAGACAAAGTAATACAATCCACGTCCGATTTTTAAGATGCATTCCAGACCAAAGGTCAGGTGCCTCGCTGTCTATAGAAATCAACATACAGCTAATATGTTACATATTGATGTCCTATGTATTTCGTAGCAGTCCAAAGTGATCAGTAGCTACATAGTATAAAAGGGAGACAAGTTGTGCCCATTTTATTGCACGTGGTGTTGTATACTATACAAACTTCTTAAATTCTTTCTGATTTCTAATCTTTTACAAGCTGAAAAAAATTAAAATATCAACAAGGTTAAATATGAGAAGAAGCAAAAAAATGCAGAAAAATTTATTTGAGAAGATTTGACAGTTCTTTCAATTGTTATGCTGGCAGGGGCAGGAGGATGCAGAGAAAAAGTCTAAAGAAGAATAAAAGAGCGTTGACTGAGGAGCAGGAGAGTTTGCAGAAAAGACTAGATGAGAATGAAGACTAAGTGACTTCGAGGGGCTTGGGGAGGGGCTGCTTGAAGATGTCAATGTGGGAGATGCTTCCTGTTGGTGAGAACCAGCAGAGGTGTGAGACCCTCACTGTGCCCAGTGCCAAGCCCCCACATTGGAAAAACAATAGAAGGAATGCAAAAAGGATCCACAGTCCTGGGAGACCGAGCTAACAGGCCCTGTTTCATCTTGGACCATGTGATGCGGAGGTTCCTGTTTCAGGTGCTGACTTCCTAATGAGGCCCTGCGTGGAGAGGTGGCCCCGGGATGCTATCTATCACACAGTGATAAACAAGGCAGCGACTGTTTCCTGTCCTTTTCTGCGACTGAATCCAGTCTCATCCGTCCTCCTAGGTGACGACCCATAGTCAACATCCTGCTTTTCCCATTCACGGCTGAAGGATAATGATGCCGGTTTTCATTGTGCTTTCGGACCTTGGGACATGAAGGGATAGGCTTTCTTTCCTGCCAGAGATAGGGAAAGGGTGGATGGGAGGGCTTTCCAACAAATGCTTCACCTTCCTCCAGTTGCATAGGAGTGGGGAGAGCCGAGGGAAATGCAGAGAGGCAGCCCTGGGGCTCCTGAAACCAGGCCAAGAGGTGCATTCAATCAAGGACTGACATTTGCCCATTGACCTCTTATCGGAGTTGCTAAGTCACTGGGGCCTTTGTGCTGCAGAATTGGAAAGGAAGGGTTCACCCAGCCCGGCCAATCCTGTGCCAGCTCTCTGCCCAGGAGCTGGCCATTAGCATTTACCTGACATCTGACTGATATCTTCATTTCACTTTGGTAAACAGGCCACCTCAAGGCCAAGGTGACAGTGACCTCTGGCGCTGCACACCGCACAGGATTCTCCCTGGGGACCCTGGCGAAGCACTTTCGCATCGGCAAGAGCTCCTATTTCCCCTCCCCACCCTCTGATTAGTGCTGACGATAAATAAATAACCATCCAACAGAATAGACAGCGGGCAGGCAAGCTGGACAGAGAAAGAGAAGTGTGGAAGGGCATGAGGGAGGGTTGGGAGAGGCAGAGGGGGAGTCGGACTTAGAAGGTTGCCTCTGCTGCTCTCCCACTAAGAACAATGCAGCTGCCCAGGAAACACACCCGAGCTATGAATAGGCTCAAGCACACAGGGCGAAGCTGTCGCATTTCTGCCGTTTAGAAAGGATCTCTAGTGTGAAGTTGCTTGGAGGCTCTGATTTTGCAAACCCAATTAAATATAGATTTCTTTGGGGTGACGGTTGGGAAGGGTGTGGGTGGAATGTATGTCTGTGCTGCAATGCAATTTAATCCTGAAAGTTTCAGCAAACCTATTCACACACTCCATAAACATTTCTGAGCACCTGCTGTGTGCCAAGTGCAAGGCACATCCAGCTGAAGCACACTTTGCCCCCCAAAAACCCATGGTCCAATGGAGTTGCAATGGCTACTACCTACCAGGGTCAGGCAGGCAACATGAATGAATGAATTAGGGAGGGTGTGGGACATTAGGGAGCGGTGGGGACTGTGAGAACGAAGTGCATGTGTCCTCTGTACAGGGACTGGGGAGCTATTCAGTCTCAGTTGACTGTCCTGTATTGTGCCTTATGATTTTTAAGGGGAAGCCATATGTTTGGAATTGCTTGTGTGTGTGTGTGTGTGTGTGTGTGTGTGTGCGCGTGTGGTTTTTATTTCTATTTTTTTTTTCTTTAAACACTGTGTGGGCCAAACAAACCATGTCTGTAGGCCTATTGGGACCAGAGAGGATCTTCTAATAACATATAATAAGAGTGACATAGAAGGCATCCCAGGGGCTAATGGAAGCCCTAAGTGGGGCATTTAACCCAGCCAAGGGTGGAGTTGGGAGTATCTTCCCAGTGCAGGTGAACTGAATCTTGGATAATGTTAGCCTAAATCATGGCCTGGTAAATCATGAATGATGGTGTAAATGATTGGAAGAGCCATTCCAGGCAGAGTAGTAATTTAGCTGGGCACTTTGCACATGCCTGCCCAGCTAAAGACTACATCTCTCAGCCACCCTGGAAACCAAGCATGGCCACCTGACTCATGGTATCTGTCTCAGTCCTTAAAGGGAAGGAGGGTTCCATTTGTCTGCACACCCCCGCCCCCCTTCCTTCTGGCTAGCAGGCGTGGTTGTCGCCAGCATAGATTGTGGAGCTGGCAACTCGACTTCTTTGGCTTCAATTTCTGTAAAATTAGGATATTATCTACTCTGAGAGATTTTGAGGGTTAAAGGCTTGATACTTATAAAGTATTGAGAACAGTGCCTGGCACATACATGGGCTGCCAAGGCATCATCTCATCAATAATTTTCTGTGGACGGTATTCTTTCGCAGCACTCTGGGGAAGGCAGAGCAACAAGAGGGCAAGAGCCTGGGTCCCCGTCCCAGACCTGCACCTGCACTAATATGTGAGAAGGCAACTGCACTCTCACCTAAGGCCCAGTGTTTTGAATCTCTGATGCAGCAACCAGGCTTACAATGAGTAACTCAGAGATTGGGTGGGGTTCTTCCTGGCCAGTGAGAACCAGAGAAAATGGCCTCAAACTGCCCCAAACGGCATGGCCTGTAAAGTCCAGAGTAGCACTAATCCCCAGGCACATGTGGCTCCTGGAGCCTCTGCCTCATGAGCTCAGCTTTCTCCTGTGCCAACCTGGCCTGACACATTAATGTTCTCAAGTGACCTAGCCCATTCTCTAGTTTCCATTCGTCAGCAACGACAGCCATTGACATGACCACCATGTGAAGAATTGCTGGTCTAAGCTGGCTTCACTGAAAGAGGTTTACTGAGTGAGTGCCTGGATGGAGCAGAGCGTGACCATCACACAGACATGACCCCCTGCGGAGGTATCTCCCACCCCAAGTCTCCTTCCCCTCTGTCCCAGGAGCCCATTTTTTCCAGCTGTGTCTGTGCAGAGGCCACACCTCCCAGAGGCTCCTCCTACCCAGGACTGCCTGGCAGGAATTGAAGGGGAGCTATCACTGGCAGACACGGAACTCTGCTGTTACTAGACCTTGGCTCAAGGAAGGCACTGCCAAGCCTATCAAGTTGGCACAACTGCCTAGAATGCTTCTACCCAATCTTCCTTCCCTCTGTCCTCCACTCAGGGTCTTGCATCACATGGCCTGACTGCTCTCTCTACCCTCCCTTCCACCCATTTTCTCTCACAGGCATTTGCCTTCATGAAACCCCTGTGCATTAACTCCCATCTCGGCATCTGTTTCTCCTGTAATAACAGTCTGCCAAAGTTTCTTGGAAGAAGAAAGAGATGCAATTAGTTCTTTCTCACTTAGGGGACTTAATCTACCCCCAGGACGATTTGCATATCTAAACAGAACAATACCTCACTAAGGGTGGTATTTCAGGCACCTGGAATACATGTGGGTCATGGTGGAGCTTCCCCAGGTGCCCTCAGATATAAGGGTCTGTTCTGTCCTTAGACAACTGGGAAAGTGAGGGTGCAATGTCTGGGAGTTGGGAAAGGCCTGGAGCTTTGACTAAGCCTGTTTCAGTCTCTAGGAAGCAATGGGAGGTATCTCATGTACCAGTTGGTATGCTTTAGGTAGCAGGTAAGAGAAACCCCAATGCCAAATGGTTTAAAGAAGAAGAAAGATCTATGACCCAAGGCAGGGTGTCTCCTGGGGTTCTCCACATTTCCAAGCATCCAGGTTTCTTCTACTGTCCTTCCTTTCTGGGGTCCTGGGCCTGTCAGTCCTGCCTCAAGTTGTTCTCCTCATGGTGCCAGGATGGTTGCCATAGCCCAGTCATCACACTCAAATGTACTAATGTTCAAAGGCAAAAAGAGACTGGCATTTTTGTGTTTCTCATTTTAAGAGTGAGCAGTTTTTCCCAGAGTCCTTTAGCAGGACTGTGGTCAAAATCAGATCACATGCAGTTTTGTATTCATCGTTGTCAGGGGGAATGAGATTGCATGTTCGGCTTGGACAACTGGGATTTAGTCTTGAGCTAGGAATAGTTACCTTGCCTGAGGAGTGGAGATCAGAATATGACTAGGTTTCTGTTAGCAGAGATAAAAGTGGAGGATGGCTCTTGGGAGGAAGGCAATAGTGTCTTCTGCAGCCTGCACGGGTTTGAAAAACGTGTTGATCCGTCCTCACTTTTCACCATTCAAGGTTCTCACTCTCTATTTTTGCTGAACTGTCTTTTGCTTTCCTTGATCTCAAAAGGCAGGAATTTCTTCTTGGTCTCTTGACTACAATTGGTTCTATTTAGCATCTTGCTGGTAGCCAGAATTGGTCTGATTCCTGTAGCTCATTTTACTGGTAAGTTAACTTTTGGCAGCAAGTGATTAAAATTTTTAGAAGTAATCAGAAGTAATGAAAGATCATTTAGAAATAATAACCTTCTATGTGATTTTATATTGAACATGACCTCTAAGTTCCCTTCCAGCTTAATGTTGCACCATAGGAACACAAGCCAGGTCAGCTTTGGGTGACCCAGGTCTTGGTTCTGGCATGCTGTGCAATTTGGGACAAATGAATGCTCCTCTCTGGGCCTCAGACTGTCAATCCAAAAACTGATTGGGGTGGGTTAGATTTGGGATGACAAATCACTTCATTTGAGCAGCTAAGTCAGCCTGAGGCATTATGCTAAAGACGACTCAGAAGTTCAATGGTGGAAAGTGCCATAATCCATTAGTGATGTCTGCCAAGGGTGTGAGATGGGAGAGGATTAGCACACTTTTTGTTGACTGAACTAGAGAATCTCAAATAACCCTTTAGCTCTACTATTCTTTGGTTTGAATTTCTTTCTTCCTCATAATTTATAGTGAGATTTTCAAGAGCCAATCTAGTGTGATAAGGAAATTGGCCTCTGATGGACCGGAAGCTGTGTGACCTTGGGCTTTTGGTTTTCAAACACAACATCATTTTGCCACTAGAATTCCTCCATCCATATAGAATCAGAAATAAAATCTTGGTCTGTATCCTCTTTACAAATGAACATGTCCTGCTTTATAGGCAGGTGCAGGTGTTGATATAGATACAAATATATAGATGAATATATGTGTGTAAATACATACACATGTTACATATATGTATACATACATACATATACTCATATGTCTACAAAGCAAGCATGATACATACTAATTCATTCACTTAGTCATTCAACATATATATGTTGCAATCCTATTATGTGCCAGGCATCGTTTGGGTGCTGAGATACAGCAGGGAGCAAGATGATCAGTCTCTGATCTTCTCAAGGAGAGATCTGAGACTGATCATCTTGGAGCTTTTATTCTGGGAGGAGGTTTTATTCTGGTCACAGAGAGAGAGACAATAAACAAATGAGTACATATTATTACATCAGTGTTGTGGAGAAAAATAAAACAAGATTGGGGGTGCAAGGTGATCCAGAAAGGAAAGTCTTACTTAGGATGAATTGAGATGCCTTCTTAGGTGACACCAGGTAGAAACCTGAAGGTGGTGAGGAAGTGAGCTCAGCAAAAACAAGACAGAAGAACATTCCAGGCAGAGGGAACAGCAATCACAAATGCTGTAAGGCAGGAATGAGCTTAGCAGCTTCAGGAAACAGCAATGAGACCAGTGTGTAAGTGTGTGTTCAGAGGAACACGTTGCCAGAGGAAAAGAGTCTTGGGAAGGGCAGGTGAGGTCAGGAGGGGCCATGTATTGGTCAGTACAGGCTGCCATAACAGACTACTGCAGACTGCATGGCTTTAACAACAGATACTTGTTTTCTCACAGCTCTGCAGACTTGAAATCCAAGATCAAGGTGCTGGTGGGGTTGGTTTCTGGTGAGGTCTCTCTCCTCAGCTTACAGACAGCCACCTTCTAGCTGTGTTCCCATACGGCTTTTCCTCTGTATAAGCAGGAGGAGAGTGCTTTGCTATTTCTTCTTCTTTTTAATTTATAATTTAATTTTTTTTTTTTTGTAAAGACCAGGTCTTGCTATCTTTCCCAGGCTGGTCTTGAAATCCAGGCCTCAAGTGATCCTCCTGCCTTGGCCTCCCAAAGTGCTGGAATTACAGGTGTGAGTCACCACGTCCAGCCACCTCTTCTTAAAAGAACACCAATCCCATCAGATTAGGGACCCACCTCATGACCT
Organism: Homo sapiens; assembly: GCF_000001405.40. Taxonomy (NCBI): domain Eukaryota; kingdom Metazoa; phylum Chordata; class Mammalia; order Primates; family Hominidae; genus Homo; species Homo sapiens. The sequence goes on from NC_000005.10 coordinate 173,678,910, forward strand.
CACTTAACCTTAATTATCTACTTAAAGACCCCATCTCCAAATACAGTCATCTTGGGAGTAAGGCCTCAACATATGACTTTGGTGGGACACAATTCAATTCATGACACCAGGTCATGCAGCACTCTGCAGGTGGGGAGACGAGGATGGTGTTGTCAGTGGGATAGAGGCTATGAGAGGGCTCTGAGGAGGTGAGGGACTTGGGTTTTAAAGAATCCTTCTGCCTGCTGTGTGGATGGAGTATCTGAGAAGGGAGGGGCACAGCCAGGAGGGAAGCGGCATTCACAGGAGCTGAGTGAAGAGACTGATGTCATGAAAAGGTAACAGGTGATGGTGACTCTGGCAGTCGAGGGGGTGGTGAGAAACGGTCAGGTTCTGGATAGATTTTGAAGACGGTGCTGACAGGGTTTGGGATGAATTTTATCTCAGAACGAGGAAAGAGGACTCAGAGAGGACTCCTAGATATTTGGCCTGGAGCAGCTGGTGTAAGGTAGAGCTGTACACGAGGAAGGAAAAAACTGGGCAAGGGTAGGAGTGGGGCACAGAAATCAGGGTCCTGCTTGGGGCAGGTTGAGATGTCCATTCGACGGCTATGGGGGTGTCTGGAGTGGGAAGACACAGATTAAGTTGTATCTGCTAATACGCATTTCAGGACTACCATGCCTCAGAGCCAGTGCTCCGCATTTTATACGTGGGATCTCCTTTAATTTTCATAACAACATCTTGAACAGTTTATACTATTTTTTATTAAATCTAAAACTGTTGATTGTGTGACATGCTGTGGTTCCAGATCTGCTAAAATGTGAAAAATTACGCATCTTAGAATAGATGAAACATGATAATATTGTGTCCAAAGTTTGTTCCTTCCAGTGGGTTCATGGTCTCACTGACTTACAAGAATGAAGCCGCGGACCCTCGTGGTGAGTGTTACAGCTCTTAAGAGTGGTGAAGACCGAAAGAGTGAGCAGCAGCAAATTTACTATGAAGAGTGAAAGAACAAAGTTTTCACAGAGTGGAAAGGGACCCCAACGGGTTGCCACTGCTGCGGTGGCCAGCATTTATTCTCTTATTTGTCCCCGCCCATGTCCTGCTGATTGGTCCATTTTACAGAGTGCTGATTGGTCCATTTTACAGAGCACTGATTGGTCCATCTTACAGTGTGCTGATTGGCCCATTTTACAAACCTCTAGCTAGCCACAGAGCGCCGATTGGTGCATTTTTACAGAGTGCTGATTGGCTCATTTTACAAACCTCTAGCTAGCCACAGAGCCCTGATTGGTGCGTTTTTACAGAGCACTGATTGGCACATTTTACAAACCTCTTGTAAGACAGAAAAGTTCTTCAAGTCCCCACCCAACCCAGAAGTCCAGCTGGCTTCACCTCTCAATATTATTTTCATTTTTCAGATAAAGAAACTGAGACTTCAGTAGCTTGGTAGTATCTCAAGGCTAGTAGTGGTCAGAGTTGGGATTCCTGCTCTTGATTCTTCCTGGTTACTATTTACAATACATGTGAAATGCTTAGCAACATGACTGGCACACTGTGGCCCTGATGATCAGCTGTTTAATGCAATGCACAGTACACAACACAACATGCATTCTACAATATGCTGTGCATACAGGTCAGAAGACAGTGTGCAGGCCTTGTGCAAAGGACCATACCAATGTCTTGGAGCTAAAAAACCACACATTTAGGTATACTATTGTATAACTGCCCTGTAGACTCCAATTTGCAAGTATTAGAGTGAGAAAAAACATATTCTTAAGAATAAACAACCTAAATCCTGCACCAATTCAATTTTGCTTTGGGGTACCAGGAGAGAGAAATTTTTCTCAATACTTATCATGCAATCTCCCTTGTTTTCAAGGAAAAGTGTTTCTGCATAGAAACACTCAAGTCAAAGGGCAGCTGCCTGTGGGACATGTGACTCTGGGGGTTTTTTCACACATCAGCAGCTGCAGTTTTGGAACTGGGTGAAGGGTATTTCCACCCTCTGCAAAATGAAGGCTAAATGAAAGCTACCCAGATGAGAACTGTTTAGATGAGAGGAATATAAGCCGTATGCTTGGGCCTTAGATATTCCCAGTTTCTTCTCAGAAGCGGAAAGTTGTTCCGAACAGGGTCTAAGCATGATAAGTCTGGAAGATTTAGAAATACTACGCATTTTGTGACGTGTGGAAGTCATTGTCATCGATTATTTATTTTGTCAATGGGGCTTGTCTTAGGATCTTGGTAGTCAAAGGCCAGAAAAATTAAGTAGGTCTTACAAGGACTCAAAAATTCAAACTTGTCAACTCAACAACAACAAAAACCCTCAAACAACCCAATTACAAATGGGCAAAGGCCTTGAATAGACAATTCTCCAGAAAAGATACACAAATGGCCAATAAGCACAGGAAAAGATGCTTAACATCATTAATCATTAGAGCAAGGCAAATCAAAACTCTGTCCATTAGGATGGCTACTATTGTTTAAAAAGCATTAAAAAGGATGTGGAGAGCCAGGCGTGGTGGCTCATGTCTGTAATCCCAGCATTTTGGGAGGCTGAGACGGGCAGATCACGAGGTCAGGAGATGGAGACCATCCTGGCTAACATGGTGAAACCCTGTCTCTACTAAAAATACAAAAAAAAAAAAAAAAAAAAAAAAAAAAAGAAAATTAGCCAGGCGTGGTGGCGGGTGCCTGTAGTCCCAGCTACTCAGGAGGCTGAGGCAGGAGCATGGTGTGAACCTGGGAGGTGGAGCTTGCAGTGAGCTGAGATCATGCCACTGCACTCCAGCCTGGGTGACAGAGCGAAACTCTGTCTCAAAAATAATAAATAAATAAATGAATACATAAATAAATATAAAAAGGATGTGGAGAGATTGGAACCCACGTGCACTATTGGTGGGAATGTAAAATGGTACAGCCACTGTGGAAAATAATCTTGCCATTCTTCAACAATTTAAACAGAATTACCATGTGATTCAGCAATTGCACTTCGAGTTTATAGACAAAAGAATTGAAAGCAGGGTCTTGAAGAGATAATCTGTATACATCCATGATCACGGCAGCATTATTCACAACAACCAACAGGTAGAAACAAACCAAGTATCCATAGACAGATGAATGGATAAATGAAATGGGGTCTATCCATTCAAGGGAATTTTATTCAGCCTTTAAAAGCAAGGAAATTCTGATCATCCATGTTCAGATCCATGTTCAGATCTGTGTTCCTCCAACATGGATGAACCTTGAGGACATTATGTTAAGTGAAATCAGCCAGACACAAAAGGACAAAGATTGTATGATTCCACTTAAATGAGGTTCCTAGAGCAGTCAAATTCAAGGAGACAGGAAACAGAATGGTGGTTGCGAGGGTGGAGAGCAAGGGGGAGTTTTTGTTTAATGGGTAGAGTTTCAGTTTTGCAAGATGAGAAAGTTCTGGAGATGAACAACGGGGATGGCTGCACAACAATATGAATGTATTTAATGCCACTGAACTGTACACTTAAAAGTAGTTAAGATGGTAACTTTTAAGTTATGTGTATTTTATCACACACAACAATGTGGACTTATCTATTTAGAATAGGTATGCTCCCTGTTCCTCCATCACTGCCTGTATACAGTAGGTGCTCAATAAATGAATGAAAAAGAGTCATCACTGATGTAAACCAGATGTCCCTCCTCCCTGATGCAGGTTCGGTCTGGACTTGGAACTCAGCCTCCTTGTTGCTACTCACCAAAAAACAAACCAAAAAACAAACAAACAAAAACAAAAAAAGATGCATTCCTGTAGACCTGTAGATTTTTCAGAAGATCTCTGTGATCACAGGGTGGGGTCTGATCCTACAGTTCACATCAAAATCTTAAAGAATCTCATGCAACCACCAAGTAGTGTTCTTCTATCTGCCCTTCTTCCCTTGAGTTGTGCAAAGAAATACTGCTCCCTACAAGGTACGGATACTGATTTGATATTGTACTGATAATGATCAGTACAATAATTGGTCTCCCAGTACCTCCCGAGTTACTGAGACTGCAGGCATGCACCACCACGACCAGCTAATTTTTGTATTTTTAGTAGAGATGGAGTTTCGCCATGTTGGCCAGGCTGGTCTCAAACTCCTGACCTCAGGCGATCTGCCCACCTCAGCCTCCCAAAGTGCTGGGATTACAGGCATGAGCCACTGTGCCCAGGTGGGTTTTTATTTAAGTAAATTACTGGGGCTTCTCCAAAACTGGGCCCTCTAGGAAACAGGGCTGACCTTGCCAGAAGGCAACATAGGAGCCACACTTGTTATCAATGTATGCCATCGGGGTCTCCCAGTACCCACGAGTTGCATAACTTCAGGAGACAGTGTATTCTTAGGTTGTATAGTAGCAGCCCTCGCCATCCATAGCCCTACCCACTTGCTCCCCAAATATTTGTTCTAACTCCTCAAGTGCATTCCCTGAAAGAAATTTTGGTGGATTAAATCATTTTGTTCTAGCAAGGGACATGGGCCTTTCTTCTTTGTCATGGATTTTATACTGAATGTCATATTCTATATTTCTAGCAAGGGGTGAATAGCTAATAGCTAGATCCTCGCTAAGCAGATGAACCGTGAAAAGCACTTTGTGAGACAGTCACTCTAAATTCTCACAAAGGGCTAGATTACACCGTGGATTTGGCACCATTAGCCAGAGAGCCCAGGTGACTGGGCCCAGCAAGCTGGGACACAGTTTTTCTTAACTTTAGCCAGGGTGGATTCAGTAATGCCAACATTTTCCAACTTTTGGAAAAATAGCCCAGAAGTTGCAGTATTCTTATTCAATTGAACTTCAAGATGACAGCAGATGCTAGAGCCAGGCAGGATTCAGGCTCCCTGCCATAGGGACATACCATGTCTCAACCTCACTCAAGCTTGAGGACAATGGACATTCCCCAATCCTCTTTGTGACAGGATTTTTATTTAATCACTATATACTTTTCTTTTTCTTTTCCTTTTTTTTTTTTTTTTGAGATGGAGTCTCACTCTGTCACCCAGACTGGAGTGCATTGGCACAGTCTTGGCTCACTGCAACCTCTGCCTCCCAGGTTCAAGCGATTCTCCTGCTTCAGCCTCCCGAGTTGCTGGGACTGCAGGCATGCACAATGCCCAGCTAATTTTTGTATTTTTAGTAGAGACGGAGTTTTGCCATGTTGGCCTGGCTGGTCTCAAACTCCTGACCTCAGGCGATCCGCCCGCCTCGGCCTCCCAAAGTGCTGGGATTACAGGCATGAGCCACTGCGTCCAGCCGGGTTTTTATTTAAAACCACAATATATTGATCGTTTTCAAAGTGCATGTGTCCCCTGCTCTTCTAGTGGGGACAGTTTGGGGATTGGACACAGTGTTTGAAGTGGTATCAGGAGCGATTCTGGAGAGGTCCCATCCCACTCTCATCCAGGGTCCCTTTACTGCTTAGAAAATTATAGAAGTATTCAGTGCTCCAGTCTTTTGAAACTGTGCCTTTGAAGCCTCAGTAAATTCAGAAAAGTCTTGATGGGGGAAGACGGGCAGCTGCTCTACTTAGGTTGGCATAAAATTTAATATGGACCAAATGTTCTGTTATTAAAAGTTTGAAACCCACTGTCATACACTATACAAATGTTAGGAGGTCCTACATAATATTGAGAGGTGAAGCCAGCTAGACTTTCTGGGTCGAGTGGGGACTTGGAGAACTTTTGTGTCTTACAAGAGGATTGTAAAATGCACCAATCAACACTCTGAAGCTAGGATTGTAAAATGCAACAATCAGCGCTCTGTAGCTAGCAAGGGGATTGTAAAATGCACCAATCAGCACTCTGTAAAAACGCACCAATCAGCGCTCTGTAGCTAGCAAGAGGATTGTAAAATGCACCAATCAGTTCTTTGTAAAATGCACTGATCAGCAGGATCCTAAAAGTAGCCAATTGCAGGGAGGATTGAAAAAAAGGCATTCTGATAGGACAGAAACAGAACAAGGGAGGGGACAAATAGCAGAATAAAAGCTGGCCACCCCCCAGCCAGCAGTGGCAATCTGTTCGGGTCACCTTCCACATTGTGGAATCCTTGTTCTTTCGCTTTTCACAATAAATCTTGCTGCTGCTCACTGTTTGGGTCTGTGCCACCTTTAAGAGCTGTAACACTCATCGCGAAGGTCCGTGGCTTCATTCTTGAAGTCAGTGAGACCACCAACCCACCGGCAGGAGCCAACTCTGGACACGATATGTCCATATTCTATATTGTGTACAGCATTGTAAATGTAAACTGTACATCGGGATCTCCCCATCTTCTCCTTTGAGCTTTTCCAAATAGTTTGCTCACAGAATGTGGAATTTACTGATGGTCTCATGGGGAAGCAAGAAGAGAAGCTCTTATAGCACAGTAAGTTGCTTAAAGATTACCGTTAGCCAGCCGGGCGTGGTGGCTCACGCCTGTAATCCCAACACTTTGGGAGGCCGAGGCAGGCGGATCACGAGGTCAGGAGATCGAGACCATCCTGGCTAACATGGTGAAACCCCGTCTCTACTAAAAACAAAAAATTAGCCGGGCACGGTGGTGGGCGCCTGTAGTCCCAGCTACTCAGGAGGTTGAACCAGGAGAATGGCGTGAACCCGGGAGGCGGAGCTTGCAGTGAGCTGAGTTCGCACCACTGCACTCCAGCCTGGACAACAGAGCGAGACTCCGTCTCAAAAAAAAAAAAAAAAAAAAAACCTTACCGTTAGCCATGCTGCTGATTCTCATTTCTCCTTTCCACTGAGCAGTCCTGGGCATGGCATCACGCAACCTTGGTGTCTCCTCTCTCCCTCCCTCTGTAGAACAATTACATTCTGCCCCAGACTGGCACACCCCCAGGCTTCTTGTTGCTCGGTTCTGTGCTTAACCAAGCACCATCTTCTCAAAAGAACATCCAAATCTCTGCCCTCTGGGAGGCCTCCTCCACCCCAGTCAAGTGGTTCGTGAAGGGGGACTCCTTCAAACACAGTTTTCTAAAGACGGGTCTTGGCCGTGCAATCCCCACCATCATTAGGAACCAACACTTCCAGACGTTAAGGGCTGAATTGTATCTCCCCCAGATTCACATGTTCAAGACCCAACCCCTAGTGTCTCAGAATGGGACTGTGTTTGGAGACAGGGACTTTATCGAGGTGATTAAGGTAAAATGGGGTCATATGGGTGAGCCCTAATGAGCAATATAACTGATGTCTTTTTTTTTTTTTTTTGAGACAGGGTCGCACTCTGTCACCCAGGCTGGAGTGCAGTGGCGGTAATCATGGCTGACTGCAGCCTCCACTTCCCAGGCTCAAGTAATCCTCCCACCTCAGCCTCTGGAGTAGCTGGGACTACAGGTGCATGCCACCACACCCGGCTACTTTTTATTTTTTATTTTTTATAGGGATGAGGTCTCTCTATGTTGCCCATGCTGGTCTTGAACTGCTGGGCTCAAGCAATTATCCCACCTTGGCCTCTCAACATGTTGTGATTATAGGCGTGAGCCACGACACCCAGTCGTGAGTGATGTCTTTATAAGAAGAGGAGATGGGACACAGACACGCACAGAAGGAAGAGCACATAAAGACACCGGAAGAAGACAGCCATCTATCTACAAGCCAAAGCGAAGCCTCAGGAGAAACCAACACTGCGGATACCTTGATATTACATTTGGAATAAAATGTATTGGGATAAAAACCCCAATACATTTCTGTTGTTTAAGCCACCCAGTCTAGGGCGCTTTGTTATGGCAAAGCACTCAGGCAAGCCAATATGCCACGTCTCTGCTGCTCTGCTAGGTCTCGGTGACTCTCTCTGACATACAGCATGTGCTCGGTGATACACCAGAAGAATAGAAATCACACTTAGAATCCAGCTCCTTCCTGGTCTGGCCCATTACAGGCCTTTCCAACTTCACATGCCACTCCCCCGTCACTGGCCACTGTTCCATGGGAAAATACACCCAGCTTGTTCCTACTACTGACCCTGTACTTGCCGAGCCCTCTGCATGGGTCTGTTTTTTTCCTGCCTTGGTCTTGCTTGTTACTGAGGTTTGGCAGAAACACCAGCTCCTCAGAGAGGACTTTTGGGCACCCAGTCCCCAAAACTCATTTCCCGTCACATCACTGCATGTGTTCATGGTGTGTAACTCCATCTTTCCTTGCTCACTTATTCATTTACCCAATTAGTTCATCTATCCACATCAGATGTGTGAGTTTTGTGAGAGCAGAAATCGTGTCAGTTGGATGTTTTCTGTTGCTGCTGTAACAAAGTAATGCAAATTTTGTGGCTTGAAACAATACATACATATATATATATATATACACACATAATTTTTTTTTTTGAAGTGGAGTTTCACTCCTGTTGCTCAGGCTGGAGTGCAATGGCGAAATCTCAGCTCACTGCAAGCTCTCTACCTCCTGGGTTCAAGCGATTCTCCTACCTCAGCCTCTTGAGTAGCTGGGATTACAGGCATGCCCCATCATGCCTGGCTAATTGTATTTTTAGTAGAGACGGGGTTTCTCTATGTTGGTCAGTCTGGTCTCAAACTCCCGACCTAAGGTGATCCACCTGCCTCAGCCTCCCAAAGTGCTGGGATTACAGGCATGCGCCACCGCGCCCCCAGCCAAAACAATACAGATATATTATCTTATAGTTGTGTAGGTTGGAAGTGCAACACAGGTGTAAGTTGCATTCCTTTCTGGAAGCTTCTAGGGAAGAATCTTTTTTTTTTTTTCTTTTTTCAGCTTCTAGAGGCTGCCTACATTTCTTGGCTCGTGGCTTTTTGCTCCGTCCTCCAAGCCATTGCATCTCTCTCTGACCATAGCCGGGAAAGTTTCTTTGCCTTCATCCCCACATGATTACATTGGACCCACTTGCATAATCCAGAATAATCTCCCTATTCCAAGGTCCTTAGCCTTAATCGCATCTCACAATCCCTTTTGCCATGTAAGATTACATATTCACTAATTCCAGGGATTAAGACATGGACATCTTTGGGGCGCATTATTCTGACCACCATATCTGTTTTTTCCCTTTATATGTCTAGTGTGGAGAACAGACCAGGAAATTAGTAGGTATTCATTGACTTTGCTGGGTAAATGAAAAGTTACCATTTATTGTGCAGATATGAGGCGCTGGGCAGATGCAAGGTGCTCTATGTGTGTTTTCTCATTTGCTCTTTACCATAACCCTCGGGGGTAGAGTTTACCCCCATTTTACAGCCCCATTTACTAAGGCTCACAGAGGTGACATGACTTACCCAGGGCCATCCAGCTAGTAAGTAGGAGAGCTGGGATTTGAACTTTTACCTTTCTGCCTCCAAAACCCAAAGTCTATATGCCCCTCTTTCGCAGCTCAGGGAGGATGTCTCGAGCCCGGGCGTGTTGTACCCACAGGTATCTTACTTACATCTGCTCACTGTGCCATGTCAGCACCGCCTGTTCCAAAGGCAGATTCAATGTTGCTTAGGCCGGCCAGGCACGGTGGCTCACACCTGTAATCCCAGCACTTTGGGAGGCCGAGGTGGGTGGATCACTTGAGGTCAGGAATTTGAGACCAGCCTGGCCAACATGGTGAAACCCTGTCTCCACTAAAAATACAAAAATTAGCCAGGCGTGGTGGCACATGCCTGCAATCCCAGCTACTCTGGAGGCTGAGGCAGGACAATCTCTTGAACCCGGGATGCAGAGGTTGCAGTGAGCCGAGATTGCACCATTGCACTCCAGCCTGGGCAGTAAGAGCAAAACTCCATCTCATAAAAAATAAAAATTAAAAAAAAGATTGCTTAAGGCCTGTCTGCCTCTCTTTCAAAGGGGAAATCCCTCAGCTTCTTTAAATAAATTCAATCCTGCCAACTAGAGATGAGGGTTGATTAGATGAGATTGGGGGAAGAAGCCCTCCTTCTCAATGAGTGGTCCAGAAACCAGCAGCATGGGCACCCCATGGGAGTGGTCAGAAATGCCGACACCGAGGGCCCTGAACTGCTGAGTCAGGCTCTTCTAATGATCCCTAAGTGGTCTGCACACACATCATGCCTTGGAGAAGCCCTGCTGTGAGGCACCCACGCAGATCCAGACACTCACTGACCATGGTGGGAGGTGGCACCTATTTTATTTTTATGATGAGAGGGAACCTCAAACTCTACTGTGATGTAAGTGGTCTCAAAGGCCCTTTGAAGTCACCATTTTATCTAAATCAGAAATAGGAAAAAAATAAGAAATGGCCAGCTTAGAAAGACTCAAATTCTTTTGCGGGGGGAAAAACCAGGAAGAAAGAAAAGAAAAATACATTGTTTCCTTGGCCATCTGTGTGAAGAAATAACAAAACCACCGTTGACATACCAGCAGGAAAGAACACTGGAGAGCTTCACTTGACAGAATTATTACAAACGCCTCTTCCTGGTTCAGGGGGAAAAAAAATTCCAAATAGGTTTGTGATATTTTTTTCCCTAGCATGCTTGCAACTCCCAGTAGAGCCAATAACCAGTTTTCAAAACCTTTTGATTCTACTCATCCCCTGGTTAATAATTTCCAGTTTACCCAGCAGGCTACGTAACATCCCCTTTCCTGGGAAAGAATTTCTGTGCCCCGGCTGGCAGTGAACTGGTCCCCTTAGCAGCTGACCTCCTCCTCCAGCCCTGTGGCTGCCTCCTCTCCAACAGGGACCCTCCTGGTGGGTATCCGGAACAGTGCCTTAGTGTTCCGCAAAGGGGAGAGGGAAAAAGAGAGGGCTGTCTCCCAGAAGGGTGAGTCTCTTCTTTAATCATCTGGAGCTGAGAAGAATTTTCTCCCTGTTTCCTGGGAAATAGCTGATAAAGGACATTTTGTCTGCTGCTGTTTATGTATACCTAGGCCGAACAAGTCTCAAAACTCTACCCTCTCCTGCCCCCTCCGGAGCTGGTACTTTGAAAACATAGGACAATAATGAAAGCCAAGAGCAGGCAGCCTGATATGGGCCTGGCACCCCATCTCCTGTTTCCTCCTGCCCGCTGCTGCAGCCGGCTTTATGCCAGCTGCAGCCACCAGGGACAGGTTGGCTTCTCCACCCTTGATGGCCCCGAGAAATATTTCTTTCAGGGCATGGCAGAAGGGGACTTTGGGGAAGGTGGGACCCTCCCTGCAGCCAATAGCACGGGCCCCGTCCCTCCCCCCATGCAAATCTTTGGCCAGCAGCCTTGGTATCACCAAACCTTGCCGAGATAGGGAGTGCCATGAAGGGCTCAGTGAGTTTCTGGCAATCCTCTCCTCTGTTTATCTGAATGGGCCCAAAGGCTGCAAAACAAACCGGCAAACACCAGGGTGTTCCTGAGAGTATAGCTGCACTTCCTGTTTACAGGCTCAGGGTGAGAAGCCCCTGAGACCCATTCTGCCTGTGTCAATTTCTTTCTGCTTCCTCTGAGATCCGTGATGTGGGAGGGCAAAGGGTTTCCCTCCCGCCGCCTGGAAAAATAATATGCAGGCCGGGAACATGAGCTTGCCTGTGAAGGCTGCTCAAAACGACACACTTGCAATTTGGGGTTTGTGACTAAGGTTGATTCGATCCCAGGTCTTCTGGTCCCTCTGGGAGCATCTCAGACCCCGTGAGACAACCCACTTTGGGACTCAAGGGTGGTAGGGAGTGGGGAATGGGAAGGGCACCTGTAGAGGCATAAATTGCTGGGCCCTGCCACCCCACCCATCCTCACACCACTCTCGCCCCACCCAACCTCATCCCACCCTACTCATCACCCCCACCCTCACCCCCACCGTCACCCCACTCCACTTGCTGTGTGTCCCTTGCTTCCCATGCTTCCCTGTCCTGGACCACAGTGAAGCAGCTGGGAATTCCAAGCACAGGGCTTCCTACCTTCAGCACCAGTGGTGACACCAGAGGTGGATTCCAAGAATACCTGAATGACCTACAACACATTCTGTCCAGGCAGGAGGGGTGGTGGCACTGCCTCCAGGAGATGGCCGAGGTATCCGGGGGTTAGGACCCTCTAGTTTGTTGCAGGGATGTCACAGAGCCTTGCTACTGAAAGTGTGTCCAGGGACCAGCAGTATTGTCCTCACCTGGGAGATGGTTAGAAACATGGTCTCACACCCTGTCCCAGACCCACTGCATGTGAACCTGCAGTTTAGCAGACGCCGCAGGTGACTCCTGCACACATTAAAGTTGGAGAAGCGCTGCTTTGGAGGACCCGTCCCTCTGTCCTCATTATGAGGATGCCTGCGCTGACTTTGGACAGCTTGTGCTTTTTAAAATCTCGTGGGCATAAATGACTCTTTGTGACTGATCTTGTTTCTCTCTTTGCTAAGAAAAGCAGGTTTAATCTGATGTAAGTGTCAGCTTATTTGGCCTCCGATATGTGGCATGCCACATATCGGAGACCAAATAAGTATGTGCATAAGTGAAGGATTTCATAGCTAAATTCGATGTGCCCGACACCTGAAAATTCAAACACCAGAAGGGCCAGGCAGGTGACAAAGATGAACGAAGTGGGCTGGGTGGGCCAGTGAGGACTGGACAGCCAGTGACCTGGTGGAAGCGGCAGCAGCTACTCCAACCCAGCCCATTCTTGTCATTCAGGGACCAGGCTCAGGGTTGCCAGATCCCAATATCTTCAAGAGAAGCCTGAATTTGAATTTTTATGAAATCACCCAACATTGAAATATTGGCAATTAATTAAAACATTAAAAAAAAAAACCCAAAGGCCAGGCGCTGTGGCCCCTGCCTGTAATCCCGGCACTTTGGGAGGCCGAGGCAGGTGGATCACTTGAGGTCAGGAGTTCCAGGCCAGCCTGGCCAACATGGTGAAACTTGTCTCTACTAAAAATACAAAAATGAGCTGGGCTTGGTGGTGCACGCCTGTAGTCCCAACTACTCGGGAAGCTGAGGCAGGAGAATCGCTTGAACCCGGGAGGCGGAGGTTGCAGTGAGCCGAGATCACCCCACTTTACTCCAGCCTGGGTGACAGCCTAAGCCTGTGTCTCAAAAAAACAAAAAACCAAAAAAAAAAAAAAAAAAAAAGGAAAAGAAAAACAAAAAAAATCCCCTCCTATGTATGACCCAGGCTTTATCCTGAGACTATGGATAAAACTGTGAACAAGACAGACACAGTCCCTGCCCTCAAAGAGTATGCAAGCTGGAAAATGGGACAGAGAGACCAGGAAGGTGGGAATGGCATTTCCTCAGGGAGACCTGCCTGTGCAAAGGCCCTGAGGTGCAAACAGCACATTGTAGATGGGGAGCTACAACCAGGTCAGTGCTGGGGAGCTGAGTCATGATTGAAGGAGGGGTGGAAGATAAGGATGAAAAGGGAGGAAGTGGCAGGTGATAATGGCATGTACTGTACATGCAGTTAAGGAGTTTGAACTAGGTCCTGCAGGCCTGGAAGGGTCATGAGTATGAGGATGACATGGCTGGAACTCAGTTTTCCTCAATTCACACCAGCTAATGAGAGGGGGATGGATTTAATGAGTGGGGAGTTGGAAAAGTATTAGAAGTCCAGACAGCAGTCGGGGGAGACTTGGGCAGTGGCCCAGGAACAAGGTGGTGAAGGCCTGAACTGGGGCACTGTGCAGGAATGGGAGGCAGTTGTGCATTTGAGGGCTGCACAGGAGTTAAAATCAGCAGGATGTTACCTACTTGATGGGGACCATTGGGGAGGTGGGGGCAGCCAGAGTTTCTGGCCTGGATGCCTGATGGACAAGGATTGCGGCGGTTGGAGCGTCTTGGCGGGGGAGATGACATGCTCGGTTCTGGGCAGACTGGACTTGGGGCTTCCTTGAGCCCTCTCTGGAAATGAGATGCAGACAGCAAGGTACTGCAGTCTTACTCAGTGAGGGGGCAAGGGCCAAGCTGAAAACCAGGACATTCTGAAACACATTTCTTTTTAGTAATTTGCCCCAGCTTTGTGGCTTCTCCACCCTGTTCTCTTCTCCCTGTGAGTTCTTTGTTTTTGTGAGTTGTCATATTACAGTCCATGGATTTTTGGGCCAGCCTGTAAATGGGGATAACAGTAGGTTCCTCCTCGCAGTGCTAGTGAGATTAAATGAGATAATACACTAAAAGCACACAGCACGGTGTCTGGCTGTAGGAAGATCCCATGATCACAACACCACATGTAATGTTAGTGTCATCATCATTAGCTGTGATTATTATTGTGATTATTAACATTAGTTACCATTATTGTTGTAACTACGCACGGATATGACCTACGAGGCCTCCTGCCACATGTGGTCCTTAGTTGTGGCCTCTTTCCCTGCCAACCTCAGGCCCGCTTGTATCTGTGGGAGGCAGTGGATAGCAGTGTTTATGAGCATGGCCTGTGAAATCACAGCCTGCCTGGGTTCAAATGCCAGCTCCACTTCTTACTGTGAGAGTGACCTCGGCCAAGTCACTTCGTGCTTCTGAGCCTCAGGTAGTTTCCCCATCTGAGGAAGGGGAAGATAAATGTATCTTGCTGTGAAGATAAAATGAGATAAATTGTCAAAGTACTCAGTGCACTGCCTGGCAGATACCAGCTGCTCCTTTATCATGTGCTCTTACTCTCCAGGACACCATCACCAACCCATCAGGCTGGCATGCACTCTCAAATCTACTGCCCCTAGCAACAGGATGCAGTTCATGTTCACTAAAATGACTTATGAGCTGCTTGCAGCGGGCTGAGTGTTGACGCTGCTCCCTGCCACTGGAAAAAAAGATATGCCCACATCCAGATCTCAGGAACTCATGGATGTGACCTCATTTGGAAAAGGGGTCTTTGCAGACGTAATTAAGTTAAGGATCTTGAGATGCAGTCATCTTGGATTATCTGTGTGGTCCCTAAATCCAATGACAAGTGTCCTTACAATACACGCAGAGAGGAGAAGCCTGACAGGAGAAGCAGAGATAATGACTGGAGACAGGGATTGGAGAGATGCAGCCACAAGCCAAGGGATGCTAACAAGCACCAGAAGCTGGAGGAGGAAGGAAGGATTTTCCCCCGGAGCCTGCAAAGGGAGTGCAGCCCCGCCCACACTTTGACTTTGGACTTCTGGTCTCTGGAATGCTTCGATAAGAAATGGTTGTTTGAAGCTACCCAGTTTGTGGTAGTTTGTCACAGCAGCCACAGCAAACAAATCCAGTGCCCTCCACCCTTTTCACCCTGAAACCGCATGAGGACTGGGTGGAGTAGGCAGGCAGTCTTGGCCATCCCCATTTTAGAGAGGAGGGGACACTGAGGTTCAGAGAGGCAGAAGGAGCTGCTTGAGCCACATAGCCAGTGAGCTTCACCAGTGTCAAGCCTGGAACCTGGCTCTCCTGAGTCCTCCTCCATGCACTGTCCTTTCTGGAACATTCTGCCAGCCACCCTGCACCAGGCACTGGTGGCCTGTGAGCTGTGATTGTCTCTGTAACCAGGACAGGTTTGCAGGGTCCCAAAGCAGCTCCTCCCAATACCAAGCAAATGGCTGGTGGGCATGAGGGCCCATCTGAGAACATGGGAAGGAGCAGCTGTCACCGGGGATCAGGCCCGCCTGACTTCATTAGCACCCAGCTCCACTGCATAGCTCAAAGAGATGTCCCTTTCTTTCTTTCTTTCTTTTTTTTTTTTTTTTTGAGATGGAGTTTTGCTCTTGTTGACTAGTCTGGAGTGCAAAGGCACAATCTTGGCTTACCGCAACCTCTGCCTCCTGGGTTCAAGCAATTCTCTTGCCTCAGCCTCCCAAGTAGCTGGGATTACAGGCGTGCGCCACCACATCCCACTAATTTAGTATATTTAGTAGAGACGTGGTTTCTCCATATTGGTCAGGCTGGTCTCGAACTCCCAACCTCTGGTGATCTGCCCGCCTTGGACTCCCAAAGTCCTGGGATTCAGGCATGAGCCACTGTGCCCGGCTAGATGTCCCTTTCAATAATGGGGAACCAAACCAGAGGCAGTCACATCTGCTAGCGAAAGGTGCTATTTTGAATAACTTCAGGATAGATATTTGTAATGCAGACATACCTGGCAGTCTTACATTTTTTTCTATTAATACAACAAAGTAGGGTTTAACAAACATCAACAAGCAAATAAAAATAAATAAATACATAGGTAAATGTAATGGTCTTGTAATGGTTTGCGGCTGCATTTGCCTTCACTAAATGTCCTATCTGTTGTACATATAAATTGGTTGGAAGGCCCCATAGGGTAGGAGGCTCTCATTTATTGAGTGCTTAATATATGCCTGGCCTCACGCTTTCACCGGATGTCTCACTGAATCTCTATATCATTCCCATTTTTTTTGCACAAATTAAAGCACCAAGACTCGAGTGCATTGAGTGGCTCGTACAGGACCACACTGATAAGGAATAGAGCCAGGATTCAACCTGGGCTGGCCTGGTCTGAACCCAAGCTCATCCTTTGGATCTAAACCTTTGGTTCTCAAGCCTGGCTCCACACTGAAAGTCCCTGGGGAGGCTAACATAATCCTCCACCACTGCCACCCCAGGGGGTCTGAAGTAGCTGGCCAGGGATGTGGCCCCCGCACTGGGTTTTCCAAACCTTCCCAGGCGACTCAAATTTGCAGTCAGGGTGAAAGGGCCCTGCTTTAACCCCATTTCACAAGTTGTTGTACTGCTTCCTCGCTCAGAAAGCCAGGGAGCTGTTAAGAGCTGACGTTTCCTTCCTGATTTCTACTTTACTAATCCCAGGTTTCCACCTGTGAGGTAGGGAAGGGAAATATACCTGCGATCCCTTAAAAATGTTTTTAAAAAGACGGGATCGATGGAGTGTGAACTGTGACCTGGACTCTGTGCTAATTGGGCTCCCTGAATGGTTTTTAACTTCATTCTTACAACAATTCCTCATTTACAGAGGAGGAAACTGAGGCCCGGAGGGGTGGAGTCATTTGCACTGGTTGCAGAGTTGGTGGCAGCAGGATTCAGACTCAGGGTCTCATCTTCCCTCTGATATTGGTAACCTCTCAGCCCGCTGTGTGCTCACCAACACACACATCTGCCTGCGCATGTTCAATTTCTGTCTATTGAGGTTGTGACGTGGGCCTGAGAGGTGTCAGGGATGTGAGTGTGTGAAGGGTGAGGGCTGGGGGTCTCCACACCAGCCTCCAGGGCCCCAGGGCAGAGTGTGCTCAGCTGGACTGAGAAGGGGCAGGAGCTGGATGGGGCCACTGTCCATCCCTAAGACCGGGCTCCTCTCTCAGCAGGGTCGCCTCTGCCATCCCTCTGGGCCTATGCAGGTTTGGCTGCGTCAGGTGACCAGGTGTGTGGTGGGGGGGAGGATGTGGAAGAACAGAGCAACTCCAAACTCCTTTGCCATCACTAAAGGGCCCTTCCTGCCTTTAGTTTTAGACCGTTGTATTCAATGTGAAGGTTGTTGCTTATAACAGGATAACGGTCATTTAAAATGTTAAAAGTAAGCATATTACCATTTGTTGAGAGTTTGCTACATGTAGGAAGCAAGAATGAGCAAGTGGTAAGAGTCAACACTGTCTTTCCATCCTCATAACATGCCAGGGAGGACGGTAAAATTATGCCCATTATCCTGATGAGGAAAACTGAGGCCCGCAACTCACATTACTTTCTTCAGATAATTGCACAGCTAGGAAATGGCAGGGCTGTGATTTTTACCTGTGCTATTAAACATTTGCCAACTCTGCTGCAAAAGGGAGACTGCTTTTTCATCTGGCCTTGACTCTTCAGCCAGCCACCTTCCTGCCTATGCCTCCCAGCTTTGGAGAAATTATAGGTGTAGCCTGTGCTTTGGGTTTTGTGCAAGGGCTCGCAAAAGTATGCTTGCTGGTCTCACACCCTGAATCATAGTTTAGCATTTAAAGTTGGAAACAATCTCTGTGGTCATCTAAATTTAATCTTTTTGCTGGCAGTTAGGGAAACTAAAGCTCAGGAAGGAAAAGTTCTGGACTGGGGCTTGAACCCTGGTCTCTAGACTTTGCATCCAGTTCTTCATCTATTAGAAGCCTCCTAGGTTCATTCATTCATTCAATTATTCACTCATTCATTTGTTCAGTCCCTTGAGCAGCATTTCAGTGAGTTTGCCTATATCATTTCACTTGATTCTCAAAAAATAAAAACTCATGAGATCAGTTACATTGTAGCTGATGAGACAAAGATGCAGATGAGGAGACTGAGTTTCAGAGAGGTGAAGCAAGTGGTCCAAGATCCCAGCAGGCAAGTAGCAGAGGTAGAATTTGAAGCCAGGTCTTTGGAGAAAAGGGAGGCAGCTGGGGAGTCGGATGAGGCAACCAGTTGGAGCTGGGTAGTCAGGGCAGCCTTGGCCTTTGGTGAGCTTCGCCTCCATTTTGGGAGTGAGGGGTGAAGGAAGTCACAGGGCTAGAGTTGCAGGTAGGGGTTGAGCTGGGCTGGTGGGTGAAGGGAGGCCATGGAAACAGATATCCCTGATGTAGGACCATGAGAGGGTCGCGGGATGGCCTTCCTGAGATGCCTCCAGGCAAGAATCTGAGGAGACCACACTGAGCACTGCCATCTATGGAACCATACCAGGGCCCCATGGCTGGGCTCAGCACCTCCTAGGAGTGGCACCAGGTCTGCATTCATTGGGTAGGACTAGGGAGGGGCTCAGAGAGGAGGACAGGTGCAGTGACCTGGTGGTTCACATCCAGTCACTCCTACCTATTCCGAAGTGTTGAATTCACAGCATCGAAGGGCTTATAGCTTATCCAGATTATTGGGACCAGCATTTCCCAAAGTGTGTGTGTAGGGGGGGCAATAGATGGGGGTGATTACTTGGGGTCTGCGAGGACAGGGAGATGGTGCATAAGCCTGGTTCTAAATAACATGTTAAGCAGTGAGGATTGCAGTCCCTCTTCAGTTCTCCTTCAAGCCTGTGATCACGCAGGGAGAAGGGTCTCACCTGGGTGCTGGCGTTTCTTTAACACGTCCCCTAACACTTGCCAGTCTCCTTTCACCCACCCTCCAAGTGTTTAGGAAGGACCAGCCTCTAACTAAAGCCTGTAACCTTCCTCATTCAGTTTTCATTTTACTTCTACTGTTACCTTCTATCAGTGGCAAATGGTCCCAGCTCATTAATGACAGTAACATTATAAAGACCTCCTTTAGGTTAGTGATTTAGGTTTTAAGAGGTTGCTGTTTGGGAGACAAGTATTAAGTCATGAATGCTGCAGGCTTCCTAGGCTGTGGCAATGTTGTGGAATAGAAGGAAAGTCAGTGCAGGTGGGAGGCATTGAGCCTGCTGGCCCTCCACTCTGCAAATGGAGTGTAGAGACAGGGCGGGGTTTGCCCCGAAACGTGCAGGAAGCCAGTCCTCCAGGCTGCCAGCGGACACCTCCCCTACTACCTTTTTCTTCCTGAGGACCTGCAATGCCTCCCTCTGCACCCTCTGTCATTTACACACCTGGAAATGTGTCCTCTTTATCCCAGCCTCTTCAGACATTGCTGCAAGTTCTGATCTTGCCTCATACTTGAGAAGCCCTCAGTCTTTCGGCAGATGGCCTGCTGGCGTGTAAGCAGGAAGGTAAACGCCCCCAGTTTCCATCCCTCACAGCAGGCACCTGTCTGCCCTCTCACGGGACTCCCACTTCCTGGCCAGGCTGCTATGGAAATTCCACTCAGTGTCCAGAACTCACCTGTAGCCTCACTTTCTCTAGTACCATTTCCTGGGGCCCCAGGGTGAAGGCACCCCCGCTTTGCTCTCAGCCCCCTGCGACTCCCACAGCACTTCCCACAGGATAGCGTGACTATCTGGTTATGGGTCCATCACCCCATTTTATTGTGCACACCTTGAGGCAAGTACAGGGCCTTCCTTAATTTGACATTCCCAGGACCTGGGCCTGACCCGTGGAAGGTCCATGGTGAAGACTGTTGAACAGTAATAATAGTTGTAACAATTGCCATTCACTGAATACTCCTTGCATTAGACACTGCGTGATGGACTTTATTTATATTATTTTATTGAATCCTCATAGCAGCCTCAATAATTAAGATCAAACACTATCCCCATTTTTATGAATGAGGACACTGAGCTCAGAGATGTTTAGTATCTTGCTCAAGGACACTCAGTAAAATACAGAACTGAGGCTTGAAACAAAGCAGCTCTGGAGCCAGTGTTCTCAGGAAGCTAGGGGAGGTGCATGGGGCGGCCACACACACACACACACACACACACACACACACACACACGCGCGTGCGCGCGTGCTCATACACCCATACTGAGACTGGAGTGATGAATGCACAGGTGTCTTCCCTGCCTCTCCTCCCCCTCTGTTTGCTGTTTGCTCCCACAGCCTCTGTACCTTCCGGGCCCCTGGCTGTGGCTGCCTGTGGGTGCTGCCGCCCTCGCCCTGCAGGCTGGCCTGGCTGCCCACCGGGAGCCCATTAGTCAAGTCATCCTAGGCAGAATTATGCCTTCACCGAAATGATATCCAGGCCCAGCGGCTGGGCTTGTGTGCAAATTTGTGCTGATTTGATTAGTTTGTTTAGTCATCGCTGCTGATGAGAGCGGGCCACGGCCACCAAATGACATTCTGCTGCCTGCAACTCTGTAATCGCTTTTGGAAGGGATATTATGTTAATATCTCACACGAGAGTCTCCGATCATGCAGGACGATGGGCGGCCAGGCCTGGGCCATATGGTGCATCCGAGGCCCTCCTTTGTAATCCTGGGTAATTGAAATCCTCTGCCTTATTCAAACTTGGAAAGCCCACCATATGATGGGTAGCAGAGGGCCCTTTGGCAATTTACTTGCCAGTCCTTTTGGGGACTTTCTTTGGGGTATGATGGCAGTATGAGCGGAGATTTATGCCAGAGAAACTTGACCATTTTTAGAAACAAAAATCTCTGGCGCTGGGCGCTGTCGCTCATGCCTGTAATCCCAGTACTTTGGGAGGCCGAGGCAGGCGGATCACGAAGTCAGGAGTCGAGACCATCCTGGCTAACACGGTGAAACCACGTCTCTACTAAAAATACAAACAAAATTAGCGGGGCGTAGTGGCGGGTGCCTGTAGTCCCAGCTACTCGGGAGGCTGAGGCAGGAGAATGGCGTGAACCTGGAAGGCGGAGCTTGCAGTGAGCCGAGATTGCTCCACTGCACTCCAGCCTGGGTGACAGAGCAAGACCTTGTCTCAAAAAAAAAAAAAAAAAAAAAAAGAAACAAAAACCTCTGGCACCTGATGGTTTAAGAAGAAAACAATAACCACAACAGCAATAATAGTAACTTCTAGTTAGCAAGCAGTTCTAATGTTCCAGGCGCCCAGATCAGGGCTTTACATAAGCTGAGGTGCTTTAGGGCAATCTGTCAGTCAAGTATTACTCCCATTTGGAGGATGAGAAAGCTGAGCCTCAGAGAGACCAACCAGCTTGCCTGAGGCCACTGGCGAAAAGTGGAGATAACAGGACTTCTCCCTTGTTTGTCTGACCACAAGCCTTGCTATAGTCAGACTCAGCTTGCAGGGTTTTTGAGAATATCAACAACCCCCAGACAGCTACCACTTAATGCAGTGCTTGGCAAGCTTCAGCAAGTGTCAGAAATCCCTGGTGGTCTCATTAAGGCATAAATTGCTGGGTCCCACCCCCAGAGTTACTGATTCAGCAGGTCTGAGGTGGGACCCAGGAATTTGCATTTCTAACAAGTTCCCAAGTGATGCTGGTGCTGCTGGTCCCGGGATCACACTTTGAAGACCACCAGCCTAGCCGATCCTTACTGTAAGTCCAGTACTGCCCAAATAGGAGAGGTAGGTATCCTCACTTTCATCTTTTTTTTTTTTTTTTGACAGAGTCTCGCTCTGTCGCCCATGCTGGAGTGCAGTGGCGCGATCCTGGCTCACTGCAAGCTCTGCCTCCCAGGTTCACGCCATTCTCCTGCTTCAGCCTCCCGAGTAGCTGGGACTACAGGCACCTGCCACCACGCCTGGCTAATTTTTTTGTATTTTTAGTAGAGACGGGGTTTCACCGTGTTAGCCAGGATGGTCTCGATCTCCTGACCTCGTGATCCGCCCGCCTCGGCCTCCCGAAGTGTTGGGATTACAGGCGTGAGCCACCGCGCCCGGCCTTTCACTTTCATTTTTCTGATGAGGAAATGGAAGCTTGGATAGGTGAATTTGCTTTCCTAGTGTCTTTTACCTAGGACATAGGATGTGAAAGGAGGTGACTGTGTCCACAGCCAGAAAGTTTGTAAAACTAGAACTCAGCCCAGGTTTCCTGATTTACCATCCAAAGAGGTGGCCTCGGGGAGGTGGTGTTACATTTTAATTTTGCCTCTGCCAGAAAACTGGAGGGTGTGTCAATGCTCGTTCCTAACGGCTTGCCTCATGGTCCCGGGAGGTCGCTCACATTCTCCTGCAGGACTTGGTGTGGCCGGCATGGCTTGGGCCATGGTGGGCTCCTGTTGTGTGGACTTGCAGGGCAGGCCAGGTCTCGCTGTGAAGCTACCCTGTGCTTGCAGGCAAGGACACCAAGCTGGGATAGAACCCTGGGCAGGTGAAGAGCTGGGAGGTTTGGGGCCGAGTGCATGGGCTTTGCTCAGTTCCGCTGTCCAGGATACTGCATGCTCTGCAAGGAGGCAGGTGACTGCTAATTAGAGGTCCCCGTTCCTTACCTAATGGTCAAGGTCTGCCCAGGCTGGCCAGAGAGATAATCATTGTTCAACCTCCCTTTATTCCCCTCCCCTCCTTGCCCTCCACTTCCCAACCAGGTGAAAGAAAAAGAGACTTGGTAATTCACTGAGCATCACCCAAGACCGGGCGCAGACCTACACCCTGGCGTATAAAAGACGTAGTACTCACGTCATTCCTGTTTCACAGATGCACAGACTTACTCTTGGAGAGGCTCCTCCCAAAAGTCACCCAGCTGGTAAGTGGGACAGAGCAAGGACTTGGAGTGACACAGGCTAAATCCAGGCCTCTGTCCACTCCTCCGACTGCCTCTCTCCTCCCTGTCCCTTTCTTTAAGATGCTAAGGAGCATTTGTCAGACTCCTGGAGGAGAAATATTGTTTTCAGTGATTCCCAAGCCTATTTGTCAGTTGAAACTCATTTATTTTCTTCCTTCTTTTCTCATTTTTTTTTTAAGTGCAGAGTGCCTTTTGGGAATCAGATACTAGGGACTCAAGGACTCCTGGCTTGTCCCCTTGTCTCCAAAGCCCCATCCTCACAGCTCAGGCAGCTGGGTGCCTGTGGTGTGCTCACTGGGCTGGAAGCTCCAGACGGGGCAGGAGGGAGCCTGACTATTCTCTGCAGTGTGGTGGCCCCAGGGCCTGGTGCTTGATACACACACACACACGCACACACACGCACACGCACACGCGTGCATATACATATGTATGTATTTATATTTGTTTGTTGGTAGCAAATGTTTATTTCTTATAGCTCTCAGTAGCCAGAAGGGCCATCCTAAGCCAGCCAGTCTTGCTTGCTGACCTGGAGAAATAAATGCCTCTTCTGCCAGGTAGCTTGGAGCACAAGGGCATAGGTGAAAACACGGGCCTCAGGGGCCTCACCTCTGAGTCCCATTCTGCCCCCTCAGAGCTGCGAGACCTGGGGCAAGTCCCTTTCTTCTCTGGGCCACAGGTATTCTCATGGGCCTCCCTCCCAGGCTTTTGTGCCAATCCAGGAGGCATGCAAGCCTCTGGGACGGTGGGCCATCCCATGGAGGTGAGCTGCTGCTAGGCTGCAGCCTTCAGAGGAAGAATTTGAATTAAACAGGGAGAGAAGTCACACCACCTCAGGGAGCCATCTAAGTCTGTGTTGTCTGAAGCAGTAGCCAGTTTAGACCTGTGGCTATTTACTTTCAGCAGATAATTAAGTTAAATTAAGCACAGTTCCTTCTGCACAGTAGCCACATCACAGGTATTCGGTAGCCACATCTGGAGAGTGGCTACTCTATTGGACAGTGCAGATGGGGACATGTCCACCATGGCAAAGATCCCAATGGGACTGCACCAAGTCCCACTGTGTTGTCATGCTTATTGTTTTCATGTCCTAACACTGCTCATGACACATAGCCTAGTGGAAGTCCCCTTGGATCTGCTTTTTGGAGAAAGAGGGGAACATGCATTTGAAATCATCCACTACATGATTTTATTTGCTCCTACACTGATTGATTGATTGACTTTTGAGACAGGGGCTTGCTCTGTCACTAAGACTAGAGTGCAGTGGTGTGATCATGCCCACTGAACTCCTGGCCTCAAGCCATCCTCCAACCTCAGCCTCCCAAAGTGCTGGGATTACAGGCGGGAGCCGCTGTGTCTGATCACACCTAGTTTTCTTTTAGATGCAAATATCCAAAACACTTGCAGAGTTAGCTGAAATTGGTTAGGTGTTCTCTCACCCATCTTATTCTATCACTTGCTCTATAGCCCTTTCTTAGCACCTAGGAGCAGCCTGGACTTCAGCTCAGCCCAGCTCAGGGTAACAGTGTCCCACAGCGTTAGTGATGTCCAGACGAATGAGGCTTTTACTCTACTTCCTAGGCTGGTGCCCCCAGCGTCTAGACTGCATCAAGATCACAGGTTCCTCTCTCTCCTGAAGGACTGTCTGCCACGGGGGACTCCCTGCCATTGTCCCACACATGCTATCAAGGCAGAGGGTGACGAGCCCAGAACCCAATCCCCAGTTGACACTCTGTCCATGAATTTAAGTCCCCCAAAGAATGCCCCTAATGTCCACTAGAGCCCTCTACACGACCCTGTCAGCAGTGATGGATATTACATTTGTGTGTCTAGTTGGAGTTCCAATTCTGCCCCTGCAATGTATTAGTTGTGTGACATGAGCATGTGACATAAACTTTTTGAGCCTTGGTTGACCCTTCTGGAAAGCGAAGACTCTGTTATCTTGCTCACCATGTGGCAGTGAGTTCACGTGAGATGGTGCAGTGTTTCCAAACTTTTCTAGCCCATGTCCCTTTTGCTAAACACAGACATCTCTGCCTTCCTTGTGGAAGACTCCACCTTTCTATACCGCCCCACTGATAAGTATTTCATGCACATTTACCAGCCAAGAACACTTTGTCCAACTTTCCCACAATTTGTATTATGAAATGAAAGGGTTTTTTTTGTCTTCCAAAAATATGAAATTATGTTTTGATGCTGGCTCTGTTGTTCCGAGCTATACCCTTTTGCTTCCCCTCGCCTTCCTTATCTTAGTTCTAGTATACCCCCAGAAGATCACCCCCACATCACAAATGGAACAGGTGGGCAGTGCCCGGTGATGAGCTGCAGGTGACAGGCACTCACGAAACAGTGGGTCCCCACACCCTGCAGAGGAAAGGAGACCTGCAGGCAGACCCTGCAGCCATGGCCAGATGAAGGTCAATCCAAGTCTGGTTTCGAGTAGCACCTCTGCAGACCCGCAAGTGTAGATAAGTTCCTTAATATCATCTCATAGCTCTCTTCACTTTTTAAAAAAGTAGACCTTATTTTTTAGAGCAGTTTTAGGTTTGCAGAAAATACAGAAACTTTCAGTATATCCCCTCCGCCCACTATCCCAGTTGTCTGCCCCATTGCTAACCTCTTGCATTGGTGTGGTACATTTGTTACAATGGGTGAACCCATATTGATACACTATTATTAGCTCCAGTTCATAGTTTACTTTAGGCTTCCTTCTCTGTGTTAGACAGTTCTACGGGTTTTGGCAAATGCGTTGTCTCCACACCCATCATTACGGTACCATACAGAATTGTTTTTCTGCCTTAAAATTGCCCCTTGCTCCGGCTACGCATCACCCCCCTCCTTCTACCCTGGGCCCAGTTTTCTTCACTTTTTCTTCAGTGCATTTATTGCAGTTGTAAAGATCGAATTTGGAATTACTTGATTAAAATCGGCCTTCCCCACGGGACCGTAAGCAGCTTCACGAGGGCAACCGCTACGTCGGGCTTTGCCACACTGTGTCTCCTGGGCTTTCTCACAGTGCATGGCATATGTTAGTGTAAACAGTTGAACAAATGAATGAATGAATGAATGAGTGAATGAGAAGTGAAGTAGAGGCAATGAAGGAGGCTGGAGGAAGGAGGTGTCAGGGCAAGAAGAGGAAGCCTCACCCAAATCAACATTGCCCATCCCAGGAGCCTCCCTTTGAGGACAATGAAATGGCAAAGCAAAACTGTTCTGGAACCAAATGGCTGATAACCCACGCTGGGGTTATCCTGGCGGTGAGTGTAGCCCCTCCTTGCCCCATCAGGGGTGACAAGGACAGGAGCAGGGAATTGATGTCACCAGAGCCAGGCCCTGAAATGGCCTGACAAGGGCTCAATCCGTCACTGTCTTAACCGTCGTGACTTTCGGAGTCACCTCCAGATTTTTTGGCCCAGTAAATGATTAAGCAGTTAAATAAAGACAGGCTCATTAAGGAAACATGCTTCCCTGCATATCTGCCCCAGTTACTCCTAAATTTAATCTGTCCATGAGCCAATTTCCAGGACAAACGCGCACAGGCTTTTTTTTTTTTTTTTTTTTTTTAAATCTCCAGAGCCTTAACTTTGAAGGTATTCATTGGCCAAGGCTTATCCTGATGCCGGTCTCCCCCATCCTGTCTCCTCTGAGACTCAATGGAGGGGTTCCTTCCCCACACCCAGACAATCCCGTGGGGCCGCTGGAGAAGGGGCAGGGCACTCGTGGGGCCCATTTGCCAGCAGGCAGGGCCGGGCCCATGAAAGCAC
This sequence comes from Homo sapiens, assembly GCF_000001405.40. NCBI lineage: Eukaryota > Metazoa > Chordata > Mammalia > Primates > Hominidae > Homo > Homo sapiens. The sequence goes on from NC_000005.10 coordinate 173,705,487, forward strand.
CCTTTCTTCTCTGTCACACGGCTGCTCCCAGCCACGGGGGGCTCTGGGGTATAATCGGATTGAGTTTCCTTGGCCAACAGGTTGGCTTTGTTCTCTTGTCCAGATTTTCATCCACTTGGCTCCCCAAGTTGCTGCTCGACCGCTCTCTGACCTGGATTCACTGAGGACACATCAGGCCTTTGCCACGGGCTCCATGGAGTGGCCGGAGCCCAGGGCTGGGTGAGTGTGGGGTGGGTCTGAAGGGGAGGACGTGCATCTAGAGGCCAGGCCAGCCCCTGCAGGATTTTCTGATGTCAAATCGCCTGTCCTGTGCCCGAGCCCTATCGCCTTAGCAGAATGAGGACACGTGCCTCCCCTGGGCCTCCCCACCGTGGCCTGAGTGAGTGTCTCTCCGGCTGCAGTGTTTGCAGTCAGCAGGTCAAGAGGGGACCCTCCTGCCCTGCTCCCATGGGGCTGCTGCTCCTTCTAGCAGTCCCAGCTTAACACCCACACTTCTTATACTGGTCCCAGGGCCCTCTATGGGTTAGGGTGTAGAAGGAGGTTGTGTTGGTTAAAAACACCAGGTGGAAATCTCTTTTCTCTGAATGCTGATGGAGTGCTGTTAGGGAGACAGTTCTTTTCAGTCTAGTTGGATCCTGGGTGAAGACTCAGGCCTCGCTCAAGAAGGGAGACCACCCATATGTGCTGTCACGTGTTTCCAGGGAGGAGGCTGGAAGTCCAAGATCAAGGTCCTAGTAGGTTTGGCCTCTGGTGAGGGCTCTCTTCATGGCCAGGAGCTTCTCCCACTCCTGGGCACAGATGGGCCCTGTTAGACTGTTGCCTTGCTCCCAATCAATCATGCCCCCTCCCACTGCCTCTGGGGTTGTGTCTGTGATGTCCTCTTCCTGGGGACAAATGCAGCTTCAGCTGCTATAGGCTGGGACTGTGGCCCTCCCTGCACCAGTCCCAGGGCCCAGCTTCCCCAGGCCACTAGCGTTGCTCCAGGAACAGTGTCCAAGTCAGTCCCGACTGCTAATAGAATCCCACGGACTGAGTGGCTTCAGGAACAGGAATTTATTTCTCACAGTTCTGGAAGTCCAAGATCAGGGTGCTGGCAGATTTGGCTCCTGGTAAGGGCTCTCTTCAGGCTTGCAGACAGCTGCCTTCTTGCTGTAACCTCACATGGTGGAGAGAAAACTCTGGTGTCTCTTCCTTTTCTTATAACGGCACTAATTCCATCATGGATCCCCCCACCCTCATGACCTCATTGAAACCTAATGACCTTTCAGAGGCCCCACTTCCTAATACTGTCACACTGGGGGTAGGGCTTCCACATACCAATTTGGAGACACACAAACATTTAGTCCATAAAAAATGGGCAGGTGGCCCAGACTAAGCTAATCACATCCTTTCCTGGGCCTGTCAGGAACCTTCTCTGGCTTTTGGTTTGTTTGTATTTTAAAATAGAAATAGGCAGATCTGTGAGAAGGTGAGGTGAGAGTTGCAGGCAGCCACCTACCTGCCCAGGGGAGGAGGCCCTTTTGCAATAGGAAAGAATGAAAACAGCACAAAGAGAGACGTGGAGGAGGAAGACGGAGAAGGAGGGGCGCTTTCGCCTCCCTGGACCCAGTGGGCCCTGAGATCTGCTTCTAACCTGTCTTTTCTCTATTGATTTTTGTCAGCTAATAAGTCTTTCTTTCTACATATATTCATTGAAGTTCCATTTGTTTTCCTTGCCAGTAAAAGAATGCTGACAACCTCAGGATTGGGCAAGGAGCTAGTCCTTTTCCCCTCTTGAGAGATGGGGTAGCAGAGTAGTAGGAGCAGAGCGGCCAGGCTGTCTGGATTTGAAGTTGTACGTGTTGGTCTGGGCAAAATTTTCAACTTCCTGCGCCTCAGTTTCTTATCTGTAAAGTGGGGTTAATAATAGTGCCCACCTCGTGCAGTCAGGGATGAGGATTAAGTGAGTTATATGTGTAAGGTGCTTTGCACACTGCCTGGTGTGCAGTCAGCTCAGCATCTGTGAGCTGATTTCCATCTCCCTTGGGTCTTGTGGCCTGTGAACACAGCCTTACTTGGCGCAAGTGCTGAAGGAAATGGAACGCACCCTGAGTGAGACAGCAGTACTCTCTTGTGACCCAGTTAGTAGCCAGCTGGCAGATTTCTGGTATTGCTCACTGCTGAGGGGCCGCTGGGTGCCTGATGAGTCCTGGGAAATGCCTGGGGCAGGGTGGCTGGCCTGGGCCTGTCTGCCCTGGGTTGCCCCTCCCAGAGCTCTCAGCATGGCAGCACTAAGGCCAGCTGGACCCTACTTGGGAGGATAGAGAAGTGGAAAGAACCCTGGGCCTGCAACCCAGCAGTTGTACACCGTGGTTTCCTAGAGGAACTCATGCACATGTGTCCTGGAGACCTGCAAGAGGACAGCACCATGGAGATGACCAGCAACTAATACCACCCAAAGGTCCACCAACAGGAGAATGGATACCCCAGCAGGGGTGCATGCATGCAACGGAACACACCACGTACTGGTGAGAGTGAATCAATGTCGGTCACACGCATCAACGCCGATGAGGCTGAGACTCGTAATATCAAATTTAGAATTGCAAGTAGCAGAAGGATCAAAGTTATATTTGTAATAAAGCTTAAACACAAGCAAATCGAGCACTGTATTGTTTAGGCACACATTCACATTTGGTAAAGACATAAAGCAAAGCAAGGGAACGAGACAAAAATGAAATCCCAGAGTAATCAGGTGGTCAGGTCTTGGGGGGTGGCGTGGAGTTGGGGAAGGGCATCAGAGTGGATCTCACCTCAGCTCCGACTGCTTTGGGAAGTTCTAGTTCTGACATGGAGTGGTGGGTTCACAGCTGTTTGATTGCTTGTTATGCTTTATAACAATATAAACTGCATATGTTCAGTTGAAATATTTCATAATAAAGGTTTTTTAAAAAAGAACATTGGGCTCATCTTTCCCATCAGATACAGGCATTTTTGTTTTGAATTTCTATTTCCTTTTTTTAATGAGCAAGGATCGTTTGCCTCTGAAAATATAAATTAAAAAAAAAAATAAGGCTGGGCACAGTGGCTCACGCCTGTCATCCTAGTACTTTGGGAGGCCGAGGTGGGTGGATCACTTGAAGTCAGGAGTTCGAGACCAGCCTGGGCAACATGGTGAAACCCCATCTCTACCAAAAATATAAAAAATTAGCCAGGCGTGGAGGCGTGCGTCTGTAATCCCAGCTACTTGGGAGGCTGAGGCAGGAGAATCGCTTGAACCCGGGGGGCAGAGGTTGCACGAGCCGACATTGTGTCACTGCACTCCAGCCTGGGTGACAGAGCGAGACTCCATCTCAAAAATAAATAAATTATTTAAATATTTTTTTAGAAAAAGCACTGGATTTGCAGTTGGGAGCACAAGACTTGGGGTTGCCCCTTCCCACAACCACTGTCATTGCTGGGACCTCTGCAGCCATCTCCTCCCGGCCTCCATCCTCACCCACTCCATTTCAGTCTCTGTTTGGCCCCCAGCTGAGTTATCTTTGTAACCATAAATGGCATTCGCTCATTTTACTGCTTCCTGAAGTCCAAGCCTGTTCTTTTCAACCATGTTTCTCCCTGTTCCTCTTCACCATTTGTATGTAGCCAGATGTAGAGTTCATGGAACCAAAAACCTGCCTTCTGCTTCTGTGTCTTTGCTCAAGCTGTACCTGGGAAAATAAGTCATCAGGTCTGAGCACCAGCGTCTGGGTCTCAGTGCTCAGCATGCAAAAGAGACTGGGTTTAGGCTCTGTCACTCACCATGAATTCTACACGGAATGACTTTTCTGTCCCTAAGTGATCCTTCCAGGCTCATTTCAGGCAACACCTCTTCCAGGAAGCCTTCCCTGATATCCAGCCTTTATTCTCACAGCTCCTCTGGTAATCCCTATCAAAGTACCCTGAGATTTCCACAGTACTTTGGAATTTTCTGTGTATGTGCCTCCTCCACTAGACTACCTACTCCCCAAAGGCAAAAACTGGGTCTTATTTTGTTTGTCTCAATAGCAACTGTACCAGCCGTGGCATGGTGGCACTCAAATGGTAACGCCCTGAGGGAAAGGTTTTGCCTGTTTTGCTCATCTATGTATTCTAAGTGCCTAGAACACTGCCTGGCATATGGTAGCTGTGCTGCAAATGGTTATCGAGTGAATGAATAAATGTTAACCTGTACTGAGTACTGAGTAAAGTTCTATTGCTTGGAAGCTGTGTGAGCTTTGGTGAGACACTTAACGTCTCTGAGCCTCCCTTTCTCCCTCTGTCAATGGGGAGATTAATAGTACTATTCTTGAAGGATCACCATGAGATTTGGCAGAAAGATGCATGTGACAGAGCCTAGAAAATGGCAGGTGCACAGCCCGCGCTGCTTCATATGGATTTAACCCTGGCCCCAGTGGCCTCAGGCAAATTCCCAGTGGCTCTGAGGTTGTCCATCTGAGCTCAGAGTCCCCGCTCAGCCTCCCTGGGTGGTCCATGGGAAAAGGGGGTCGCAGGTCTGTGCTCCTCCTCCTTAGCCACGGGCCAGTGACCCCTAGGGTCACCTCTGACTGCTGGGTCCGTGGATCTATTGTGCAGGGCCTGTTGGTGGCTGGGCAGCCTCACTGAGTCTCCAGAGCCCAGCTGGTCAGTGCAGCCAAGGTCATGGTCCTCATTCCTTGAATGGCTCTTTCTTTAAATTGACGCAAACTCTTCTTCAGCAGCCACAGGTAGCTCCTAACGCAGCCAGCTGTCTGAGCACTCTCTTAGGTCCCTTTGGGTCCTAAAATGCTAGAGAGGGGGCAGGATAGATGGAGGAGGTGTCACACAGACCTAGCTCCAGCGCTGCCTTCCCCAGCTTCTGGCTGTCTGACCTGACCTGGCTGTCTGACCTGTCTGCAAGTGACTTCACATCTCAGAGCCTCAGTCTCCAAGTCTGTTTTTTTCTGTTTTTTTGTTTTTGTGTGTTTGTTTGTTTTTTGAGACAGAGTCTTGCTCTGTCACCAAGGCTGGAGTGCAGTGGCACGATCTTGGCTCACTACAACCTCTGCCTCCTGGGTTCAAGCAATTCTCCTGCCTCAACCTCCCGAGTAGCTGGGATTAAAGGAACGTGCCACCAGTCCCAGCTAATTTTGGTATTTTTAGAGGAGACGGTTTTGTCATGTTGGCCAGGATGGTCTCAAACTCCTGATCTCATGTGATCCACCCGCCTCATCCTCCCAAAGTGCTGGGATTACAGGCGTGAGTCACCGTGCCCGGCCCAGTCTCCACATCTTGTAAGTGGGGAGATAAAACCTATCTAAGGGGGATATTATGAGGAGCAGAGAGAAGGCATGTCATTCTCCTAATTAATTGGCATTCACTAAAGAGTTATGTGATTATTAAATACATAATAAAATATAAAAATATAAGGTGCTCTAGTTATATAATCATGAGGTCTGAGGATGGTGATGACTGCACTTCAGTGGACTACCTTATGAGGGACTGACTGTCAAGAAGCTCTGTGCATGTGTGCTTGTGTGTGTGCATCTGTGTATTATATATATACATATACGGTATATAAATAGGCACTTTTATTATATAAGAAAATGATGTCACAGTAAAAATGCATAAATATTATTGAGCATGTTTGTATAAACGAGTGAACAAAGAGACATTTGGGATGCAAGACCAGTGGTATAATCTGCCCAAACACAAGCCCCGTTTTACTGTTGCTAATGCACAAAGAGAGGGCTGGCAGACATGGCCTGCATGCTCTGTACACCTGCCCATCTGCACCACACTCCCCCATGGTCTTGCTGTTGTTGCTGTGTTGGGCTCATCCCACCTCTCACACCAGGACCATAAAGGCTTTCTCAGTACTGCTGATTTCTCCCTCACAGCACTTGTCAGAGTTGACACATTGTGTTTATTTATAATTGTCAGTTTACGTGTCTCCTCTACCGGACTGATGGTCAGCCGCACTGAGGTCAGAGGTCCCATCTGATTTTACTCTCCATTTTCTCCCCAACACCCATTAGGGTGTGTGGTGCAGTGTAGATGCTTGATAAAATAATTGAACAAATCGATGGATGGTTGGATGGTCAGAGGGATGAATAGACGAGTGGTTGGATGAATAGATGGTGGTTGGATGGATAAATGGTGGAATGGATGGGTGGACAGATGGATGGAAGATGGGTGAATGGATGGAAGAGGGATGGATGAATAATTGAATGGATGGGTGGATGGGTGAGTAGACAGATGGATAGAAGATGGATAGATGGATGGATGGATGGATGGATGATGGTCAGATGGATGGATGGTTGGGTGGATGAAAGGATGGATGGGTGGTTGGATGAATATCATAGACTTTCCCTTAAGGAGCTTACCATCCATTTGGAGTCACAAGATCAAGACCCAGAAAATAGTCAGTGGTAACTCACGTCATTTTGCGGTCAAGGGTCCTGTGCCCCGTGACAGAAGGACCTATTCCTGTGAAAGGAATAGAAAGGGCCTTGTGGTTGACAAGGGTGGAGAGAGGCCCATGGTCATCTTCTTGAAGAATGGTCCTTGCTTCTATGAAGCAGGAAACATATTTCAAAAAACCCAAGGACAGCCTTTTATGAACAACCTCTCTATGTCTTTGCTGAAATTCAGTACTGCATCACTCAATTCCTCAAGCTTGTATTAGGCTGTCGTCATGCCAGATCCTGGGCCATGTTCTGAGGACACAGAGATGAGCCAGAGGGTCTCTGCCTGAGGCCTCAGAGTCTGGGGGAGACAGATCTGTAAACTGTGCAACCAGGCAGGCCACAGCAGAGGTGTGAGCAGAGGAGAAACAAAACAATCTAAACGCTTTGGTGGAGACAAGCAGTCAGACAAAGGGTGGGGAGGAGGTGGTGTTTAAACTGATTCCTGAAGGATCAGTGGGAGTAGCCCCCTCCCCAACTCCATCCTGATGAGAGAAGTTTTTCTGATAGAGAAAAAAAATGAGGGCAAGGAGAAAAACCGGGTGAGAGCTTCCTGGCTTTCGAGACTGAGTGCCAGTGCTGGTGGGGAGAAATGAGCAATGAGGCTGGGAAGTTAGGTGAGCCCTGCCTGGTTGGCCAAGGGCCTGGGCTTCCCTCTGAAGGTAATAGGGAGCTCTTGATGGGATTCACGCAGATGGGAGACCTGATCAAGCTTGAGGCAGGGTGGAAGAGGGACAGGAGAGGGCGAGTTGGAAGCAGGGAGGCTGGATGGGAGGCCATGGCAAGTTTGCAAGTTGGCACAGGTCTAAACAGAGGCAGTAGAATAGAAAGTCAAAGAGGAGAGGCCCCAAACATCTTAGGCAGGACATGCTTGTTTATTCATCTCTGAAAGTGAAAGGGAGGCAAGTACAGATTTAGTATGCCACTGTCCAGAGCGAATCGTAAGGGTACAGGGTTGGTGACTGACATTCCTGCTCCAAGAAACTCAAGAAACCTGACCTGTCCCCATCCCCCGCTCCCTGTAAATGTCTGTTTTTGGTTCCTCTTGCCCACCGGATGCAGAAAGGAGGGCCAGCCATGCAGAGCTGCAGCGAGGCAGAGCATAGGGCCAGGTTTCCACGATGTGGAGAGAAGGAGTGGCCCTGCGAGCAGGCGAGGGGGGTAGGGTGGGGAAAGGAAAAGGCATGGAAAACTGCAGACCATAACCCTTGGCAAGATCCAAAAGAAGAGGAATAGTGGAGGATGCAGAGAAAGGGACCACTACAGCCGTGGGCAGGAGTTTCTATTTCCAAATGGATGTGGGGAGGAAGATTTCAGAGGGAACATATTTGCCAGGAGAATTTTGAGAGAAATGACTCAGGGTTCCACAACAATAGCTAATAGGGCAGCAATGGATTGGAGAATGTATATATCTTTATGTTCTAAAACATTTTTTTAAGGAGACACTCTAAGGCCAGAATCGCAAGTGCATGTCTTTGTGGACAGAGCAGGTCACACAAATGAGGAAAGTGGACCACATATTCAAAACACAATAGCTCAAGCATGATAGCCAGCTGCAGGTGACACCAGGCTATAGTGTCCAGGAGACAATAGAGAGGGATAGGGACTGTGGCAAACTGGAGAGCACAGATCCACAAGGGCACAGCAGCAGGTCAGCTCCCACTACTGCCACCCTGTAGGAATACAGGGCTGGGTGGCCATGTTTTCTGATTTTTCAAAAAAATTCAGAAATTTTGATTTTTTCAGGAAACCTCCTGATATGTAAATAGTAGCAGCTAGTTCAGATTTTACCCTGTGTAATAAAACAAAACCATCCAGCCTGTGGGACTGCAGTGGGTCCCTCTGCTCCCCAGCAACCTTGCAATCAACTGAAAACCCACGTCACACAGGTCCTGCTGCCTTCACTCATGTCTGCGGCTTTTCCCCAGGGGGTCTGGAGAGAGAACAGGGCTGGGAGTCATTTGTGGCGTTAACTCCTGGTAGAGTTCCACCTCTAATGTGGGTCCTTGAGCAAACCCTGTAATGTTTCCAGGCCTCCGTTCCTCCACCTATATAATGGCGGCAAGATCTTGGCTCTTCCAGCCAAAAGTCTCTTCTTTTACAATTTTCCCAGATCACTACCACCTTCTGTTGATTGAGGTCCTCCTATCTGCCAGACCCTGTGTTACTCACTCTAAGTCCCTTGCCCAGGATCGCACAGCTATTGATGTTGCAGAGGCTGGATTCCAACTCACACCTGTCTGACTTCAAAGGCCTTTGACTTAGGTACTATATTGACTCCAGTGAAAGCAACTTATTAAATAATTCAGGTAATGCTCCAGGAAAGGGGAGTGTTTTCTATTGCTCTTCATGTACCACCCAAATTCTAAGAGATCCAAACAGTTAATTTTTGCAGCTGATGGGCCAGTATAGATTTTTTAGAGTTCCCTTCGACCTTATAAAAGGCAGAGGAGTAGAGGACTTAGCAAAAGGCCAGAGGAATCAACAACATGAGATGCACCAGGGGTCTCACCCAAGGCTTCAGACAGGCCTGGACTGGCCGACTAGGTGTCAGTCAGCAGAAGAGCAGAGGAAAGAACTCACCCCAGGAGAAAAGTGAGGTGCACGAGCATGTCAAGAACAGGGCCTCTGTTGGAGGGCAGGGGTGGCTGTTCATACAGCTCAGTGGCTGTTCCTTCCTTAAGTGCGGGGACTGGAGCAGAAAGCAGAAGGCCATTTGCATTAAAGTGTGCCACTCTGAGCACCCAGGCCTGTGTCCCCACAGACTGCCGTTCCTTCAGTTATTTCAAATGTCGCCTCTTTCTACTCAGCTGTTGAAGTCAAAAATCTGGCGTCATTCTTGACCTCTTCTTTTACCTCAAGTCTCAAATTCAGTCCATTGCCAAATTCTGTGACTCACCCCAAAATGTCTCACAGCTGTGTCATCTTCCCTCCTCTGCACTGTCCCGGCCGTGGCTGCTCTGCTGGTCTCCTCCTTCACCTTGCCCCTTTCCAGTATCTTTGTGACACAGCAGCTAGAGAAGTTTTTATACAATGCAGATCTGGCCCTGTCTCTCCTCTGCTTAAAAACCCTTTGGTGACTCCCTAGGGCACCATTAATAACGTTGCAAGCTTCCCTCCATGACCTACAAATCCTTCTGCTATCCCTCACACACTGTGCTCCCGCCACCCCTGCCCTCTTTTCAGTTCCTCAAATATGTCAAGTTCTTTCTGGCTTTGGAGTCCTACCAATGTGGATCTGAATCCCGGGTAACCTTGAGTAAGTGCTGTCACCTCTTTGAGCCCCATTCTGCTCATCTCTGAAATGGGTATAATTGTATAACTTATTTCAAGGCATCATCAGTATTGACTTTCTTGCTTTAAACTTACAATCCCATGGAAAATCCCACGGAACACTCTTTTGCTTTAAACCTACAATCCTATGGAAAACGGTGGAGAGAGAAGGATTAATGTCATCCACTGACAATTTCACCTTCATCACCTACTTAACAACGACAAAGTAAAAGACATTCATCCATTTTGGCTTCTGTTTAAATGAGTCATACAATGAAATATCAACCATTTTCACTTAAAAAATTACAGTCTACAACACTTTTTAAAAAATTTTGTGTCAATTACTCCCTTGTTTCTCTGTATACTTTTATGACCTATTTATGGATTTCTAAACAAAGTCTAGCTATTTTGTCTGGTTTTGGACTTTGTGCAAATGGAATCATACTCTCTGTGCTCTGTGACTTGCTTCCTATATTCACGTGAGGATCTGGGATTCACCCAAGCCCGTGCCTGCAGCAGCCACTTATTCATTGCCACTGCTTGCATCGTACTGCCCCGGAGGAAGGTAGCCCAGTTTTCTCACACATTCTACTCTCTGTAGACATTTGGGCTGTTCCTGGTTTTGCTATCTTGAATGATCTTGCTGTGCGCAGGCTGTGTGGGTCTCCTGGCACTGGAATGCTACAGTTCCTGGAGGGGACACACCTAGGAGTGCAGTGGTAGATCCCAGTGTGTGCGCATGTTCAGCTTGACTAGGAATCACCAACTGTTGCCAAAGGGCTCGCTCCACAAGGATTCTCCCACCAGCAGTGTCTGTTCTACCACATCCAACTGGGAAGAAAGGTGGAATGAGACGAATACGGAAAGATTACTTTTCATATATGTGTGTGGATAAGTGCATAAGTCTATGTAATTATCATATGTTTTATGCATTGTTATGAGTGTACGTGACTTCGTTAATTTCTGCAGAGGTTTAAACCATGTTTGCTCAAACCTCTGGGGTACCCCACTGTGGCTTTCATTCGCACGAATGACCAAGGTCTTGCTCAGCACCTTCAGTTCCTGCCTGGAGCCCACCAGGACCTCTGCTGAACCTCTGCTCAGACCCTCCAGGATATAGCCTGGGCTGACCGCAGTCTTGAACAAGTCCAGGAATGATGAAACCTGTTTTTCTAAGACAAATCCCCTAGAATGACATTCAAAGTCCTTCCTATGCTGAAATAACACCAGCTCCTGCACCGAAATAACACCAGCTCCTGCACCAAAATAACACAAGCTCCTGCACGGACCTCCTGGTTGCTCAGCGTTTCAGGCACGTTCTGCCTCTGCACATTCACCCTCAGAGGCCCTCTGGAGGGTCACCCTTCCCTGGATTTTCCTTCCCCAGGCTCCTCCATCCCTCAGTCTGTTCAGGTCTGTGCCCAAGATCTTCTCTGACCACCCTGTCCAGAAGACAGGCCACCACTCCTGGCTGTACCTCACCCTGCTCTGTTTTTCTTGTAAACATGACCTCCCAATGCCTTATACATGGATGTGTTCCTCTGTTCTCTGTGTTTCCACCAGAAGGTGAGTGCTTTGGGGTAGGGATGCATCTTTTCACCTGTTGGGTTAACTGTGCTCAGAGCTGTGCCCACCACATAGCAGATTCTCAAGATAGAATTGCTGAACCTATTTACGAGTGAAGGAGTCCACACCATGCTTTAAAACCTCGCTGTGAGAGATGGGTTCAGGAATGAGTTCTTTCCTTTTCATTTAAAAACAGTCCTTGGCCAGGCGCGGTTGCTCACACCTGTGATCCTAGCACTTTGGGAGGCTGAGGCTGGTGGATCACCTGAGATCAGGAGTTCGAGACCAGCCTGGCCAATATGGTGAAACTCTGTCTCTATGAAAAATACAGAAAATAAGCCGGATGTGGTGGTGTGTGCCTGTAATCCCAGCTACTCAGGAGGCTGAGGCATGAGAATCTCTTGAACCCGGGAGGCGGAGGTTGCAGTGAGCCTAGATTGCACCACTGCACTCTAGCCTGGGTGACAGCAAGACTCTCTTTCAAAGAAAAAAAAATAACAACTCCTTATTAAATTCCTCTGCAGAAATTAGTGAAGTAGCTTGCACTCATAACAATGCATAAAACATATGATAATCACATAGGTCTATGCATTTATACACACACATATATGAAAAGTAATCTCTCCATATTCATCTCATTCTACCTTTCTTTCCAGCAACTAATATTAGTTGTCCTCATATTCAGACACATACAAAAAATAGGGCTTCTTAGTTGATTTTTACCAAAAAAGTGGGATCCTACAGTATTCTGTATCTTGTTTTTCTCATTTAACAATTATGTGCTGGACATTAATCCAGATAACTGCATATGTAGAAAACTTTTTTTAACAGGTGCAAAATATTCTGTTGTGTGGGTGACCCACAATTTATTCAATTATTCCCCAGCTGACAGACAAGCAAAGGTGGCTTTTAGATTTTTGCCACTATGAACAGTACTGCAGTAACACCTTGTACTTACAAATCGTATAAATGATTGTTGTTCTATAGGACAGATTCCCACGTAAGGGATCCCTTTGTCAAAAGATACATGCATTTTGTATTTTAATAGATGAGGCTAGGTTATTTCAACATGTCACGTATTCTGCCCTTTTGCTGTCCTGAGCTTTCTTTGCTCCTGATTTCCCCAGCCCCCTTCCCCCGCAGCCCCACCCAAGATTGCCCAGAAGTGGGGTCCATCCTAACTTCCCAGGAGGCCCAGTTTCCAGGTGCAGAATTGCGCCTGGCCAGACTACCCACCCATGGGAAGCCATTTCAGTTCCATTCCCACAGTAACGTGCGCGGGTGCCTCAACTCTCTTCCCTCCAGCTGCTCACAAGGCCAGGCCTGGCCCTGCAAGGTGGCTTCAGCAGCAAAGGTGGCGAAAGCGGGAGGGAGGAGGAAAGAGGCAGGAAATGACTACGGGAGCCACCCAGAGCTTATCCTCATTCCAGCTTCCGGTTCCCTTTTTGTTCTGAGCATCTCATAGCCAGTGTATTAGCAATGATGATGCCAACAGCAATAATAAAAGTCAACATGCATAGCAGTGACCCTCAGCGGGGCAGCTCTTGTGCCACGCCCCCCTCCCCAGGGGACACTTGGCAATGTCTGGAGACACTTTTGATTGTCACAACTCGGAAGGGGGTGCTAATGACATCTAGCAGGTAATGGCCAGGGAAGCTGCTAATTTCCCACAACGAAAAATTATCCAGCTCAAAATGTCCATAGTGCCGTGTTTCTCACAAATGCCTGGTTTATAGGGTGCTTCCGGCACGACGGGAGCTGTGCTAAGTGGTCAGCACATGCAGGACTAATTTAACCTTCACACTCTTCTTTGAGCTAGGTGTTATTATTACACCCACTTTACAGGTGAGGATACTGAGACTCGGAGAGGTGAAGTGACTTGCTCACGGTCCACAGCTGTGGAGGGCAGAGGCGGCACCTGACCTCAGGTCTGCTTGACTTCACTACACCGAATGGTCTTTGTAGGCCAGCTGGCTCTGTGCTGTAGCAGCAGACAGGGCATCTGATACAAACCTCATGACAAAGAGTTGGTGGGTGGGAACGGCCTGGATGTGATCTTGGTCGTGCCTACCTACCTCTGACACAGTAGGGAGGTCTCTCTGTGACTCCTCAGCTTCTGAGCTTCTTGTGAGGTGGGGCAGAGGGGAGCTGACATAGCAGGTGAGGCATCCTCTGTGGCTGGGAAGCTGGCAGCCGAGGAAACGCGCGGTGCAGCCGTTCCTATTGTCTGATGTGACGTTCCCAAGCCGAAGCTGGGCTGTTCTTTATGACACCTGGGAGTGTACATTTGTGTTCTCTGCCTGTGCATGCTCGTGTGTGTGAGTTTGCCTGTGTGCACTTACCCATATGTGCCATGGTGGGTCTATAGATATATGCGTAAGTGTGCTCTGTGTCTTTGTGTGTAGGTTTGCCTTTGTTCATGTGGTGTCTCGTTCTCTATTTGCCTATGTGTTTGACTATACAGGCAAATTTGTCTGCATGCATATCTCTATCTGATTATATTAGAGCTGGGTGTCCAGGTGTGTGTGTGTGTGTGTAGGTGATGGGGAGCTGTGGCTGTTGTATCTATGTGTGTATGAAGTGAGTCTGGGTGTGTGTGTGTGTGCACATATGAAGGTGTAATAGTGTGCTTTTATGTACATATATTTTGGACGGACTGTACATGTGTGTCTATATATGTATTTGTGTGTGAATAGTGTGTACTTAAATACCTGTGACTGTGTAAACTGTGTGGCTTTGTGTACATGTATATAGAGGTGGCTGGGTGCAGTGATTGCTCTGTGTGTGTGTGTGTGTGTGTGTGTGTGTGTGTGTGATAGAGAGAGAGAGAGAGAGAGAGAGAGAGACAGAGAGAGAGACTCCAGGCTCTTACCAACACAGAAGCTGGAAAAACACTGCTCTCCATGTGTTCTTTCAGCCTCCAAGAATGTCAGCCTCTCCTTAGGTCAGAAAAGATGAGCACAGGGCGAGGAGCTTGACCCAGGCCCTCACTCCCCACCCTCACCGCCCCAGCCTGCCCCCACAGTGCCAGCTGTCAGGGACAGAGGGCCTCAGGCCTCACCCCCCTGCCAGCCAGTCACTAAGGCTAAACATTTACTGAGGCCTGAGGCCATGTTTGTTTAAACCTCCGGGGTCACTGCACACATGCGATCTGTTTTGGATGGCTTCTGTTCTGCAGGCTGAGGGGAGCAGGTGCCGGCTTGGCAAGGTACCCGGGGTTGCAGCTTCCCTCCGTGAGATGCGCTGCTGAAATCAAGGTTTGCTTCATCTCACAAGAAGTTTAACCTTGGCAATGCGTTCGCTGACCTACTCTTTCAGAGTAATGTGTCCTAAACTCTAGTGTCTTTGTCAACCACTGTGTATCTTCTGTAACTCTCCTCTGTAACTCTCTTCTGCAACTCTCCTTACGCTTTTCTTTAAATTGATCTGCTTCTAGAAACGTAAGTACCTATTTTAGCTTTATTCAAAGCAATTTTATCTTGTGTGATCAAGGGTTAGATATGCTAATTATAAGTTTATATATATTTTTATATCCTTAAAACATATGAAAATAAAAAGCATTGAGCCCTCTGTTCCCTCACATCGCCTTGCTGGCCCTGTGTCGGGAATGAAAATGCCTCCGAGGCTGCCTCTTGCCTTCTGTTTTAAAGGTAGCAATCTATTTCAGGAGATCTTATTTTCTTACAACTTGCCCAGGAAGACACCTTTTGCATAAAAACAGGCAGGTCTGCTGTACCCGGGAGAGAGCTTTCCAAATCCCCAGATGGAGAATGTGTGTTTCCTGGATCTGGCAGGAGGCTGGGGGAGCCTCAGGGTGCAGTGCTGGAGGCTGCACAGGAGTTTCTCCAGACCTCTGTGCCTCCCTTCCTCCTTGGTCAGGATCCTCCCCTGGGGACCTGGCTCTGTAGTGTCACTGCCTTGGTAATCCCGAGCGAAGACTCAGGCACAGAGCTTCCTTCCTTTGTGGGGCGGGGGGAGAATAAGAGGGGAGGGGAGAGAAAGGAAGAAGAGAGCAGAACAGAGGGGAGGGGAGGGGAGGGGAGGCAGATGCCCAGACAGATGGGCCTGGCCATGGGCTCTGCAGGCCTAATGAATTTCCTTCCTCCACCCTCAGGCAGGTCAGTAAATGAGACCAGCGACAGCATCTGGGATGACTCCAGGATGAGGCTAATAAATCAGGCCTAGAATGAATCCTGCTTCCCTGGAGATGGAGGAGGTAGGCCAGGCAGCAGGGAAGCTGGAAGGGCCCAGAGAAGCTCCAGCAGCAGCCAGCCCTTCGATGGTACTGGAAGGAGCTCCCTTCCGACAACAGTCGGTGGCTTCCAGAGGCACTGACTGTGCAGGGTTGAGTCCCAGAGTGGATAGGTGGGTGGGGTGAGTTTTCCCGATGGCCTGGCTTGCTGACCTCTGGGCCTCGGCCAGGGACACCCTCCCCAACTGTCGCTTAATTTATTCCTACAAATCTGCTAGTCTCAGTTCAGGCATCACCTCCTCCTTGGGGAAAGAAGCCTTCCTGGACCCTTGGGGGCCATACCCATGCACCCCTAATGTTTCCCGAACTTCTGCCATCAGCCCACTCACCACATCAGGCTGTGTTTGCACCTCCCCTGGAATGCAAGCTTATGGAGACAGAGATGAGCTGCAGCCCTAGTGGCCAGTGATGTGCCTGGCATCTAGTAGGTGATATTGATATTCATTGATATTGATACTCATTGATATTATTAATAAGTTGAATGAAAGACAGGAGAGAGAAGAGAAGGTAGCAAGCATTGATAATTCTCTGGGGAAGCAAACCAAACTTGTCCCTGGACAGAGGGGGCTGGAAGAAGTCTATGCCATTCTGGCAACCCAGGGCCCTGGGGACACTCAGTTGCTCAAGGGTGGCCCCACCCCTCCCGAGGATGGGACCTCAGGCCAGGTATTCACCTTCCTGAGGCTCAGGAAGGCTCCTTGCCAAAAGGAACCTTTGGGAAAGCCTGGGTTGTAGGAATGAAATGAGGTAAGCTATTTGGAAATGCTTTGGCAAGCATCAAGTCCTTTACTCCCGTGAAGCGTGAAATCACACCATCCCCCGGCTGGATGAAACATGAAAGAATATAGCGTCGAACTGAATTTTGCCGATGAGCAACCGAGTCCAGATAAGGGTAGTGAACTTCCCTGTTCTCATACGCTGGTGAGGTAGACCATGGCCCTGATAGCCCAGGTTCTGGAGCTAACCTGCCTGCGTCAGAACCTGGTGGTGACTTGGGAGCTGTGTGCCTGTGGGTATGTCATTTACCCTCTCTGAGCCTCTGCTCTCTGTAAGACTAGGCTCTGAACTGCACCTACCTCAGGGTGCTGTACAGAGTATGAAACAAGATATTCCTAAAACCACTTGTTTCTTGATTGCCTGCTATGAACCAGGCATTGTAGTATTGGAAATTAAGCAGGGAACATATCAGAGAAAAAAAAAAGCCCTGCTTTTAGGAAGCAGTATATTCTAGAGGGAAGGAATGAACAATGGAAACAACCTTTTTAAGGTAACAGCATCGGTGTTTTAGGGCTGATAAGTGCTGGGAGGGAAAGGCAAGCTGAGGGCGAGGGGACATTCATGTGATTCTGTGTGGGTAACGTGGGGGGTTTGCAAGCTCGTGTTGGGATGCTGGGGAAGTCCTCCCCAAGAAGGTCTTTTGACTAAAGCCCCTGAGCACAGGGCTGGCCAGGAGGGAGCACTCAGCAAAAGGTACTCTCAGAGTAACTAAGAAACAGAACCACCTCTGTCCACCACGGAAGTACCTTTCAGTTCCCGCCAGGGTATCCTCCGCTACCCAGCCCACTGCCCATTGGCTAACTTCCTCCTGCCCTCCTGACTGCACAGTCTGGGCTACCAGTCCTTCCCAAGGAAAGTCAACTTCTGTCCCACATCAGAATCATGTGCAGGTGTGTGTGTGTATGTGTGCACACACGCACACGAGCACATGTGCGTGGGCATGCGTGAGTGCGTGGCTGTGACACTTGCATTTATGGATAATCCTGTATCCATGTGCTCAATGAAGGAGAGTATGGTGCATATGAGTGGAAGTATGAGGTCTAAATTCAAGGGTATGAATATAATTGTTGAACATATTAATTTGTGTCTATAAAGAGGAGTGTGCCTGTGAGGGGGTGGGGTTTGCCTGCATGCGTGTGCATGTGCACAGGAGGCTGTGTGTGCTGGTGCATGCGTGTGCCAGGCATCTTGGAGAGAGGTGTGAGCAGCCTGGCTGGGAGGGGCTTCTCTGCGGGCGGATTTCAGATAACAGGAGGATTCTGGGCTCAGCCAGGAATTCTGGGTTTCGCCATGCTAGGCCCAGCTGGGGGAGGCTTGGACTAGGAAGGGGTTGCGGGTAGAGCCTTCAGAGGACATTGTGGGGCCAAAGTGAGGCTGGCATCTAGGTGGTCCACATTTCCATGGAGAAATACCCTAGTACAGCAGGCTGTGGCACCAAAGAGTGTGTCCACAGGGACAAAGAAAATTTACTATGTTTGCAATTAATAATAGCACCTACGGGCCAGGCGTGGTGGCTCACACCTGTAATCCTAGCACTTTGGGAAGCCAAGGCAGGCAGGAGATCGAGACCATCCTGGCTAACACGGTGAAACCTTGTCTCTACTAAAAATACAAAAAATCAGCCAGGTGTGGTGGCGGGCGCCTGTAGTCCCAGCTACTTGGGAGGCTGAGGCAGGAGAATAGTGTGAACCCGGGAGGCGGAGCTTGCAGTGAGCCGAGATGGCGCCACTGCACTCTAGCCTGGGCAAGAGAGAGAGACTCTGTCTCAAATAATAATAATAATAATAATAATAATAATCATCATCATCATCATCATCATAGCACCTACTATTACTGGGCACCTTCTAGTATCTTCTCTCTTTTAATGCTCACAAGTTTATAGAAAGAAGCCATTATAATCCTTCTTGTTTTCAGATAAGGAAACTGAGTCAAAGAGAAGGTAAATGATTTGTCTAGCATCACACACCATAGGTAACAGGGCTGGGACTGTTGCCCAAGCATCCTGATTCTAGATCTTGCACCTCAGCCATGGCTCCGGACTGCCTCTGTGCTCTGGGGGCATGGATAATGAGCCATATAGATGCCACAGGGACTGAGTGGCCCCAGGATGGTTGGTTTCCCAAGTCAAGGAAGTTAGGAAGGTGATGCCTGTTTGAGATGATTTAAAGGTCCTGTGGCAGACTGTCTCAACTCTCAAATTTCTCTCTGATAATTAGTTATCTCTTGGTTTTTAAGTTGAACATCTTACACATTCTATCACCAGGGAGAAACATTCCCCCTCCCTCAGTTCCCACTCAAAAATTCCTAGGGAAAGTACAACCTATTTCTAATTACAGAATACTTCTTACACCAGACATGTAAGTTTTATCCACACCAACAACCCATTTCCAATATTCTCATACCAACTGGATGTCCTACAATTTAACTCAATTCTGACAGTATCTACCTGGAGTTAGCATCAGATGCCACAAGTTAAGGGCTCAGTGCCACAAGACTGACCCCACTTCTGATGCCATTCACAAGTCCTGGGCCTCCTATAATTCTGACCAACTGGCTATACATCAGAGGTTCCATCCCCAGGTTTGATGATTTGCTACAATAGCGCACAGAACTCAGGAAGGCACTTTGCTTATTATTACCGGGTTACTATAAAGGGTACAACTCAGGAACAGCTGGAAGGAAGGCATATGTAGGACAAGGTAGGAGGGAAGGGGCACAGAGCTTTATGCCCTCTCCAGGTGCACCCCTTCCACCCAGTGTCCCCATGTGTTCACTGACCTGGAAGCTCTCTGAGCCCCATCATCCAGGGATTTTATGGAGGTTTCATTAGGTAGGCATGCTTGATTAAATTATTGACCAATGGTGATTAGCTCAGTCTCCAGCCTCTCTCCCCTTCCCCGAGGTTGGAAGGTGGGGCTGAAAGTTCCAACCCTCCAGTCCTGCCTTGGTCTTTCTGGTGACCAGCCCCATCCTGAGGCTCCTTAGAGATCCCAGCTCATTAGCATACAAAAAGATACTCTTACTGCTTTGGAGATTCCAAAGGTCTTAGAAGCTCATGTGTCAGGAACCAGGGACTAAGACTAAATATTATAACAAAAGATGCTCCTGTCACCCCTATCACTTGGAAAATTACAAGGGTTTTGGGAGCTCTGTGCCAGAAACTGAGGAGGAAGAACAAATGTGTGCATTTCTTATATGCCAGTATCACAGGAAGTCTCTGATTGGTCTGAATTGGACCAATCAAAACTGTCCTCGAGGTAGGAAATACCATGATTGGCTCAGTTTGTATTGGACCAATCAATAGTGATGAGGGAGCAGGATCATATGAGACATGGTGTCTTCAGCCAGAGGTAGTGTTTGGAGTGGGGGCAGAGTAAGTTCCAGGAAAAGGAAGTGATGCTGGGAAGACAGGGTCATGGTTATCAACTGCACCCAATCTTTGGGCCCAAATGTTGGAATTTTCTTCAGAGGTTTATTTGATCAGACCCACAAGGTGTTTCAGTTTCTAGAGACACTTATTAAAACTCAAAGAAGGCTGAGAAGATCCACACTGAAGTGGAAATTAGATGCCAAGGAGCAATCAGGCAGGAGAAAGAAATAATAGGAATCCAAATGGGAAAAGGGGAAGTCAGTCTATCTCTCTTTGCAGGCCATATGATTCTATAACTAGAAAACCCTAAAGACTCCAGCAAAAGGCTCCTGGAACTGTTAAATGAGTTCAGTAAAGTTTCAGAATATAAAATCTATGCACAAAAATCAGTAGCATTTCTATACACCAATAATGATCAAGCTCAGAGCCAAATCAAGAATGCAATAGCATTTATTTCACTTACAGTACACACACACACACACACACACACACATACAGACACACACACACACACTACCTGAGAATACAGCTAACCAAGGAGGTAAAATATCTCTACAAGGAGAACTACAAAACTGCTGAAAGAAATCACAGATAACACAGACAAATGGAAAAATATTCCATGTTCATAGATGGGAAGAATCAATGTCATTGAAATGGCCATTCTGCCCAAAGCAATCTACAGATTCAATGTTATTCCTATCAAACTACCAACATATTATTCACAGAATTAGAAAAAATCTATTCTAAAATTCATGTGAAACCAAAAAAGAGCTCAAATAGCCAAAGCCAAAACAATCCTAAGTGAAAAGAACAAAGCCAGGGACATCACATTATTTGACCTCAAACTATACTATAAAGCTACAGAAACTAAAACAGCATGGTACTGGTACAAAAACAGGCACATAGACCAGAAATAAAGCCTCACACCTACAGTCATCTGATCTTTGACAAAGCTGACAAAAATAAGCAATGGGGAAAGGACTTCCTATTCAATAAGTGATGCTGGGATAGCTGGCTAGCCATATGCAGGAGAATTAAACTGGATCCCTACCTTTCACCATATACAACAATTAACTCAGAGTAGATTAAAAATTTAAATGTTAGACCTCAAACTATAAGAACCCTAGAAACACTGGGCATAGTGGCTCACATCTGTAATCCTAGTACTTTGGAAGGCCAAGGCAGGAGGATCACTTGAGTTCAGGAGTTTGAGACCAACCTGGGCAACACAGGGAGACCCTGCCTCTATAAAAAAACCAAAAACTTAGCCAAGTGTGATGGTGCATGCCTGTGGTCCCAGCTACTCAGGAGGCTGAAGTGGAAGGATCATGAGCCTGGGAGGTAGATGTTGAAGTGAGCTGAGATTGCACCACTTCACTCCAGCCTGGAAGACAGAGTGAGACCGTCTCAAAAAAAAAAAAAAAAAAAAAAAAAGAATCCTAGAAAAAAACCTGGAAAACACCATTCTGGACATCAGCCTTGGGAAATAATTTATGATAATAAATTAATAATTTATTGCAACAAAAACAACAATTGACAAATGGAACCTAATTAACCTAAGGAGCTTCTGCACAGTAAAAGAAAGTATCAACAAAGTGAAGAGACAGCCTATAGAATGGGGGAAATACTTGCAAACTAGCCATTTGACAATGGGCTTAAACCATTCAACAAGCAAAAACCAAATATCAAAAAGTGGGCAAAAGACATGGACAGACATTTCCCATAAGAAGACATACAAGTGGCCGAAAAAAAAAAAAACTATGAAAAAATGCCGCACATCATTAATCATAAAAAAAAATGCAAATCAAAACTACAGCGAGTCACCATTTCACACCAGTCTGAAGGGCTATTACTAAAATGTCAAAAAACCACAGATACTGATGAGGCTGTGGTGCAAATGGAATGCTTGTACGCTGCTGGTAGGAACATAAGTTGGTTCAGCCACTGTAGAAAGCAGTTTGGAGATTTCTCAAAGAGCTTGAGACAGAATTACCATTTGACCCAGCAACTCCATTAGTGGGTAAATAGCCAAAGGAAAACAAATAGACCTACCAAAAAGGCACATGCACTCCCCTGTTCATCCCAGCGCTATTCACAATAGCAAAGACAAGAAATCAATCTAAGTGGCCATAAACAGTGGACTGGATAAAGAAAATATGTTACATCTATACCATGGAATACTATGCAGCCATAGAAAAGAACAAAATTATGTTCTCTGCAGCAACGTGGATGAAGCTGGAGGCCATTATTGTAGGCAAAATAACACAGGAGCAGAAAAACAAATACCACATGTTCTCACTTATAAGTGGGAGCTAAACATTGACTACTCATGGTCATAAAGATGGGAACACTATGCACTGGGGACTACTACAGTGGGGAGGGACGGAGAGGAGCAAGGGCTGAAAAACTAACTGTTGGGTATACTATGCTTAGTACCTGGGTGACAGGATCATTTGTACCCCCAACCTCAGCTTCACACAATATTCCCAGGTAACAAACTTGCACATGTACAACCTGAATCTAAAATAAAAGTCGAAAGAAAAAAAGAAAGACATTCGCTGCCAAGGATCTGACAGCAGAATCCTGTGGTAGTGGGATGAGACCCGGCGCCTGTGAGATGGCTTTGCAATTTGGCCCTGGGACCTGTCAATGCATCCATGAAACGGCTTGGGAGAAAACAGGCTTTGGAGCCAAGCAGAGCTAGATCAGATCTCCACATAGCTCTTCTAGGAGCTAGCTGTGTGGCCTTGGGCAAGTCACCTCACCTCTCCGAGCCCCTGTAAAACCAAGAGCTGAAAGCAGCAGGGCTGTTCCTAGGCCTTCCAATGAGGTCAGTTACCTTATCCACAGCTTCGAGTTGCTCATTAAACAGCTGCAGCTGGGTGTTTTCTTCACGTTAACCTGGTTGGTCCTTATCCTCTGGTGACCACTTCATGAATCCTGTGAGCTATCCCTAAGCAGAAAATGAGACCACATGTTCCTCTGGGGAAGCAACCATTCTGCTCTCCTGATCTCCCCTTTATCTTAGAGGCAGCAGGGTGAAGTCAAACAGGAATAAGCTTTGAAGTCAGGTGGAACTGGACTTGAATCCCACTTCCATTGCCAACTAGACATGTGACCATGGGGAAGTCACTTCTCTTCTCTCATCCGATCTGTAAAAGACAGATAGTTCTTCCCTTCAAAGCTGAGCATGAGAATTAAATGCAGTAACATGTGCAACTGCCTAACATACAGTGTCTGCTCAATCACTGATTTTGGAAAACCATACTGAGCACCTACTATTCATTCATTTACTCGGCAGGTATTTATGGAGCCCCTCCCATGTGCCAGGAATTCTCCTAGGTGAATTCCACATATAAAACAGACAGGCTGTCTCTCAGCCTGCAGCTCCCATTCTCGCATAGGGGATAGACGTAGACAACCAACTAATGGGTAAATAAACACCTGGTGTCAAGTAGGGACATGTTCTTTGAGGAAAAACAAAGGGTGTGGGGATAGTGAGTGAAAAGGTGGGTGTGTGGAGCAGAGGACGTGATGTGAGTTCAAATACTACATGTCGGTGTAGGAATTGCCAGGGATACAGACAGAGATGGAGCTCCTTCTTCTAGGAACTGGCATGCCAGGCAGAAAACAGTGTGGTTAGAACTGAAACGGAAGAGTGCAGCTCCAATCAGCGTGCGGGGTCTCTCCACAGGCCCATGGGCTTAGTGTATCCTGGCTCTGTCCGGAGCCCCTGTCCTCGCCTGGGAGGGAGCTAATGCTTATCACAATCCACGTGGGATCCAGAAATCCACTTAGCAGCATCCTTGTCCTCTGAATGCTCTAGGCACTTCCTTGGATGCTTGTGGATGAAGACAGTAACCTCCCCAGCCCACTCCCCATCCACCTGCCACTCCTACTCCGGGGTGCCCTGGGCGGAGGTGAGACCTCACGTTCAGGCAGTTCAGAGTCAGATCTCACTTGAATCCCCACTGGGCGCCTACTGGCTCTGTGACCTTGGGCAGGGCCCTCCAAGTGGCCGAGCCTCACATTCTTCACCTGTGAAACCGGGATAGGAATGGCACACATAGAGCACTTCAAAAACCCTTCTCCCAGGTCCAACCCTTGAGAGTTTCTACTCCCCTACCCTCCTCCTCTCCCTCCAATCGTGAGTTCCCAACCATGTAGCCTGGCCAGCAGGTCTGTGTTCCTCCTTAGCATTCCAGGAGCTGTTGAGGGCAGGAGTGGGCGTGGCATTCTCAGGCAAAAAACAAAACGTGGTCTTGGCTTTGTTATTCAGTTGTGTGACCTCGGACACTTCATGCCATCTCTGACCCTAACTTCCCCATCTGTCAGCCACATGGTATAATAACCCCTGCCTCCCGGGCAGGTGGTGAGGGTTATTGGAATGAATGCAGAGAAATTACTGGAAACATCTCAGATGTCTGATAAGTGGCAAGTGTTATCTTTCATTTTAGTCTTCCCTACTTGATCTCCAAATGAATCACATTTATTCAGCACTCACTGTGGAGCAGGCTTTACTTATATGATCCCATTTAACCTGCACAACAGTCCTGGCTGTTGGCATTTTCATGATCTGTTCTATATCTGAGCTAACTGGGCACACAGAGGTAAGGTAATTTGCTCCAAGCCCCCTAATTAGGAAGTGATGGGTTCAACATTCAGACCCCAGCATCTGTCTCCAGAGCCTATGATCTATCCACCGCAGTGCTCTCTGCCTCCCCTCTATCAAACCATCCTGATCATTGTTTTTCTGGGCATAATGACTGTTTGACCCCCAGAGCCTCTGCCATGAAAAGAAGAGGCATTGAAGGCCCAGAGGAGGAGCCTGGTCCTGCTCTGTGTCAATGCACTGCCAGAATTCTCTGCAGAGCTTTTGTCCTGACTGCTATGTCTGGCGCAGGGTGAGATTCTGAGTGAGGCCATCCCTGTCCTCAAGGAGCTCAGAGTCTAGTGGCAGAACAGCATAGGGTGGCTGAGCAGAGCCACGCAGGCTGTCAAGTCCAGCAGCCTGGATTGGAAACTCAGCTGTAGCACTTACCAGCTGTGGACATTTGGGTAAGTCTCTGAGCCTCAGTTTCCTCATCTGTCAAGTAGGGATGATAACACCAGTCCCTCCCGAGAGGGCTGTTAGAGTTAGGGCATACGCTCTGCCCCCAGGGAGTGACTGACAATAGTGTTTTAGAGCAGGAGAGGCCAGCATGCTCTTCCTTGCACACAGGTCAGGATGGGACACCTGCTATGACCAGACAGCTACCAACAGGCCAAGAGGTTTATTAAGCACCTATTAAGTGCCTCAGGGTTAGCAATTATAACCTCATCCGATCTTTGCAGTAACTGCGGGGTGGCAATTACTACCTACAAGTTGCAGATGAAAAGCTGCAGCTTAGGGAGGCGATCAACCAAGGTCACATGGTCACATGGTGGGGTACGCGGGAGCCCAGACTCAGTTTACTGCACCCCGTAGGCTCCTGAGCAGAGGAAGGGTCTCAAGGAAGAGCCTCTGCTGCTTGGTGGGGCCTTCCTGGCACTGCCGGTCAAGCCTCTTCTTTTCCCTCACTGGCTTCTTATCCTTTGCTTCCCAGGGGCGGTGCCCCAGGCATCCAGCGCAGGCCTCTCTGCTCTTCTCCTCGGAGAGCTCATCTGCCTCAGAGCTTCCGGGACCCTCCGCCCCCGCCACCGGCCTGCTTTATTTCAGGTGCCACGTTCCTCAGTGCACCCGGCCTATTCTTGCTCAGGTGCCCAGCAACTAAGTACAATCAAGCAGGGTCCCCATTAAGAATTGATCATTGTTTGTCAGAACCTTCTCATCTCTCCTGTCACCTGCTCCTGCTCATATTCCCCAGGGCCCAGCCTAGCTGCTGAGCTGACTGACTCTGCTTCCATCTCCTGCCCTCCCACACATCTGCAGTCAAGTCCAGCTGGTCCTAGCTACCACTGCACTAACATTCAGACCTTCAGCTCCCCACAGGCCCGTCACCTCACCCAGTCCAGCTGGGACCTGCCCCGGCCCACTCCATGCCTCAACCTGGTCTTACTTAAAGCTGTCTCCCACCCTGGCCGGCATTCCAGCATCTCCAGTATCTGATCATGAGATGATTCCTTACCAAATGCTGTTTCCGCTTGTGACTTTCCTTCTTTAAACACTGTGTTTCTTCCTGGCACTTACAGAAAACCTAACTTATCTTTCTCCTACTTCTTCAAAAAGTAGCTAATGAAAATCTGTTGTATTAATCAGGGCTCTCCAGAGAAATAGAGCTGATAGGGGGTGCATGTATTCGAAAGAGATTTGCCTTAAGGAATCGGCTCACGCAATTATGGGGCCTGGCAACTCCAGAATCTGCAGTGCAGATTGGCAACGTCTGGGGACATTTTTGGCTGTCACAATTCAGGGACTGCTAATGGCCTTTAGTGCGCAGGGACTGAGGATGCTGTAAACATTCTACAATGCACAGGACAGCCGCCCACAACAAAGAATGACCTGGCCCAAAATGTCCGCAGAGGTTGAGCAGAGCTGTTGCAGCAGATTCCCTGTTCCCAGGACCACACCTGCTGCTTGGACCCCTTCCCATGGCACAGTCCTGGCTTGGATTCTCAGCTCTGAAGTGGACAAGCTCTCCAACCCAAGGCAAAGTATATCACGTAGCCACACCTCCACCTTCAGCATCCAGAACCACAACATCTAGTATGGTAGCCACTGGCCACATGTGGCCATGGAGCACTTGAAATGTGCAAGTCCATTTTGAGAGGTGCTATCAAGGTAAAAGACACAGCAGATTTCTGAGACTTAGAAAGGAAAAGGAACATAAAACATCACAGTAGGCCGGGCGTGGTGGCTCACACCTGTAATCCCAGCACTTTGGGAGGCTAAGGCTGTTGGATCGCTTGAGCCCAGGAGTTTGAGACCAGCCTGGGCAATATGTTGAAACCCTGTCTCTACAAAAAATACAAAAATTAACTGGGTGTGGTGGCAGGCACCTATGGTCTTAGCTACTCAGGAGGCTGAGGTGGGAGGATCACCTGATCCTCATGTAGAGGCTACAGTAAGCTGAGATCGCACCACTGCACTCTAGCCTAGGTGACTGAGTAAGACCATGTCTCAAAAAAGAAAAAAATCACAGCAATCACTTTTATATTGATTCCATGTTGAAATAATATTTTGAATGCATTATATGAAATAAAATGTATGATTAAAGTTCATTGTACCTGTTTCTGCCTACTTTTATTAATGTGGATACTAGAGATGTTAAAATAATTATGTGGCTGACTCTACAGTGGTGAGGAGAGACCAGGCCCATCATGAGATGGGTGTGGGATAGATGTGGAATTACCTTCCTGTTGCCAGGCACATAGGGAATGCCCTTTGCATCTTCTGGGAATCTGAATTTTCTTTTCTTTTCTTTTCTTTTTTTTTTGAGATGGAGTTTCCCTCTTGTTGCCCAGGTTGGAGTGCAGTGGTGCAATCTTGGCTTACTGCAACCTCTGCCTCCAGAGTAGCTGGGATTACAGGCACGCACCACCACACCCAGCTAATTTTTGTATTTTTCGTAGACTGGGGTTTCAGCATGTTGGCCAGGCTGGTCTCAAACTCCTGACCTCAGGTGATCCACCCACCTCGGCTTCCCAAAGTGCTGGGATTACAGGCGTGAGCCACTGCGCCCAGCCTGAATTTTTTAAATCTGTGAAGCCCTCCTTCCCATGAAGCCCTCTCCGATCTGGGTTCCAGGGACTTTCATCTCACTGATAACCAGGTCCCGTCTGTCTTTTCATCTCCTTAGCTCCTCGTCCCAGCATCTGCACCAGAGCCTGAGAGGTCACAGTTGCTTATAGCATTTATGTGTAAAGGGAACAGTAGTTACTGTACTCTCTAACCCAACACGGGGAAGTGTAGCTAACGTTTCTTTCAGGCCTGAATTTGGGGTAGTCCTGTGCCTTTTTTCTGCATTCTTCGTTAATCAAGGAGGTAGGAAATTTGACCACCCTTCCTTATCAGCTCCCCACAGCTCCCTGGCATAATTTTCTGCTCATGGCTCTCACTTTGCAAACATGTTCGTTGTCATAGAAAATTCAGAGGTGAGTTGGAAGTTGGTGCTGCCTGGTTACCATGGCAATGCCAGCTGCTTCTGCCTCCACAGTGAGGCAAGAGTGGCCATGGAGCTGACCAGATGGAGTCGGAGCCTCTGAGAACAAAATATCTGGGGCCCATCCCAGTCTCCTCTAATGCCAACCTTCTCCTGGCCCTCAAGACTACCCTGTTTTCCCAGGGGTGCCATCCTGCAGCCAACCTGCTGGTACAATGGATGGAGCCCCCTCCGTGGAGGTGGAGGCCTGCGCTGCCCTTGCCAGCCACTCCTGAGGCAGTGGTGACCTGCTAGGTGACACTCAAAGTCACTAGTGAGTTGCTTCCTGTACCCGCCTTCAAGATGCTGGCCGAGAGCCCCACCCGGTGGGCCTGTGTTTCCTTAGTGACTGTCAGCAGAAATTTCCCATTGTGGAAAGAGCTATCTTGGAGCTAATGTAACAACGTCTTTTCTTATTTGTGGATGATGAAAGAAAATGACTCCCAGGGACCATGTTCCTGAAAAAGAGGAAAAGGTCAACAGCTTCAGCGTCTTCAGGGCCTTTGCCACTCCAGGCTGCATGCAGGTGGCGCATGGCGAGGTTGCTAAATGGCTGGTGTAGCACTTCAGGGGACACTTGGATCAGCTCGTTTGATCTTTACCAGCATCCTGTGAAATAGATAGGACCACTATGCCCACTTCATAAATGAGGAAGCTGAGGCTTGGCGAGGGCCAAGAAGGTGGTGCCAAGGCGGCACTGCTGGCAGGCGCCGGAGCCGGGCTTGGGAGGGAAGAAGCATCACGGCAGGGCCTGAGGTCTTACACGGCTCCACAGCTCTGCTGTGAACAAGTGTGAGGGTGGAGATCTTCCCCAATTTACATAAACTGAGGCTCTGGTGGCAAAGCCAGGATGTGACACCTGTTCTGTCGTGTCCCAGACTTTGCTCAGCTGTATCAGACACAGGGCTGTCCTGTTATGCGTGGGCATTTTGCAAGCAGGAAACCCCCTCCTGAGTTCCCAAGCACGGCCAAAACATGATACGAGGGGTCCCACAGGGTGGGGAGACCCAGATTCCAGCCAGAGCTTGGAGTGGAGGTCGTGACATGAGCGCGGAAGAGGCAGCTGCATCCACACACCCGGGCAGGCCCCGAGGTGAATCAGAAGAGAAGCAGGTGACGCTGAGAGGGGCTGAGAATGCTTACCCTGCTGTGGTGGCAGCTTTTTCTGTGCCATGAGGGCCCCAGCAGTTGCTCAAGGACTTTTGTCATAGCTCCTCGGCCCACACAGCTGCATCCAAGCCCCTGCCCACCGCAATCCCTTCCAAATAAGGACCCGAGGCCCAGCTGAAAAAGCATGGCTCTCTTCCCAAAGAACCACCTGGATGTTCTGGGGAGGCAGGTGTGTGGGGGAGAAGTTTTCCGAGGATTGTCAGAGGGAGGTGATCTGAGACATAGCCTGGCATGGGGGCCTAGAGGCGGTTCACTTCCCTAGGGATTTATACCCCAAAGAAACGCAAAGGTGCGCAAAGAAAGAAAGGTAAAGTCAGGAGCCCAAATTTGTACCCCTGATGTTCCCAGGTTACTCAGGTTTCTGATGTCACTCTGTGCTTTAATATCCAAAATGATGCCTCACGTTCCTGTCTCACTCACATATTTTTTTTGGTGGTGGGGGCGCGCACCTGGTTGGGCCACAGCCAAGCCTGTTTCTTCCTGTTCCTCATGGTCTCTCTCAGCTCCAGAATGGAACCGCCTCTTCCTTTATTTCCCCCGGGAAGAAAACAGGCTTTTAGTTTCCCTCACACCTTAGTCGGAAGCCCACGTCACCATTCTCAGGTGCATGAGCTTTGAGAAATTTGCTTCACTTCTGGGAGCCTCCATTTTCTCCTCTACGAAACAGCAAATTACACCTGTTTCTCCTGGCTGTTGGGGGATTACATGAGAGATGGAGGTAAAAGTCCCAGCTTAGCACCTGGTCCACGACCAGTATTCAGCCTGGTTCTCTCTCATCTCCCCTTCACCCTCTCCAGAGTCAGCACGTGTGTGGTCTGGAGACAGCTGAGCTGGTGGTCTCTCCCCAGGGCCCTCCTGCCGGCCTGGATGCTGACTGCCCCTCTTTGCCTCAGAGCCGTGAGCCATGAGCCGTGCCGGATTGCCCCAACCAGCCTGCGCTTCTCATTACAGAGCCGGCCTGTAATTAGACTGTCGCTTGGCTTTGGAGAATGTGCCTGTCAGCACCCCTGGCTCTTCTGCCTCTGCAGAGGCCCCTTTATTTGCTGGCGAGACCTCATCTCCGTGCACAGAGCCATCCTTGGAAATGAGGTGATGTCTGTTCTTCCTGTGACCCTCTTTCACTTGGGGTCAGCTGAGACAAGACCTGCAGGACATGGATGGATGGAGAGGCAGGTGACAGAACACAGACTTAGTCCCGGCAGGGAGGGCAAGGAAGGGATCCAGAAAGAGAACTCTGCAGCGTCTTCTGCTAGGCTGCCAGGCCACTGCACTGCAGATTCTGAAACAAGTTAGGTCTTCTTGGGGTTTCCTGACATAACTGTCCTCACCCTGACATCTCAGCCTGAGAGGGAGGAGTGAAGGATACAAGTGTCAGGCAGACCTGGCCTGAATCCTGGCTTTGCCTCTTACTAGCTGTGTGACCTTTGACAAGTGACTTCCCTGTTCTGGGCCTCAAATTCTCTACCTGTAAAAATGGCGCAAATGACACTTCAGAAGCTTGTTATGATGATTAAGTAGATGCAAAACACTTGGATACACTAATCACTCCAAATAATACATGATAGCTGTTATCTTCTTTTTTTTTTTTTTTTTGAGACGGAGTCTCGTTCTGTCGCCCAGGTGGGAGTGCTGTGGTGCGATCTCCGCTCACTGCAAGCTCCGCCTTCCGGGTTCACGCCATTCTCCTGCCTCAGCCTCCCGAGTAGCTGGGACTACAGGCGCCCGCCACTGCGCCCAGCTAATTTTTTGTATTTTTAGTAGAGACGGGGTTTCACCGTGGTCTCGATCTCCTGACCTCATGATCCGCCCGCCTCGGCCTCCCAAAGTGTTGGGATTACAGGCGTGAGCCACCGCGCCCAGCCCAGCTGTTACCTTCTTTAGCCGGGTTCCATCCTGTTTCCTTTCCAGCATTTGGCTGTGCTTTTGCCCATGCAGGTCCCTCTACCCAGAATATCAATATCCTGAATGATTTGTTTAGCAAACTCCTATTGATTCTCCAAGACCCAGCTCAAATGTCCCTTCCTCTGTGAAGCCTTCCCTGACTACCCGAGCAGCTGGTTACTTTGTCATCTGTACTCCAACATAATTTGCTTTTGCTTTTGATGCAATCCAGTCATTGCATGGTAACTATTGTAACTGTTCCCACTGCCCTCCGCCCTGCCCCCACACCCTGCACCGGCAATCCTTGATGTACCCTGAGCCCTTGGCTAGGCTGTGAGATCATGAAAGATAAGGCCTCTACTTGTTCTTCCTGGTAATTCACAGCGTGGATGTTTTGTGATTCTTGAGTTGAATGAATATATGACTGCTGGAAACAAATAAATGGACAAATGGATGATTATAGGGAACATTAAACACTGATATAAGAAAAGCACAGGTCCAAGGAAACTGTGCCCTTTTCCCCACATATTGCTTTATTCAAGCCCAGGCTGGGTTAAACGTTCAGGAATAAGGAAGGCTATATTCTGCCTAGAGAGAGACCACCTAGGATGGAGGATCATGGAAAGAAACTGGAGACAAAAAAGGAGGAATTCTAGACCCATCTGTCCCCCGGACCTGCTGAGCGACCTCAGGCCAGTCTCTTAGCCTCTCTCTGCTGCAGCACAGAAGGCTTCAGAAAGCCCCCACCCCTGGGGCTGGGGGAAGAAACCCACGGTCTGAAGAATGTAGAGGCCAAGCTAAGGTCAGTCACGGCTGACGCCCTTTCAGGAAGGCCCCACTCCTTGACCCATGACGGCAGAGACTGGTGACACCTGCCAGCCCCACCCTGGAGAAGGAAGGGCCTCAACCACAGTCACGGCTATGAGCTGGAATGTTTCCAAGAGAGGCCCCTGCGGAAGGAGCCAGGCACTGGCTGCTGGAGTGAGCATCAGTTGTAGATACAGGGTGTGCAGGTCTGGACCTGACCACACCCCAGCATCACAGAGGCCACTTGCTCCCAGTCCAAAGAGGCCTTCTATCACCTCCTAGCACACTCCAATTCTTCTGAACCGTGCAGGCTTTGTGCTCGCTTCTCCCCTGGGCTGGCCCTTTCTCCTCATTCTGGCCACATTGTAAGTCATCTCCTTAGGGACCTCCTTTAACCACCCCACCTAAATTGCCTCTCTCATTCCTGGTCTCTCTTCAGTCACTCTCTACTTCTCCGCCTGATTTTATTGACCTCCCAGCACTCACCCCACCCTGAACCATCTCATCTTCTTCTGTGTTTACTGCCTGACTCTCCTTTATACCCTCAGTTGTGAGTCAATGACCCGGTCTCTCTTAGTTAGGTTTATCCCCAAGTCTTAGCACAGAGCCTAGTACAGAGTGGGCCACAGGGGTTGAGTGAATGTTTGTTAAGTGAATGAGTGAGCTATGAATAAGTAAGTGGATGGATGGATGGATGGACGGATGGATGGATGAGTGGGCCAAACTCTCTGAACCTAAGTGGGAACAGGCCTCTGTGTGTGGTACCAGGCCAATAGGCTATGGGTTTTCTCACGTGCATCTCGACAGCTGGGTCTTGTGCTGAGACCTTGGAGCCCCTCCATGGGCTCTGGAGGGTCCAATTTTTGGCTGTACCCTCAGTTGCCAGCACAGGGCCAGAGTCGATGTCCAGAAACTGGGCATGCCTATGTCCAGTGAATGGACAGGGTCAAATTCCTGTAGCAGGAGCCATTGGGAAGTAGTTAAGAGCATGGCTCGGGAGTCAGGAGTTGATGACCTGGGTTCAAATCTCAGCTGTGACACTTTCTCACTCAGTAGACAGAGCACTTTTCTTACCCTCTCTGGGCCCCAATTTCCTTAGTACCAAACAGACTATATCGGTAGCTACCCCATGGGGATATTGTGAAGAGGGAGTGAGACAATGCATAGAAAGTGCTGGCACTCCATAAGGACTCAACACTAACATCAGAGCCCATGGCTCCAGCACCTGCTGAGGGTGCTGGCCCACCACAGCGGGCACCTGGTAGGTGCTTGTTAAGTGAGCAATGAACTCACATGAAAAGCGATGCCACCTTCAACCTCCCTCTCAGGCCATCCAGTGTCTTCTTCAGTTGAGACCCCTCCAACACCTCCCTTTACTGCTCCTGCATTGCCACCCTACGCTGAGCTATAGCTACATCCCGTCATGGTGTGCTGGAGAGAAGGGTGGGACCACTTTGATTTGGTTTTCTTGGTCAGATAGTTCATTTGGCAAGCATGGTCCTGTTGCCTACTCTGTGAGCAGTGTGAAGCTGAAATAAGGAACAGAATCCCAAAACATCAGGGATCATCATAGACTCTCCCAGTTGGGAGGAGACATTCAGGCTTTTCTCCTTCAAGAACGGGGAAACTGAGGCCTCCCTTGGGAAGCAGACTTGCAAGTTGATGGCAAAACTGGGACTCACTCCTTGATGCTTTGGCTTCCAGAGCTGCAGCCCTAAAGGGAGTGCTGCCCTCAGAAAGGAATCCTTTTTGTGTCCGGAGAAAAAGTCAGGTCATACTTGGAGAGTTTTAATTTGTTTAAAAGGGCTATGACTGGCCGGGCATGCTGGCTCACGCCTGTAATCCCAGCACTTTGGGAGGCCGAGGTGGGCGGATCACGAGGTCAAGAGATCGAGACCATCCTGGCCAACCTGGTGAAATTCCGTCTCTACTAAAACTACAAAACACAAACACACACACACACACATTAGCTGCATGCGCCTGTAGTCCCAGCTACTTGGGAGGCTGAGGCAGGAGAATCACTTGAACCCAGGAGGCGGAGGTTCAGTGAGCCGAGATTGCGCCACTGCACTCCATCTTGGTGACAGAGCAAGACTCTGTCTCAAAAAAAAAAAATGCTACAACCACCTCCCAGACAATCTTAAAAATGAAAACAAACAGAAACAAAAGCAAAAAGTCTCTGATTGGCATAAACAACAAAGAAGTGGTAAGCTGGGGACTGGCCGAGTCTGGTGTCCCCTCTCCTTCAGTTCCACCCTGCTGGGGTGCCGCCAGCACTGACCCCGACCCGAATCCCTCACCCCACAAGGCAGCAGTGGTTGTGGCATTGCAGCTACACATCTACACACCGTCTCTTCCAGGCTTTCCTAGAAGTCTCCAGTCAGCCTCCCTTGCATCTCCGTTGCCTAAATTGGGTCTCGTGCCCATTCCTAAGTCAGCCCTTGTGGTTCTTATTGGCAAGGACTGGGTTAACATATTTCTCCTTTCAACAAATATTTATTAAGTACCTGCTATAGGCAGCATAGCTATGAACAAAATAGAAGAAAGTTCTAAAAATTGACATATTAGAACTAGCAGGAGGATACAGACAAAAAACAAATGAGTAAAATATGCAATACTGTTAGATGTGATCAGTGCTAGGGAGAAAAATACAGCAGGGAAGGGAGAAGGCGAGTGCACGTTGGGGAAGTAGCCATGTTAACTAGAGTGGTCTAAGCAGAGACCGAGGGAGGTGAGGGAGTCAGTCATGAGGGCATCGAGGGGAAGGGCATTCCAGGCAGTGGCAACAGCAGTGCAAAGGCCCTGAGGCAGAAGTATGCTTGGTATGTTTCACAAACAACAAGGAAGCCAGATGACTAAAGCAGAATGAGGGAGGGGGATACTGTAGGAGAGGGGTCAGGGAGGTAAGTGGGGGCAGGAGCTATGGCCCTTGAGGCCGGGTCAGGGAGTAAGTGGGGGCAGGAGCTATGGCCCTTGAGGTCTGTGGTGAGGATTCTGGCTTCTACTTTGTTTATTGTAGTTGTTTTGTTTTTTGAGACGGAGTTTTGCTCTTGTCGCCCCGGCTGGAGTGCAGTAGCACCGTCTCAGCTCACTGCAACCTCCACCTCCCAGGT
This sequence comes from Homo sapiens, assembly GCF_000001405.40. Taxonomy (NCBI): domain Eukaryota; kingdom Metazoa; phylum Chordata; class Mammalia; order Primates; family Hominidae; genus Homo; species Homo sapiens. The sequence goes on from NC_000005.10 coordinate 173,740,256, forward strand.
TCAAGTGATTCTCGTGCCTCAGCATCCTGAGTAGCTGGGATTACAGGTGCCTGCTACCTGCCCGGCTAATTTTTGTATTTTTAGTAGAGACAGGGTTTCACCATGTTGGCCAGGCTGGTCTCAAACTCCTGACCTCAGGTGACCTGTCCGTCTTGGCCCCCCAAAGTGCTGGGATTACAGGTGTGAACCACCACACCCGGCCTCTACTTCGACTTAGATAGGAGGCCCATGGAGGATTTTGAATGGAGAAATGTCCCAATCTCATTTAGGCTTTAAAACAGAGGTGTTTAATCTTGGCTGCGCAGTGGAATCACCTGGAGAGCTTTTAGAAAATACAGATGCCCGGGGCCCACCCACAGAGGTTCTGATGTCATCAGTCAGGGATAGGGCCTGGGAATCAGGATTTTTAAAAGACACAGGAGAGTCTATGTGCAGATGAGGTTGAGAGGCGTGGGTCTGTGTGCCGAGGACTCCCAAATCCTTATCTCTGACTCTCGACTCGTGACTCTCCCTTGATGTCCATATTTTGATGTCGGCTTCCAACTTAGGGTCTCCATTTGGATGTCAAATCATCATCATAATCGTCTCCAAATTAACTGAACCTCAATCTGATTTCTGACCCCTCCCCAAGCCTGCTCTTCCTGTGGTGTCCTCTGTCCAGTTCCTCAGGCCAAAACCTTAGTGTTATCCTCGGTTCCTCTGTTGCTTTAACACCTGACATCTGATTCTTTAGAAGACCATGCTCACCCTACCTTCAAACATACCCAGAAAGCACGGCTGCTCACACATCCACTGCCGCTACCCAAACCGAGGTCCTCCTGACCTCCAGGTCTTCTGCCCCTGCCTCCAGCGGCACTTCCCAAGCCTGGCTTCTGTGGATTCACGGGGGAGCTTTCAAAACTGTGGATGCTTGAGTCCTCAGAGTCTGATAGAACCGGTGGGGTGCAGTGGGGCACTGAGAATTTTACAAGCTCACCAAGTGGTTCCATCGTACAGCCAGAGTTGAGAACCTCTGATAAGGATGGGATTTAAATCGAAGGATCTGGCAGTGACGGCCTGGGGAGAGAATACAGCTACAGAAGCAAAGAGGTCAGAGACTGAGCACTGCCAGACTCTGCGACCTGCAGAGTCAGGGAATGAGGAGGAACCAGGAAGAGGCAACAAGGAGACAGACCCAATCACTGCTGCAGGGGTGGGAAGGACCCTTGACTAACCGAAGGCACTGCTTGAGCTAAGGTGGAAAAATCAGCTTCCCCAGGGCCCAGGGCAGCATGGAGGAAGAGAGAATGGATACCTGGATCAGCTTCTCCTGGGGAAAGGGAAGGAACAGGAGGGATGTTGGGTGGCCAAAAAATATATACTAAGCCAATAAACATGATGATGGTAATGAAAATAAAAATAATGCTGAGAGAGAGGGAGGGAGAGGGAGACAGGGAGACAGGGGGACAGGGGGACAGGGGGACAGGGGGACAGGGGGATAGGGGGACAGGGGGAGAGGGGGAGAGGGGGAGGAGGAGGAGGAAGGGGAGGAGGAGGAGGAGGGGGAGGGAGAAGGGGAGAGGGAGAGGGAGAGGGAGATCTTCCTCTTCTTATAAAGCCACAACTTGTACTGCATTAAAGCCCCACCCTTATGACCTTATTTAACCTCAGTGACCTCCTAAAAGCCCTAACTTTTGACCACACCTAACTGCAAGGGAGCCTAGAAGATGCAATTCAGCTGCGTGCTCAGGCAGACAAGGAGAGCATGGCCATTGCTGAAAGCAGTGCAAGAAGCAGGTGGGAGGGTACCCCAGATAGATGGATCATTGTGTGCCAAAGTCTGGAGGAATACTAACAAGGTGAACCGGGGCACCGCCACATGCTCAGCTGTCTGGCCCTGGGTGTAGGAGTGGGGAATGGTGGGAGGGAAGTGACTATGTTGGGCAACAAGATTCCCTGGCCCTTAATTAGCCAGGTGTGGTGCCCCGTGCCTGTGGTCCCAACTACTCAGGAAGCTGAGGTGGGAGGATGGCTTGAGCCCAGGAGGTCAAGGATGCAGTGAGCTGTGATTGCACCACTCCACTGCAACAGAGCTTGCTCCATTGGGCAACAGAGCAAGACCATGTCTCAAAAAAAATAAAAAAAATTAAAAAAAGGAAAAATTCCCTGGCTCTTAAAGAGGGTCACGGGCAGAACTCATGCTCAAGACCATCACTCAGGGGTAGCTTGGCTCACAGTTTCTTCCAACTTAGACAATTGAGTATTTCTTTGAACATATGATTTCAAAGGATTCTTTAAAACACTTTAACCATTCATTTATTAGTAGGGAACATACTCATATTGTTCCACATTTGAAAAGTGAAACGAGTCAATCATGACAAACCTCCCTTCCACCCTGTCTCTCAGGCACACACTCCTCCTCCTCCCTCAAGGCAGCCAATGCTTTCAGTTTCATGCGTCATCTTGCAGTGATGTTTTATGCAAATATAAATTTTATATATAATACATTCTTCCTTTTGTCCAGTTTTGCACTAATTGTAGCATGCTCAACATAGTATCCTGATCCGTATTTTTCTCTGAGATTTTTTTCATGGTGATATGTAAAGAGCCTTCTTGATGACAACGTAGAACTCCACTCTATGATTGTACCACCAGGATAGTCCCCTACTGATGGACAGTTAGGTTATTTCTAATTTATAAATAATCTTGTAATTAAGTTTGCATATATCACTTCATGCAGGGGTAGATCTATTTGCAGGATAAACTCATAGGAATAGAACTTCTGGGTGAAAGGGTTATACTATTCTAGCATAACTGGCTGTGAACCGCTGGGCCACTCCACATGTCCTTCTGTCTGAGTCCCTCCCTAGTCCCACCCAATGATGCAGACCTGGGCGACAGTTCTGAGAGGTGCTGAGCCCAGCCATGTGGCCCCTGGCATGGTTCCATGCCCCTTGGAATATGGCAGTGCCCAGAGTGTTCTCCTCAGATTCTTGGCTGGAGACGTCTCAGGGAGGCCATCCTGTGACCCCCATGCCCGTGGTCCCACATCAAGGATCATTGTTTCACTGCCGCTCTTCAACCACCAGCCCAGCCCCATTCCTACCCCCTCCTCCAGCTCTATGACTTCACCCCTCACTCCCAGAACAGAGGCAAAGCCCAACGAAGGCCAAGGCAGCACTGTGATAGCCAGAACAATGGCCCCTCCAAAGCCATCCATGTCCCAATCCACACAATCTGTGACTATGTTGCCTTACATAGCAAAAGAGACTTTAAGATATGAAGTCAAGGATCTCATGATGGAGAGATTATTCTGCATTATTTGGCTGAGCCCAGGGTAATCGCTAGGGTCCTTAAAAAATGGAGACGGGAGGCCGAAAGTGAGTCAGAGAGAGTCTGGAAGATGTTATGCTGCTGGCTTTGGAGTGGAGGGAAGGGTCGTGAACCAGGGTATATAGGTGGCTTCTAGAAACTGGGAAAAACAAAGCTATGGCTTCTCCCCTAAAGCCTCCAGGAGGAATGCAATCCTGCTGACACACTGGTTTTAGCCCAGTGAGACCTATTTTGGACTTCTGACCTTCAGAACTGGAAGGTAATAAATTTGTGTTGTTTTCAGCCACTAAGCTTATAGTAATCTTTTACAGCAGTAACAGGAGACTAATCCAACAGTCCCCGAACTGCCCCGCGTGGGAGTCCAGTGCTGCCTCTCTCCTGCCTCCCCTCTCTCAGAAGGCCTGGCTTCAAATCCTTGTTCTCCTTACCCACCGGGTGCTTTTGGGTACATGCAGCATTTCTTTGGGCCTCAGTTCTCTCATCTGCAAAACGCAGCACATGATCAAACTGTCACAAGGTTGCCGGGAGGTTAAATGAGATGATGCTTGTGAAGTCTCTTAGCAACTTTGCCTGCCATGAAATCGGTGCTTGATATTTTTAGATGTTGAGCATAATTCTGAAACTTTCAGTTGTCCTCCCAGAACCTACTCCTGCTCTGGCCCTGGCTAGGGCCCTAACTTCCCCTAAGGAGACAGCCCCTTCCTGCAGTGCTTACACCCAGCAGAGACCCTCAGGGAGGCAACTCTCTCCTTTCAACCGGCCCCAAGGAACCAGGGCCCTGAGGTGCTGTTCCCAGCAAAGAGGAAACTCAACCCAGGTTCAAATCCTTTTTTTTTTTTTTTCTGCCACTTCCCAGCTGGGTGGCATTGGGGGAGTTACTCCACCACTCCGAGCCTTGGTTTCCCCCTTTGTAGAATACCCACAGTGAGCCCTAGCCCAGGATGCTGGCCCAGGAGTGTGCTCATGGCTGGGCACGTAGCAGGTACTGGATAAACAGCTTCAGTGCACTGCCCTCTCAGCCAGGACCAGACCCCAGACTTGGTGGACCCTGGGGCTCATACAGTGTGTAGCGCCTCTTTAAGAAGGAGCCTCTGAACTTACAAACATACAATAGGGCTTCTGATGGGGCCTATGCCGGGGAGGCATCCTGAGGCCTGAATTCCATTCGCTTCTGCTTTCTGCTCTCAATCCCTCCTCCTCCGTAATGACCGGGCCAAACGTGTTTCAGAAACGTCCCTCCCAACTTGCCTGAATAAGCCCCAGGAGCCTGAGATTTTTACGAAATTGTCAGAGGCAGTGACCATCTTAGTCTCCCAGCAGGATCCAAGCTCCCTTGGTAAGTGAGCAAGACTTTTGATGGAACAAAAGCAAAATCTCTATCTGATGAGATTAGCTCCTTGGAAAAGAGCACACAGTTCATCTCTACCTTGCTTGGACAGTAGAGCTGCCAGATTAAAACAGCAACAACAACAGCTATATACATATGGATTCAATTTAATTTGAATTCCAGATAATGAATAATTCTTTAGTATAAGTATATACCAAATATTGCATGAGACATTTAACTGGATGTCCTGAATTTTATCTGGCAGCCCTGTCTGTCAGAGACACAGCAACATGGCTATTCAAATTCAGGATGTGTTTTGCAGAAGTGTTCCTGCTTTGAGAAGCAGCTGGGGGCCCTTGAACTTCAGCAGAATAACCAGTGGCAGAGGAAGGGATATGGGAAGCTGCCCCCGGGCAGGTTGGTGACGCTTTTAACAGCTGCACCCAGAGCCAGGTGGTCAGGGCCTGAACTGTAGCCTAAAATGAGCCTTGCAGCCACCCCCAGAGCAGGTGTTGGCACACCCATTTCTGCAGATGTGAAAGCCAGAGCGCAGCAAGAAAGGAACACCTTGTGAGCACCTACTATATGCTGGCATCTTACACGCATTAGCTCATAGCTAAGAGTGGGCAGATTTTGTAGCTGTTGCTATTAATGTAATGCAAGCATCAGAGAAGCATTATATGAAAAATAAGTCTTCTTCCCCACATTTGAGAGCGCTCAACCTCTTAAACCTCTCAGCGATTCCTCAGCCTCAGCACTATTGACATCTTGGGCCAAACTTTTTTCTTTTTTTTGTCGTGGGCTGACCTGTGCACTGTAGAATGTTTAGAAGCATTCCTGGCCTCTAGCCACTCAATGCCAGTGGCACCCCCCTCCCCGCCCCGTGACAACCAAGAAAATGACTCCAGACATTGCCAAATGTCCCGTAGGAGGCAAAAATCGCCCCTGCAAAACCACTGCTCTAGAATAATCACTGTTAATCATTTTGTGAAAGGGAAATAAATCTTGGGACCCCAAAATCACTAGGCCAAAGGGAAAAGTCAAGCTGGAAACCATGTTGGGCAAACCCACCACCCATTTCCTTCCTGAAGAAGATAGCTACAAAGATTTTTAAAAGCTACTTACCTTCCTCACAATTTTCCCACAAGGAAATTCCTTGTGGGCCTCAAGATCTTCACCCTAAATTAGTTCTGTTGAATTTCACCCTGGCAATGTAAACCAACAGCTGATCTTCACAGATGTGGGACAGAAAGTCATCCCTCTGCTCACCTGAAGCAAATGCCTATCCGATTGCTTCCTCTGCCCTATTGTTTATGTAAAAATGCTGATTCACTGAGCCAGACTAAGGCATAAGTGACTATTCTTCTACGCCCCCGCCCCCCACCACCGCATGTAAATTGTGTATTCAGTGAAAGGCTGATTAAAGACTCAAAAGAATGCGACTATTTGTCTCTTGTCTACCTATGACCTGGAAACCACCCCCTCCACCTTTCTGGACCAAACCAATGTACATCTTACACATATTGATTGATGTTTCATGTCTTCCTAAAACATATAAAAGCAAGCTGTATCTCAACTACCTTGGGGCCAAACAATTTTTGGCCTCAGGACCTCCTGAGGCTATGTCATGGGTGCGTCCTTAACCTTGGCAAAGTAAACTTTCTAAACTGATTAAGACTGTCTCAGATACTTTGGGTTCACACTTCCTTGAGAATATTTTTAGAATACTTCTAAGCACATGTGTATGCCTTTAAAAAACAAAACCAAACAACGACAACAAAAAGACAAGGCCAGGCTCAGTGGCTCACCCCTGTAATCCCAGCACTGTGGGATTACAGGATCTCTTTGAGCCCAGGAGTTTGAGACCCGCCTCAGCAACATGGTGAAACCCTATCTCTACTAAAAATACAAAAAACTAGTAAAGTGTGGTGGTAGACACCTGTAGTCCCAGCTGCTTGGGAGGATGACTTGAGCCTGGGAGGAGGAGGTTGCAGTGAACTGTGACTGAGCTACTGCACTCCAGCCTGGGTGACAGAGTGAGAGCTTGTCTCAAAAAAAAAGTTTTAAAGAGACAGGTTAATATATACACCTCTTTTATCACTTGCCTTTTTACTTATCAGTATACCTTGGACATCTTTCTGTACATCCCACTCATGAATCTGCATTTCTCCTTTGACAACTACGTGGCATTTCTTTGTGGGTATTGCTGCCATTGATGTAACCAGTTCCCTCACTACTGAGGCAGTTGAGTTGTTTCCAGTGTTTTGCTGTTACAAACAGTATTCCAGTCAGCATTCTCACACATGTATCTTGATATATCCATAGGATAAACCCCTAAAAGTGGAATCACTGGGCCATAGGTGTGTTCAGTTTTAATTTGATGTGCCACATTATATCCAAAATAGTTTGTACAATTTACTCCATTGCCGCTAACATCTTGATGAAAAGTACCAAACATTTAGTGAGCATTGACTGTATTTCATACACCATGTTAAGGGATTTACATGTGCTATCTTATTTAATTCTCACTATAATTCTACTGGTAGGAACTAATATTATTTCCATTTTACAAATGAAAGAACTTTGGCTTAGAGTGATTAAGAGTATTTTCTAGGCGGGGTGCGGTGGCTAATGCCTGTAATCCCAGCACTTTGGGAGGCCGAGGCAGGCGGATCACCAGGTCAGGAGATTGAGACCATCCTGGTCAACATGGTGAAACCTTGTCTCTACTAAAAATACAAAAAATTAGCCCAGCGTGGTGGCGGGCGCCTGTAGTCCCAGCTTCTTGGGAGGCTGAGGCAGGAGAATGGTGTGAACCCAGGAGGCAGAGCTTGTAGTGAGCCGAGATCGTGCCGCTGTGCTCCAGCCTGGGCGAGAGAGTGAGAGTCCATCTCAAAAAAAAAAAAAAAAAAAAAAGACTTTTCTAAGCTTGTCAGTGACAGTACCGGGATCCCAACTCAGAGCTCTCTCAGTCTAAAACCTGTTCTCTTCACCAATACATTTACTCTTCATAACAATTGTGTGAGCTGGGCCCCATTATTCCCATTTCCAATGGGATTACTGAGGCTCCAAGTAGTTAAAGTGACTTGCTCAGGGACATAGAACCCAATCACAAATCTGAGCCTGACTCCAGAATCTGTGTTCTTCTCTTGAGACTCCATGCCAACTCCTCCAGGAAGCTCTCTGGGATTACTCCAGCCATCCTTATCATCTAACCCCCAAGAGCAGCTCCTTGGGAGCCCTGGGAATCTGCAGCAGGCATTTCAACTCAGAGTGCATAGGTGTGTGGGTGTGTGGGATCTCACAGATGTTGAAGTCAGACAGACTAGATTAGAAACCCCTATGCCATCTACCTTCTGAAGTGAACTAGGGCAAGAGACCCTCCCTCTTGGGGTCTCAGTTATTTCATCATTATGATGCTCGTTATTACTGTTGCTATTAGTAACATGATAACAGTGATTACCCCTTATGGAGAGCCTTCTCTGTACCGCCTTTTACAGTGGGTAGTGTTTTAGTTTAGGTCCCTCAGGAAGCAGACACTGAGACAATGATTTGGGGCAAGGTTTTTATTTGGAAGGTGACCCCAGGCATCTTGGTGAGAGACTAGGGAAGTGACACAGGGAACAGAGTAAAACCATGGGATGGTGTGTGATGGACAGGTAATTGCCAAGGCTAGCTGGGCTCCAGCCTGCTGGGGACCTCTGAGAAGTCATGTGGCTCACGCCATGGAATACCCTACCCAGGCAATCCTCAGTGGTTGGGGGTCACTCTCGCTTTGTTGACTACAAGGCATTCCCACAGCCTCAGGTGGGGGCTGGGGTACTGTCTGCAGGTGGCCAGTAGCACAGCCTCCCTGCAGGCAATTTACAGGAGCCTCAGAATGAATTAATCACCACTCACATTGTGTTTACCACTGACCTTGTGTTTTAATTATCATTGACCTAATTGCCATTGACCTTGTGTTTTTTTCCTGTGAGTTCTGTCACTCTTTGGAGGGTCTATGCCTTGTACCTCACTTGGGTTTTTTGCAGTACCATGTGGGGCATGGCATAAACCTCCATAAATTGAGGCTGATGATTTGAATCCTTCAGTCATCAGCAAATATTTACTGTGTACCTACTATGTACTACGTGCTGTTTAAGAAATTAGTAGACTTCGGCCGGGCACGGTGGCTCACGCCTGTAATCCCAGCACTTTGGGAGGCTGAGGCGGGCGGATCACCAGGTCAGGAGATCGAGACCATCCTGGCTAACACGGTGAAACCCTGTCTCTACTAAAAATACAAAAATTAGCTGGGCATGATGGCGGGCGCCTGTAGTCCCAGCTACTCGGGAGGCTGAGGCAGGAGAATGGCATGAACCCGGGAGGTGGAGCTTGCAGTGAGCAGAGATTGTGCCACTGCACTCCAGCCTGGGTGACAGAGCAAGACTCCATCTCAAAAAAAAAAAAAAGAAGAAATTAGTAGACTTCATTTTTTTTTTTAGCAGTTTGAGGTTTATAGAAAAATGAGTGGAAAATACAGAGTTCTCATCTACTTCCAAAGCCCCCCAATCCCGTTACCACCTGTTATTAACATCTTGCATGGGTGTGCTATATTTGTTACAACTGATGAGCCAATACTGATACATTTTTATTAACTAAAGCCTCTAGTTTACATTACGGTTCCCTTTTTGTGTTGTACATTCTATGGCTTTGCACAAAGGCATCGTGATATGCATGATGCCACTATTCCCTGTGATCCACCTATTCAGCCCTCCCCGCTTCCCGCCCCTTCCCTCCAACCCATGGCTCCGGTGACTTTTTCAATGCTGGGAGTACAGCTAGGACAAAATAAAATTTCTGTCTTCAGGGAGCTAACATTTTAGTAGGGAGAGGGATAATATGTAAGCCAGCAAATAACACACCCAAGTCCAGGCGATGATAGAGGCTGTGAAGAGAATTTGTGTGGCTAGGGGAGGGGAGCTCTTGTTTAGACAGGATGGTCAGTGAAGGCCTCTTTGAGGAGATGACACTTGAGCAGAGCCTTCTCTGGCCGGAGACCCAAGGAGGCCAGGCTGTGGCTCCGAGGACTGTGCTGCTGAGAGGCTGTGAAAGATTCCATAGGCCACAGTGGGTGGACCCAGAAAGGCACGTTGACCCCTCACAGTAAAGGGAGGTGTCATGGCTGAACTGGGTCCCCCTGGCCTCAAATTCATATGTTGATGTCCTACCCCTAGTACCTCAAAATGTGACCACATTTACAGAGAGCATTTTTTTTTTTTTTAGACAAAGTCTCGCTCTGTCACTCAGTCTGGAGTGCAGTGGCACCATCTCAGCTCACTGCAACCTCTGCCTTCCAGGTTCAAGTGATTCTCATGCTCAGCCTCCTGAGTAGCTGGGATTACAGGTGGGCACCACCACACCCAGCTATTTTTTTTTTTTTTTTGTAATTTTTAGTAGAAATGGGGTTTCACCATGTTGGCCAGGCTTGTCTTGAACTCCTGGCCTCAAGTAATCCACCCACCTTGGTGTCCCAAAGTGCTGGGATTACAGGCACGAGCCACGGCACCCAGGCAGAAAGAAAGAGGGTAAGAAGTTAAATGGAGCCATTAGGGTGTGCCCTCCTCTGGTATGAATGGTGTCCTTACAAGAAGAGGAAATTAGGACACAGACACACACAGAGGGAAGACCAAGTGAATGAAGATGGCATCGGCACACCAAGGAGAGAGGCCTCAAGAGAAACCAACCCTGCTGACATCTTGATCTTGGGTTTCTAGTCTCCGGAACTAGGAGGCAATAGATGTCTGTGGTTTAAGCATCCCAGACTGTGGTATTTTGTCGTGGCAGCTGGAGCAAGCTAGCACAGGAGGCACGAAACCTGCCCTTCCATTCCCCCAGCCCTCCCATCCCATGCAGAGGTGTTAGAGAGCATGATCTACTGTCACTGAAACAGTCTAGGTCCTAGAAGCTGCCTTGAGGTGGCCTTCCTTTCCATCTCGGGGGAGCAGAGCTAGCTGTTCTACCTGCCTTGCTCTATGACTCTCTGCTGGTTGTGGAGGCCACTCACGGAGGACCCACTGGGCATGTCCAGAACAGCATCACAGACATCTGCATCCTGACAGGCAGAGGCCAAGACCCCATTCTTCCTTCCACTTAGTAGTTGTGTGACCTTGAGTGGGTTACACCTTCCAAGCCTCAGTTTCTATATCTGTGCAATAAGGGGAAGTGAAGGTTCCTCCCTCCTGGGGGGGACCGGGGAACCAAATGAGTGACCGTGTGAGAAACACTCAGCCCAGCCCAGAACACAGATGAGGTTAGCAACCCTTTCATCCCATGTAGCATTTGTCTTTACAATGAGTCTGAGGGGGAGACGTTATCCCCATTTTATGCAAGAAACCTGACCTAAGGGCACCTTGCGGTGACCAGCCAGTCAACCCACAGCCTTGAAGAAGGGACCACCACCCCCTGGCTGGTTCTGCCCCCGATCCTCTGGTGGAGCAGGTGGTGCAGTTGGCTGTGGCACTGACATCACTGCGGTCCAGGCTGTGGGCCCTGGTCTTGTAAATAAGTCTCAAAAATTTGACTCCACTCTCCGTCCCTCCCTAGCCCCTTGAGTCAGCAGGACTGCCCTGAAACAGCTCAAGAACAGACTTTCCATGACGTTTCCAGCTTTTAATTTTCCTAGTTCCCTTCTAAATCACCTCTCTGGACCTCAGTTTCCTCATTTGAAAAAATGGGTAGAAGGGGTCAGTGCTTTCTCAGGCCTCCCCGCCACAGCAGAACCATCTAGGAATTCTGCCAGAAATGTCACTGGGGGAAGTCATGCCATGGTGACAGTCACACTTAATGACAGCTCTTATTGACTGCACATTTCCTATATCAGGTACTTTCTATACATCCTCTCATTTTATGTCTGACAAGGAGCCTATGAGGTGGTTGATACTGTCCCTATTTTACAGATGAGAAGACAGAGACCCAGAGATGCTCAGTGGTATTTTCAAGTCCTCATGGCCAGTGCATGGTAGAGCTGAGACTTGAAATCAAGTCTGTCTGGGTTTGAAGTCTGTGTCTCCTGCATCCTGACCCTGACCCCCCGTGTGTCTCGTGGCTTACAGTTTTAGGGTTTTGTTTTTAGGCAAAACACTGTTTTGTCTGAATTACAATTCAGTTCAGGTTTATTTTAAAATTCATAACAACACAGGTGACTTCCAAATTGTAGCAGCAAGGTTGGTGCCTAGAGCGCAAGTTTTACAGCCCAGGTTTTCCTTTGCTCTTCCTTGGGAGGGGAAACATCCTGTGCCATGAGCATTTGCTTTAATTTTTACATACACACACAGACACAGACACAGATACACACACACCCAGGGATAGATTCATTTCTCCAGCTCTCCTTTGAAATGGAGGGAGTAAGATCTGGCACAGTGGCTCACGCCTGTAATTCCAACACTTTGGGAAGCCAAGGCGAGTGGATCACTTGAGCTCAGGAGTTCAAGACCAGCCTGGGCAACATGGTGAAACCCCGTCTCCACAAAAAATACAAAAATTAGCCAAGCATTGTGGCACATACCTGTAGTCCCTGCTACTCGGGAAGCAGAGATGGGAGGATCACTTGAGCCCAGAAGGCAGAGGCTGAAGTGAGCTGTGATTGCGCCCCTGCACTCCAGCCTGGGAGACAGACTGAGACCCTGTCTTAAAAAAAAAAAAATGAAATGGAGGGAGCAAAGAACAGAGATATTGTTGAGGCTTGGGGCTGAAATTAAAGTTCAAACTAAAATCCTGAAGAGATTGACTATGCTGATTTCCTTTGGACGTTAAAAAGCCTGCCAGAAGGATGCTAATTGACAAGGCTTCCCAGGGCTTGGAGGAGTTTCCCAGAATGCACTGTGAGTGAGGCAGACAAGGCTGCACGGGCCCAGTTCTCTTTGTTCTGCATGTGTGTTGCTGCGGCATGGCATGATGGAGACAGATAAATGCGAAAACATTTTGTACACTGGATAGTGTACAACAAGGAGGAGGAGGAGAATGTGGCTCACATGGCCTGGTTTCAGGCTCAGCTTTGCCCCCAGCTAACTGTGTGACCTGGAGGAAGTTGCTTATCTGGGCTGCAGTCTGTCCCTAAGAAATAGTTGGACACTACAAGATCTCATTTTTCCATTTGAGTCTAAAAAAGATTACCTTGGCCAATGTGGCACAAAATTCTGTTTCCTAGAAACATACTCTTAGCAGCAGCAATGATAACAAAATATAAAAGTAGCTAATATTTATGAAGCACGTAGTATGAGCTAAGCACTGAGCAAAATAATTTTTGCATGGCCCATCTCACTTATATCTCCTGATAAAGGCACAAGCTGGATACTTATATTATCCCTACACTAAGGATGAGAAAACTGAAACTCAGAGAGGCTAAAGGATTGCTGAAGTCCCTGAGCTAGAAAGTGGCAGATCTAGGATTTGGAAATTTGGAAAACCAAATTTTCCTGCGTCCATGGTCTCCCCCTTAAGCAAAGGTTCAGGTCACAGTCATAAGCCTGGATGCAGCAGTGGAGATGGTTAGGGCTGATAGGCCCTCACTTCAGGGTCACCAACAAGCCAGAGTCTGATCTCCTCTAACGGAGTGTCCCTGGCTTCGGCAGGCAGTGCGGGAGCGTAACCGGATCTGCTTAGAGAGGCCCCAGCTTGCGCCATTCACTGGGCCAGAAACCTGAGCTGCTCCTGAGAGGGCTGGAAAACAGCCTGGGGCTTGGAGATTGGCTCACACTATCCCAGCTATTCCAACGCAGACTAAATGGCTTCTGGCCCTTGTTAATGGCGCCATCTCAGATCAGTGCCAGGGGAACCACTGGTCATTTGGGGGCACTGGAGGGAGCAGGGTAGAGGCGTGGGGTGATGGTGGGTGATTAGCAGCTCCCCTCTTCCTCCTCGCCCCTTGGTCCCTCTAGTTGACCCACCACCTTCCCCCAGTTGACGCAGCACAAATTTCTGGTGGGAGGGATACTCAGGTTTGGGAGTCCGTTTCATTCCTGCATGTTCACTATTTATAAGCCCAAGTCACAGCCTGCCTGGAAATTCCAGGCCACACTCCTGCAACCCAACCTGATCAAATATTCATGGAAGCCGATGAGCTGTCATCACCATGAATCCCACGATCTGCATTTATTGCTTTGACACTACTTTATAGGAATTACTTCTCCTCCTCTGCCCTGTGCCACATTTTCACCACCCTTCCCCAGTAAATCCAGCTCTGAGTAATTTATAAATCTGTAGCTTATCAAAATTGTGCTCAGGCCTCAACTTGGGAGAAGGAAACTAAATGGAAATTAATTTATATATTGGGCATTGATTACAGTGTAGACTCTTTTAAATGTTTGTTTGCAGAAGTGCATGGTAAGGTAAAAAGAATCTTTCAATCAGAAAGACCAGGTCTTGAGTCCCAAAGCTGCCTTTTGCAATGTGATAATAATAACTTAATTGAATCTGAGTTCATCGTGTCTCAGACAAGGCACTCACATGACAAGTCTATGAGCCAAAATATGTTATTATTATCCCTCCTATTTTTCAGATGAGGAAACTGAGGCACAGAGAGGTTACATAAATTGCAAAAGGCAAATCGCAAGGTCACATAAATTGCAAAAGGTAAATTGCTAAGCCCAATTTCCACATATTGGGAAAATAAGGGATAATAATTCCTGATTTACCAGGTACTTGGGAAGGTTAGATTCTGTAAAGTGGAGGGCTTAGCACATAGAATGCCTCCCATCCCCTCCCCTTCTCTCCCCTTCCCTTCCCTTCCCTTCCCTCCTGCCTTCTTTCTTGCTTTCCAATATTGATCAAGGGCTGCCATTATGTCAGGTCTTGTGCTTGGTCCTGGAGAGATGGCGTGAACCAGGCAAATGCTGCCTTCTCCTTCACTCTCTCTTGTGAACCTGCCATCTTGCAAGGTGCAGGCGATAAACCATGACCTTCCCATTGTTCCGTGTCCTCTGGCACCAGGAGGATCAGTATTTCCCCTCCTATGGCTTCTGCCTTGTCTCTGGTTCTGGGGGTTGGGGGAATGATTGGAAGGCCAAATCCAAGAATCTTTGTCGTCTGTTGCCCCTTTCTTAGCTTTTAATGTGATCAAAACTCTGGTCTGGACTGAAGCCTAGAGAAGTAGACATGTTTGCCCCAAGGCTGTCTGAGGAGTGAGGAGCTAGGGCAGGATTTGAACTAGATATGTCTGACCCAAGCCCCATGATAAGGCCGTGTGTTCTAAACTCAGGCAACTGTTATGGGTGCAAATTCCTTCCCTACTTTGAGCTAAAATCCCCAGCCTGCCATTTGCATCTGATAGTGTTCTATATTCTCAAAATAGAAGTCACTCTGGCAAATATTTGGCATTATATTTCTGTCTTTCCTAATGCTCCTCTGCTCTTCCAACTTTTTTTTATTAGAAAGGATGTTGAGTTCCTTTTTTTTTTTCTCCTGTGGCTCTTGCTGAACCTGCTACCCTTTGTCAAAGTGTCCCTTTAAGCAGTATGCCTGAAGTCGAATGGGCCACTTCCAATGAGGGCTAAAGTGCGGGAATGAGCAGGCTTCCCATCTCCAATAGTGAGTGCTTGCTTCATCAGCTTTTCTGTTGGGCACACCCTACAAAACATGATCTTTGAGTCCTCTGGAACCACCAGTTATGGGCGTGCTTCAAAGGGGAGGGTGCCTAGGCACCAACATGCATTGAGCACCTCATGGGTTCCAAGCTTAGTTCACACACAGTGTTGCTTTGAGTTGTCTCCATATGTCTCTGAAGCAGGTCTTATTAGTCCCATTTTGCAAATGAGTCAACTGAGGTTCAGAGAAGGGCTATAATTAGGATCACAGAACTAAGCAAAATCTCCCAATCTTTTTGCCCATGTGGTCAGGTTTTGAAGCCCAATGGGCAGGACCGATAACAACCACTGTGAAAATAGTGAGTTTGGATTCAGTTTCTCAGACGTGACATTCATAATATGTTGGAGTTCCAAATGTTTCAGGACCCAGAGTTGGGGTATGATCCCCAACTTCATCATTTCTCTGAATTTCATCATCATGGCATTCATAAATGTCACAAATGGGACAGTGTTGTGTTCAGACTCCTGAAGTCTCCATCAGAGACCTGCCCCATCCCAGTCTCTATGGTCGCACTGACCAGCACTTTTCATGTCTTGACCCAAGGACAAGAAAGAATCCAGTGAAAATATCTTCACTCCCGCCCCCTGCCACCAAACTTCTTCAACTTGTCCGAGTGGGTATTACGCAAAACCATTGTGGTGGGCATTGGTGGTTTTCAACCTACGTTTATTTCTTGTTTGGGGTTAACATTTTATTTACTTTGGGGAATAGAATAGATTGGAATATTGCTTTCGATTCTTCATTCCCCTTTAAGAGAATTAGACATCCATGCCCTTCATCACATGACTTTTCAGTATCTCTCCATTGAAGGGGAGAATTTGTCTCTCCAAGGGACTGAAGTCGAGCTTGGCCATGTGACTCTTGTGAACCGGTGGCACATGAGTGTTTGCGAGCTGAGCAGAGGCTCTAAATGTGTTTGTGTGATTTGGTCTTCTGTGCCCCTATTATCCGGTGAGAAAAACATGTGTCCTGGTCTATACAGGATGAGAGGGACACGGTACAGACCCAAACCCAACATTAGTCTAGAGTCAAGCCCAGTCCCTCCCAGCAGGGACACAACTTTTTCTCAGATTCATGAGTAAGAAATAGAAAGGCTTGTTAGCATAAGCCACTGAGTTTTGTAGTTGTTTCCCAGAATTAGTGCAGTGATAACTGATTAATGACTACAGGGGTGCATCCCCTGTCCCAGGCCTTCAACACCAGGGTGGGGACCATGACCCAAGCTTGGTCAGGAAGCGTATCTGTGCCGACGACTCCTGATTTCCCATCTCACCCACTGTCCATTCTCTGCCCAACCCTCACCTGCTCCAAGCCCAGGCCCCTTCCTCCACTGCAGCCCCCACCTGACTCTGGTAATGCAGTTTCCTTTCCTGCCTCTCAAGCCAATGGGAGGCAAGAGAGTCTCCCTGTGGCTAGGTGCAGGTGCTCAACACCCTTGTGGGCTCCCTTGTCTCACATCTTAGACCTTTCATTCATTTATATTCCAAATCCCCACCGCACATACTGTCTATTTCCAAGTGAGATGGCCTGGTCCAGACCACACCCTTCATCCCAAATTCTAGATGCACCTGGGCAGTCACTTACACTTCATTTTATCCCCCAATTGAGAAAATAGGGATTATGCTGTTGCCCTTTCAATGCTGCCATGAGAGAGAAATGGGATCACGGATAAACAGTGGCTAGGCTTGTGTTATAGCCGCACGGTGGATTTGCAATACAGGTGAGTTCTCTGGGCCTATCTTGCTATTGCTAGCATCTAATGTGATGCCGGGAACACACCAAAGCATTAATAAATATTTGTAGACAGAAAAGCCCTCTGGCAGATTTTCTTCCTTTGACCTTTTGATTATTTTTCCTCTTGACATAACAGAATAAGATACCTAGTACCATGGTGACAATCTCTATAGAAATCCATAGCTTGCTCTCAGCACACCCGCAGATGCCAGTGGGAGGCTGGCATAGATTTGGACCAATAGAGAGGAGGCATGGTTAGCCTTGTCCTGGTTACAAAGAACATGTTTTTTTTTTGTTGTTGTTTTTTCCCCCTTTCAAATGGACCTTCCTGTCCCCAATGCAGCATCAACTAGCTCTCTCATAATGTGGGTTAATTTTCCATCAGCTCCTAGAAAGAGTGTATTTCCAGACTCTCTGGGGACAGACAGAGGAGTTTCAAACAGGATAAAGCAAGCTTCAGTGGAGAGTATTTGGAGTCTGCCGTGGCGTCAGGCTGCTCCAACCGCATTTCTGCCAGAGGGTGGGAACGTGTTTGCTTGGAACAGGTAATTCTTTCGGATACTCTAATCCGAGGTTTGAAATAGACTTGTGTTGCTACCAGAAACCCCTGTTGTGTGGCCTTTTCTTTGTTAGGCTTGTCCTGGTAAAGGCTGGGGATGCATTGGCTTGGGAGTGGAGGTCCTTTACTGAAGCCAGTGTGTCTGCCTCTTTAAGAGGGACCTCGAGGAGGGACAGTCCGAGAATCACAGAGATGAAAGCCAGATGGCCACTAAATAGGATGGCAGCGAGTGAGGAGAGGACGGCCAGCTGGGCTGTCTGCTTTATCACCTTGCAGTGGAGAAGACTTCTGCCTGTGGCTGCAGGTGGAAGATCTGGGGGTAGGGATGGCACCCTGAGCCAGGGCCCTCTGAATGGTCCAACTGGCCCCACCTTCTGCCCAAACCGGAACACAGAGTTCTAGACCCAGGAGACAGAGAAAGTCTGGGCCATGGAGTCAGAGAGGTCTGGGTTCAGATTCTAGCTGTGTCTCCCTGAACAGTGGTATAGTCTGTCCAACTTCCATTTCCTCGTCCATAAAATGGGTTGGTGATCCCATCTCACAAATTCACTGTGAGGCAAGTACAAAGAATACAACTTGAGCACAGTGCGTGGGGTATGGTTTTTCCTTGAGCAGGTGCTCAGGAAATTTCAGTGTCCCTGTATTCTGGAGAGCACTCTAATAATTATTTAACTAAGAGAGGGAGAAGGGGAACTTTTTTTCTGAGAGTCTGGGATCCTGGCCATTTAAAAATGAAATCCCCAAATCCTGCTTAAACACCTTACTAAGAATGCAAGTATATCACTCAGGGCTGGTACCAGATACCTGTAACAGAAAACCCAGATAACAGTGGCTTAAACAACAAAAGAGTTTACTTTCTTTTCTCTCATATAAAATAAATCCTGATGCAAAAAGTCAAAGGCTAGAATGATGGCTCCTCAGTCATCCCTTCCAAGAAGACAAGGCTCTATCTTTGTGCTCTGCTACCCTTAGAGAGTGGCTTCCTCTGTCAAGGTCACTGCATGGTCATGAAACGCTACTGCAGCTCCAGCCATTATGTCCACATTCCTGGCACCAAGAAGGGGCAAGCAGTGCAAGAGGAGGCACCTCTCAGATGAGTCAGCACTTTAAAAAATCTTTACCGGAAGCTTCTCCCAATGACTTCAACTTACATCTTATTGGGTACCCTCTATGGCAAGAGGGGCTGGGAAATTTATGGGGCAGGTAGACGCTCCCAGTAATAATAGGGGTTCTGTTAGTAGAGAGCAATGGCAGAATGTCACCTCTGCCATAGCCAACATGCAGCTTCTTCAACTTCCCTGGAAAGGTTTCCTGGGCATATTTCCCCAGGAACAATAAAGTATCTCAGGTTTTCTGCCTTCTCCACCGTCAGTCCTCACTCAGTGGACCAGCTGTTTCTGGAAAGGGCCACTGGTGAGAGTAAGGTCAGAACCCTGTGGCATACAGGTGGTCTCAGAGGCAGAGCTGCAGGAAGGTCCTGGCCACACCTCTGGCTGGCTGGCTATTCCTGGGTGAGTTACTTAACTGCACATCTCAGGATTCATGGATACCCTTAAGGATCAGTGAGATACTTGAACGCTCAGCAAAATATCCTGCAAGGGCCAGAGTCCAATAGGTTGTCAGTTGAGGTTAGTCCCCGACGTTTTCAACCTCCCATTGCCCACCTACCACCTCGATGTTAATAAAGCAACATCGGTTTTCATCCAACTTCAGATGATACATAGATTTTACGCATCAGGAAGGTTCAGAACCAGAAGCTCAGATGGATTACATGTGGGTACCAGGTTGAGAACCTACCTGGAGAACTCTAAAACCCAAAGGATAACCACTAAAATCTAAAATATTTTGCACTGTCTCATATCTGCCTATGTTACTGGCTGTACTAATTATCCATTACGGTGTCACAAATTACCCCAAAACTTAGTGGCTTAAAAGCCAGCTCAGTTTATCATCTCACTGTTTCTCTGGGTTGAGAAGCTGGGTGTGGCTTAGCTGGGTCCTCAGGCTCAAGGTCCCTCACAAGGCTGCAAGCAGGCTGTCCGTGGGGCTGTGACCATCTCAGTGCTGATATGGGGTTGGATCTGCTTCCCAGCTCACTCACGTGGCGGCTGGCAGGATCCAGCTCCTCATCGGCTGCTGGCTGGAGCCTCCTCAGTGCCATGCAGCATGGGCCTTTCCATAGTGCAGCTCACAGCGTGGCAGCTTGCTTCATCAGAATGAGCTAGTGAGAACGGAAGACAGAGAATGGGAGCAAGATGGAAGTCTTTTATAACGAAACCCCAGAAGGGGCATCCTTCTCTATTTTATTCCATTCATCAGAAGCAAGTCACTAGGTCCAGCCCAAACTCAAGTGAGGGGATTCCACATGGGCATGAACATCAGAAGAAGGGATCACTCGGGGCAGGGAGGTGCCAATTGGCTTTTGGAAGTGCCAAGCGAGGTCCTGCCTCATCCACCCACCTCCACTCCCAGGCTCCAGACATGGGGCCTGTTTCCTTCCATGAGCAAGCCCAACTCCTCCTCCCGTGGGGCCTTTGCTTGTGTAGTTCTGTTTTCCTGGTGACTCTTCCCTCTCTCCCTTCATAGTTCTACTCATTTTCAAAGTTCATCCCCAAACTCATTTTTTCCAAGAAGACTTTCTTGGACACCCTGCTTCTGAGTCACAGGAAGGAGGGGTGCCTGAAGCCCTACTCAGTACTGGGTAGCCCCAAAAGGTTGCCTTCAAACAGAAGTCTGGGCCCTGACTGTTCAACTCTCGTTCCTTGTATGGTTAACTGTGTTTGGACCTTCAGCTGTAGTTGTCATCCTCAACCAGAGAGGCTTTGGATCTAGTTCACGGATTCTTGGCATGTCATGCTGCACTGCCCCGGCAGTCAGAATGGAGGAAAGAGATGGACCTTATTTCAGGCCAGGCCCCAGCTCTGAATATGTGTGTGTTTGGGGCATGTTGTTTTTTATCATCTGAGTTCAGTCCTGTGCTTGTAGAAGGTATAATTTTCAGTCCATAAACTCAGGTGTGGGGTAGATAGAAATATCTCTATCATAATTGAGTTCAGTTCCTATTTTGAGCCTCCACTCAGCCCAGGTAGGTAACAAATCAGTCTCAGCTGATCTGCCCCTCCTTTTCCCAGAGATTGCATTTCTGCGTGTTATACAAAGGTGATAGAAGGATGGCCACCTGCTCTCCCATGCCACCTGTCCCTGGCATTTATCATTCTGGGTCATGGGTCAATGCAGGCCACCATGGAGCTGTCCCTTGCTCCCGTCTGCAACCTGTCTCCAGTCAGGTGACTCTGTGCTTCTGTGACATTCTGGGGCTCACAGTCATCACTGTTCTATCTCTTGTTTCTCATAGGATCCATGAGGCAGGTAAGCCCCGAGTCTCCTAGATGTACTATGTGGCCACTTCCTTTGGCGCTTCCCTCATCCCTAGGCACCCCCTCTTCCTTTCTGCTGTGAGATTTCATGGGCCATGCCTCTAGGGACTTTTGTCTTTGCCCTGACACCTGGCCGAGAGAGCAGAGCACAAAGATCAGTTTCTCGAGGACACTGACAGTCTCAGCACTCCTGCTGTGATAACCTTTCCACATCAGCCTGGGAATGTTCTCTTGGTCCACAGGCCCCCAGGGAGAGCCTTTGCTCATGATGTCCTCCTCCAGCATTTTTTGGCTAAGCCATGATTTTTTTCCAATCTCCTGAGAAACTCATCTTCAAAGCTGAAAAGCCAACGAAGACTCATTTTTGTCTCCTTTCTGCTGTCACAGGGAACAGCCTCAACTGACTTCAAGCAGGGAAGGCCAAGGCAGGAAAATAAAAAGCCAGAGGAAACCACAGACCTTCTTAACACTATCTGCCCCTCACATCCATCCAATATGCATTTACTAGCTCTTGCCATGGGTCAGTCACTGTTCTGGGTGCTAAAGACAAAAACAGTAAAACACTCAGCACCAAGGCTGGACACACTGGTTCATCCCAGCATTTTGGGAGGCCGAGGTGGGCAGATCACCTGAAGCCAGGAGTTCGGGACCAGCCTGGCCAACATGGTAAAATCCTGTCTCTATAAAAAGTACGGAAATTAGCTTGGTGTGATGGTGCATGCCTGTAGCTACTTGGGAGGCTGAGGCAGGAGAATTGCTTGAACCCAGGAGGCAGAGATTGCAGTGAGCCGAGATTGCACCACTGCACTCCACCCTGGGTGATAGAGCGAGACTCCATCTCAAAAAATAAATAAATAAATAAAAATAAAACAAAATAAAGACCTAGCATCAGTCCTCAGAAGTTGCAGCCTAATGAGGAAAAGTGGAGGTCAGTCTTGTAAACAGATTGACAGGCATAGTGTGATAAGAGATGCCAGAGGAGGCACTCCGTGCAGGCTGACCCTCTGGGAGCCCAGGACTGAGCTTGAAGGATGGACTGGAGTTATAGAATCAAGGAAAGGGGAGTTCAGCAGAGATAGGAGTACGTCCGAAGGTTGCGGGGGGGTGGTAGGAAGACAGCCTCTGAACAGTCAGTGGTGTGGGTGTGTCTCTTTGAAGGGAACACAGGTTGTGTCTCCAGGAATGGCTGCAGATAAGGTTGGAGAGAAGTGGGTAGGAATCAGGTAACAAGACGTCTTGGATGTCAGGCTGAGGCATTTGGATTTTATCTTCAGGAAATGTAGACTCATGGGAGAAGTTTTAAGCATGTGGTGATATGGCAGGCTTTGTGTTTAGAAAGTGTTTTCTTCCTGGGCCAGGGTAGAGGATGGGCTGGAGATAGGGTATTAGTGAGGAGCCTGGGACAGCCATACCGGCAAGGCAACCTGAAGCTTGCACTGGGAAGATGGATGGGACGTGCAGGGGATAAATTCCCAGATTGGAGGGTAGGGCTGGCAAGACTGGGTATCTGAGGGGATGTGGGTAACCAGGGCAACTCCAAGCCCTCTAATGGTGCCATTTGCCAAGTTGACAGGACGGACACCCAAAGAAATAGAGGTTGAGGTTCAGATGGAGTGGCTCAAGCCTGTAATCTCCACACTTTGGGAGGCTGAGGTAGGAAAATTGTTTGAGCCCAGGAGTTTGAGACCAACCTGGACAAAATTACTTCTAACCATCTATATAACTATTTTTTTTTTTAAAAATTAGCCAGGCATGGTGGCACACCCCTGTGGTCACAGCTACTCGGAAGGATCGCCTGAGGCCGGGAGGTCGAGGTTGCTGTGAGCCCTGATTGCACCATTGCACTCCAGGCTGGGTGCCTGGGTGACAGAGCGAAACCGTGTCTGGAAAAAAAAAAAGGGTTGGGGAGGAGGAGAGGGTTGGTTTAGTCTGAAGTCCAGGAAGGAGTCAGGATCCCGTGGATAAGAAACCTCTCAGTGTTGCAGTTCTGAACCTTAGCAGAAGGTTCTGGAGCAGAAAAGCCCAGATTGGAAGTACATGCAAGAGGCAGCTGTGGAACTCTAGTACTTTGCCATAGTTGCCATGGGTGGTAGTCAATTAGGATGTTTTCAACAGAGAGGAAAAAAAAAGTGCAGCTGACAGTGGCCCAGATAAATAAGGCATTAAGACTCGCTGAAGAAGAGAGTTCCAGGGCTGGAGTCAGCAGCTCACTATCCCATCAGGAGACCCACGTTCTTTCTTTCCTTCTGCTCTGCCATCCTTTGCTGCGGGCTTTTGGTCACCTTGCTAGCAAGATGGGTGGTGTATTCTAAATTTCAATATTTCCATGAAATAGACCAGTGTTCCCTGAAGCATTACATTTTTCTGGGTCCTACCAGCGTATTAGCTTTGACACTTGAGTGGACTCTTATCTGTAATCCCGATGCAGACACAGTGTGGTGTCTTGCAGTCTTTTCGTAGGACCGTAAAGCATTCGGGAGTCAGCAGGGATATGTGGAAAGAGTATATTGGGGCCACATACACCTGCATTTGAATCTAGCCTTTCTGTGAATGTTCAGGAGGTCACGTCCTCTTTCTGTCCCTTGCAGTATCTCTGAAAATGAGATTTAGGGATGGTGGGTGTCCAGAAGATGATTTTGTCGTGTCTGGCTTGGGCCAGCAGTAGCTCTCTCCTTTATTTTGCTACCACCCTTTCCCTCCATCTCATCTCACTCCTCATGAGGGTATAGTTTAAAGAACAACCCCAGGAGAGGGCTAAGTTCAGTCTCATGAAGTGAACTCCTAATGGGGAATTTCAGGTAGCTGCTGGTGGGGAGAGGCATTTGAGGTGGCTAAGGTAGGGAAAATATGGGCTACTTGGCCACTGCTTTTAAAGCAGTGTTTAAAACTCTGCTCTGTTCACGCAGGGCTCCCCAGTGAATAGAGTGTGCAACTGGGAAGCGACAGAGTGATTTTTTTTTTTTGGAGATGGACTTTCACTCTTGTTGCCCAGGCTGGAGTGCAGTGGCATGATCTCGGCTTACCACAATGTCTGTCTCCCAGGTTCAAGCAATTCTCCTGCCTCAGCCTCCTGAGTAGCTGGGATTACAGGCACCCACCACCAAACGCGGCTAATTTTTGTATTTTTAGTAGAGACGGGGTTTCTCCATGTTGGTCAGGCTGGTCTCAAACTCCTGACCTCAGGTGATCTGTCCGCCTCGGCCTCCCAAAGTGCTGGGATTACACACGTGAGCCACTGTGCCTGGCCACAACAGAGTGATTTTTTTAAAGAAAGTGATAGACAACAACCTACGTCATCTTTGGGGTCAAGCTATCAGAAATAGAGCCTCCCTTGCCCTCAGATGTCTCCGTGCTTAGCCTGGCAAAGCTATGAGTAAGTGTGGAGCTCATTACAGGAGCCGGAGACACTCTCTTGCTCTGCCTTGAGTCAGGCCGCCTGGTGTTGATGAGTCACCACCGCCTGCCCTGGCCCCCTGCCTACCAGGAGGCCACTACCGCCGGACATTTTTATTTTCCTTTGTGGGGAAAGAGTCTGACCTCTGTGCTCTGTGTCTCTATCCATATTCTGCCTGTCCCAGACAGAGGCAAAGGTTCTCTGCACAGCCCTCCTTTTTTCAGGGAAACTGTGGGGGTGAGGGGGCCAAAGAGGGGAATCTGAGCAGGTCTCAGGCATGCAGATAATACAGAGGTAGGAGCCTTTCGGGATTCGCAAGATGCTCAACCAGGCACCATCCATCACTGCCAAAAGCAGCTGTTATGCAAAGTAGCTTAATTGGCCTACAGGTTGGTTGAGTTTTAAACCCACGGATTGTACCAAGGCAAAGGAAATGAAAATATTTGACAGATTCTGGGTGGGGCTGTGTGGTTTACACAAACATAGAAGAAAAACATCTGGGGCTAGAATGGGCCTCAAACGACAAATGTTCAGATATATAGTAATATAATACACAAACATATATATAATATATATGTGCTTTGTGCGTGTGCGTGTGTGTAAGCTGAGAGGAAGCACGCAGAAATGCAAACATCAGCAGCTTTTGGATATCTATATCTATATATAGATATAGATCTATGGATATCCACTATATGTATCTGTAAATGTAATGTAATATGTTCAAAATACAATCCCATGGAAGGTTCCAGACAGAGGCTGGAGACTGAGCCGTCACCCTGGGATTGAAGACAACGTGACGGTTCATTCTCCAGAGTTACCTCACACCTGGATAAGTCACAGCCGGCTGTGGAGGTCATCACTGAGTTGTGTCACACAGGGAAAAATTCATTCATCCATTTCTTCGTAGAGTCTACAGTTGTTGTTTTGAGTGTCAGTTTAGCAATCAGAGGCCTGGCTTTGAATGGCTTCCCCAGGAATCTGGGAAACTTGGGTAACTTATTTAACTTCCTTGGGTCTCATTTTCCTAGTCTAGAAATTGGTGTCTATTTCTTGGTCTGGAGAGGATAAAATGAAGTCATAGAGGTGCCTGGCATATAACAGAACGTGGTTCATAATCATACATAATACGTAATCATGTATTACTTTTTTTGACACACTTCAGTTGAGCACATATTTTGCGCCAAGTCTTGTGCTAAACACCAAGGATATAGACTTGTTTGATTCATTCATTTCACAGATATTTGCTGAGCACCTACTACGTGCTTGACAGACACTGTGCTAGGCTCCCAGGCTGGCAAGGGAGACAGACATTCAAAAAACTACAAATAAGTAGTATAGGCAGCTCCTCCCTCGCTGACTGCCAAAGCTTTGAGATAAAGACATCAGGCAAGAAAGGGGCAAGAAAATGCACAAATACCAGAGGTATTCCTTTTCCCAAGTCTCCAATGTGGGAAGAATATAATTCCGGGACTACTGAGGAGGGGGTTTGAGTAGGCAGCAAGGGGTGATGTGGATATATGCATGTATGTGTGTCTGTGTGTGTGTGTGTGTCTGCACCCATTTCTGTGAGTGTGTAAAATGTCTGTGTATATGCGCCTGTCTGTGTATTTGCATGACTACACATGGAAGAGAGGCAGGTGTGTTTGCATGACTGTGTGTGTGTATTTGTGTGTGTGTATCTGTGAGTCTGCACGTGTGTCTCTGGGGATGTGTGGGTGTTTTGTGTGTTTCTATACACGTGTGCCTTTTGATATGTCTTTCAGTGTGTCTACCTGTCTGCGTGTCTCTCTGTGCCTGTGAGTGTGTGTTGGTGTGTCTGTGAAGGTCTATGTGGGTGTGCCTCTGTGGGTGTGTGGCATGACTTGTCTCCTTTTCTGTCCTCAGTCGTTTCTGTGGAGCTGATCTAGCTTGTCCTTCAGAACAAAGGGAACTGACAACGTCAGTGGCTTGGGCTTTATCTCCCAGCCTGCCATCCTGTCAGAGGAAATGAAATGTACTTGGCACAGTCTGCTCCTTATGATGTCATTCTGGCTGTGACCTGCACATTCCGCTCTCCTAGGTATTTGTCTTTTGATTGCTTAACGAATACCTGCCAAAGATCAAGAGAACACGAGTGTGGGTTTTTTTTTTTTAAAGAATCATAGCTGCGGCCGGGTGGCTCATGCCTGTAATCCCAGCACTTTGGGAGGCCGAGGCGGGCAGATCACGAGGTCATGAGATCGAGACCATCCTGGCTAAAACGGTGAAACCCCGTCTCTACTAAAAATACAAAAAAAATTAGCTGGGCGTAGTGGCGGGCGCCTGTAGTCCCAGCTACTCGGGAGGCTGAGGCAGGAGAACGGTGTGACCCCGGGAGGCGGAGCTTGCAGTGAGCCGAGATAGCGCCACTGCACTCCAGCCTGGGCGACAGAGCAAGACTGTCTCAAAAAAAAAAGAACAAAAAAAAAAATCATAGCTGCATGGAATGTTAGCTGTCCATTTTCTTTGCTGTGAACTTGGGAGCCATGGTAAAGAGACAGCTTTGGCTTTGCAGTGGTGAGAGCTCGGTTCAAGTCTCCAGTCTGCCCCTTCAAAAGCTGTGTGACCTTGGAGAAGACAGTTTAGCTCTCTGAGCCAAGATTCCTTACCTTATGAGAAGGTTCCTTGGAGGGGCAAATATAACAATAGATGAAAACGTTTTCAGAAATCCACAAAGTCCTTAAATCATAGGATGTCAAGGCAAGGGGGCCCAGAGGGAGGACCCTGGGCGCAGATGTCAGGGAGATGTGGGTTTGGGCCCTGACTTCTTCCTTTCCTCAACATACGACACTGAGCAAGTTCCTGGACCTCTCTGAGCCTCAGATTGTCCCTCTGTTAAATAGGATAGCATCATATATAAAGCACTAAGGCAATGTGCTGGCCAATGTGAGGGCCCCTAAAACGGGAGCTGTTAACATTTTTAATACTACAAAGGGGCTGACAGCAATATTAATGTCTGCCCACTTTCACACTTTCAGTGAGTGTAGCAAATTAAACCTCTGCAAGCGCAGGTATAATGAATGCATAGTGTGACAGCAGTGATTTACTATCTCTCGTTTTTACTATTTCAAGATGCAACCTCAGCAGAGTGTTCTTGGCATTACCGCATTCTTGGCAAGCACCTTGCGTTTCATCTAGAACTCAGAGGCTGTTCTAGTTGCAGAGAGGAGCTGAGAACAAGGTGGCCTCTGGCCTACAGTGGTCCAGGCCAGCTGGCTGGGTGGCAGACTTCCCTAGTACCTGTCCCCAGTCTCTCCAACTGGATCCTTTCTACATGACGTCTTCACCTTCAGCAAAACCTCAAATCCCCCTTGTCTTTGAAGATGCTGTTCCCCCTGCCTGGAATATCCTTGGCTGCCACTCGACCCTTCAGCCAATCTGGGCTTGGATCCAGGTTCCTGTGCCCAGGCTAAGGCAGATATCCCTGCTCTGTGTCCCCAGTGCACCCTGCATTCACCCCACTGTGCATGACGTCCAGGGCATTTGAACCGTCTGCTTCTGTGCCTGGCCGCCTCCCAGAGGGTGCCCTCCAGGAGGTCAGGGACAGGGTATCCAGCAGTCCTCGGTGGATGTTTGCAGAGCAAGCACACAGAGATCATTCGTTTTCTGCCCCCACACCCTCCAGCAATACCTTCACATATAAATATATTCAGTTCATCCGAACTAATTCTGACAACCATTTGGCTTAATAGAAGAGATTTCAGAGAGCTGTGCCTCCTCTGTGGCTGCTGATGTTGGTTTTGAAGCAGATGGGTCTGTCTCCCTGCATCTGCTTGTTTTCAACAACTGCACCACGCAGGCCAGAGGACAAAAGGTTCCCAAGTCCTTGAGTAGCTTCAGCCTGAGTGTCAGGTCTAGCATGTGGGTTTGCCGTGATGGCAGTGGGCATCCATGTGGCTTGACGGCCTCCGTTTTGGAGAGTGGTTGGCAAGTCAGGCTCTGGGATTGGACTGCCTGAGTTGCAAGCCTCAGTTCTGCCACTTGCTAGCCATATGATGTGGGTGAGGTATTGAGCCTCTTTGGGCCTCAGTCTAATCATCTGTAAAACGGGGATGTGTAATAGTACCTACTTGCCCTGCTGGTTTTTGTTGGAATTAAATGAGATCAGTTGCTGGTGTAGAAAGAATATTTAATGAAGTTTTGCTAGTGTTACTATTGTGTTGCATTTGTACCCAATGGTAGTATCAGACCAGGACCTCCACTCTGACTGTAACAGAGACTGAGCGTCTGGCTAGACACCCTGCCTCCATCCTGCCAGAGCTGGTTTCCCAGGGCTAGATGTTGGAATTACTCTACAATTTCAGATGGATCTTTTTATGATCATGAAGCACCCTCAAGGAGAGATAGATAGTTCCTCTGTGTCTGAGAAGGGTTCTTGCCTTTCTCTCACTTAATAGCAACCTGGCACACCTAGTTGGCAGTCTACTTGGCACTTTGCTTACCTCATGGTATAGTACAGGGGTCAACAAATGACAGCCCTAGGGCCAAATCTGGCCCCTTGCCTGTTTTGTTAAATAAAGTTTTGTTAGAACACAGTTCATTTATGTGTTGTCTGTGGCTGCTTTAGCAATAAAATGGCAGTGTGGAGTCGCTATGACAGAGACCACAGAGCTTGAAAAGCCTAAAGTATTTTCCATCTGGCTCTTTATAGAAAAAGTTTGCCAACCCCTTGTGTAAAAGTAAAGGATTAAAGGTTTATTTCGTTGAGCAAGACAGAAACCTGAGCACCATTCCCACCTCTCTGCTCTCCCTCAGCCCTGACGCTGGTTGGCCACCAGATTACTTTGCCTCATTCTATCTCATGCGACTAATCTCCCATCGCTTCCTCAAATACCACTGCTCAGTTCAGCCCTGTCCCAACTCCCATTGACTAGCACAAGTCAGGACCACCACCATCCTGTAAAGTGTCTGTGGGTGAATGAGACAAAGACATCCCTCTGGGTAGATGAAGCTCCATGTCACACACTGGTGTGCTGGGCAAAAACCCCAAACCCTGTTGATTATGCCCAATGACTGACAGCCTTTGCAACCATTGGCCAGGTTTATTGATTACACTGTCTCCTAGCCTTGAGTTTCTCCCTGTCCAGGCGGCCATCCACCCTAGAGCTACAGTGATCTTCCTAACTGGCCATGTCCCTCTCCTGCTCAAATTCATTCATGCCCACTGCCCTCAGGAAAAGCCCATGCTTTTGCGTGTGACATTCAAGGCCTGTTGTGATCTGGTCTTTGCCAGTCTCATGTCTCACCACCTGCTCGGCCTCCACCACACCTGAGCACTGCTCTACAATGGGGGATCCCTAGACCCTAGGCCTCCATGCTTGCTCATACTTTGGGGATTGGCATATGCTTGTTCTTCATGAATTATTCTGCCCTTCTTCTTCTTCATCTGCCAAATTCCAAGTCATCCTTGAAGCCCCAACACAAGCATCTCCTCCCTGTGACACTCTTCCTGATTCTCTGGGAGGACTTGAGCACTCCTTCCAGGGTTCACTTTAGTCTCCACAAACCATGGCTCACAGCCCATAAATGGGTCAGAAAATTGGGGTCATGGATCTTGGCCAGCACCTTTTGAAAGTTGAGCTAGATGAGAAAATGCAAGAGCACATCACTCTTTATTGTGTGGTTCTAGCATAGGATGAAGAACACTGGCTCTGAAGCCAGACTGCCTGGGTTCCAGTCTGGCTCTATAGTTATAGGACGGTGCAAAAGTAATGGCGGTTTTAGCCATTTTAAAAAGTAATGGCAAAAACCGCCATTACTTTTGCACCAACCTAATATTAGCAATGACCTTGGTAAGTGACTTAATCTCTCTGTGTCTCAAGTTCCTCATCTGTAAAACAATGATAATGACAGTACTTTCTTCATAGTTTCTCATGAAGATTAAGTGAATAATGTATATTACATTAATATATAAGCATATAATTTATATCATACATATGTGAATGTGTGAATATGTGTGTGTATGTATGTGTGTGTGCATATCTATATCTATATCTATATCTATATCTATATCTATATCTATATATCTTACAAGACTACCTGTTTACTTAAGCAGTGCTATAACCATGTTAGCTAGTATGTATGCACACCTGTGTGTGCGTGTGTGTGCATGTATGTACAGTGATGTGTGCGTGTGTGAGAGACAGGGGAGAGAGAGAGGGGAGAGAGAGAGGAGAGAGAGAGAGAGGGGAGAGAGAGAGAGAGGGGAGACAGAGAGAGAGGAGAGAGAGAGGGGAGGGGGGAGAGAGAGAGGGGAGAGAGAGAGAGAGACTCTAGTTTATGATGAACATTATCTGAAAGCCTCTAGTCTGGCTGGAATATATTCTGACCCATATTAAAGCAATTATTTGAACATATATATTTTTTAAATTTTGCTTTTCTGTCTCTTCCACTAGACAGGGAGCTCCTAGAAGGCAGCAAGTGTGTTTTATTTATCTCCGCATTCCAAGCACCCAGCAATATGCTTCGTAGATGTTTCTGGAATAAATGAGAAAATGAGTTCTAAATCCTGAAGCTGAAGGACCACGGGGTCTCCTCCCGCAACTGCAGGGGCCAGGATATTCCGTTCCCCGCCTCCCTCCCCTCCCCCTTCTCCTGTGAGACACACTCCAAGCTCGTATGGGACGCAGACGCCTTTCTCAGGATATCTGGTCTCCACAGTGAGAATACGTGATCACATCTCACTGCCAGGGAGAGGGAGGAAAGCACGAGGGACCCTCAAGCGAGAAATGGAGGCTCCAAACTGACTGGGAGGAAAATGGAAACTCCAGCTGACCTAAGAGATTTCTATAATGAGAGAAAACCAATTTAAATGCAAATAGCCTACGGTGTCGTTGGGGAAAGGCGCCTTGCTACAGAGGAAGGCTGGAAAAACAAACACAGCCCTCATCACGAGGCTGGTTCACCGTTGGACGGAAAGGTTGCTTTATCCGTTTAGGATTAAAGTCTAAACGAGTGACA
The DNA here is from genome assembly GCF_000001405.40 of Homo sapiens. Classification (NCBI taxonomy): domain Eukaryota; kingdom Metazoa; phylum Chordata; class Mammalia; order Primates; family Hominidae; genus Homo; species Homo sapiens. The sequence continues at coordinate 173,771,560 of NC_000005.10, forward strand.
GAGTCACATGCATCGCTGGCAGCATTTCCCGGTGCTCCACGGTGCCCACTGAGAAATGGGTGTCTTCGAGGGGACCTGGCATTGGCCACCGCCATTTCCCGAGCCCCTAGCAGGTGGCAGGTGCTGTACAAGGCACAGAGAACAAAAGCTGTGCCATACACAGCTGCCTTGAGGGGCTTACAGCCTAGGGGGCCGTTAGACTCTGAAGTCGATTCTGGGCTGCAAAGAGAACTAACATTTTTATTGAACATTTACTATGTGCCAAGCTGAGGACCGAAAACTGTATGTGATGATGGCTCATCAAATTCTCACAGCAACTCCATAAGGAAGAGCCTATTATTTTTCCAGTTTTACGGATAAGGAAACTGACGTTCCAGGACAGTAAAAAACTTACCTCGGGTTGCTGGGCTTCAGACCCAGGCCGAATGGCTCCGGGACGGTGGCTGGTATCTCCCTGTGTGCTGGGAGGAGAGCAGCTGCAGAGAAGCCCCTGGGATTGTGCTGCCTGACCCTGGGTTCTCTTTGGACACTGGGTGCCTGTCCAGAGAAGTCCTCTGAAAAGCAGAGCTGCCCAAAATCAGGAAGCCCTGAGACAGGGTCTGCCACTGGCCTTGGCTTGGGGCAGCAGAAAATAATACTGTTCAAGGAATCAGGACGTGTGAGTTGCTCTGCCACTAACTGGCTGTGTGACCTTCACAGTCACTTTCCCTCTCTGAGCCTCATTTGCCTATGTAAGATGAAGATTCTAAAATTATATGGGGCTACGGAATTCTATTATCTTAGGACTCCAGCTACCCTTGAAAATAGCCATTGCCCAGTTGATACAGCACCTCCTTCCTGCCCTCCTTTCTGCCCCACCTCCTGCCTTCTGCCCCGGCTGGCCCATATCTGTTGCAATGGAGCACTTTAATTTCCTCCTTTGGTTTCATAATTCAAGGACAGCACCATCTGCCACATTAAATCCACGCTCTCTGCTTGCCTCCTTCTCAAAACAAGGGCTGGATGAAGGCTTCATCCGGTTTATTTCATGGATGAGCAAGAGCTGGCAAAACCAAATGGGGACAGCTTTGGCCTTGCAAGCTGCGTTCATCCCCTAATCTTCTGGTAGGGCCCCAGAGCTCGTTCTGTCGCCCCCACTGCCTGCCCCAGCCAAAACATGATGCTGCTGCTGATAGATGACGTTTACAGAGGCCTTTCTGAGTCAGGCATTTTCTTAAGTGCTGTAGATTCATTTATTTACTTCCCACTACATCTCTGTGATGAAGGGGCTGATCATAATAGCCCCACTTTAGAGATGCAGAGACTGAGGCCTGGGAGGCTTCAGAAATTTGCCAAAGGCCCACACAGCCAGCCAACAACAGAGACTGAATGTGAACTGGCTGCGGAAATGAACACAGACACACAAAGATAGCCAGCCTGAAAGAAGCTGGACTTCACAGCGGAGCTCTCTGACTGCTGATCTTTGAAAAGTTGAGGCTGGGCACAATGGCTCATGCCTGTAACTCCAGCACTTTGGGAGGCTGAGATAGGAGGATTGCTTGAGCCCAGGAGTTCAAGACTAGCCTGGGGAACATAGAAAGACTCAGAGACCCTGTCTCTACAAATATATATATATATTTTTAAATTAGCCAGGCATGGTAGTGCACACCTGTAGTCCCAACTACTCAGGAGGCTGAGACAGGAAGATCGCTTGAGCCCAGGAGGTTGAGGCTGCAGTGAGCTATGATTGCACCACTGTACTCCAGCCTGGTGGATAGTGAGACCTTGTCTCAAAAAATAAAAAAGTAAAGTAAAAGAAAAGTTGAGGTCATATTTCTTTATTCAACATTCCTGCAACACGTTTTACTGAGCAGCCTGCCATATGCCATGTGCCACTCTCCATGCAGGGGAGCGCCCCACGAGCAAGGCCCATGGGGGTCGCTCTCATAGGACCGATCTAGTCCACAAGACAGGCACCAAGTCAGCAACTGAACAAGCAGGCAGGATCATTTTAGGCTGTGACAAGGTGTCATGAAGGAAATACAGTGGGGGGCATGAGGCCGGGTGCGGTGGCTCAAGCCTGTAATCCCAGCACTTTGGGAGGCCAAGGTGGGTGGATCACGAGGTCAGGAGATTGAGACCATCCTGGCTAACACGGTGAAACCCCGTCTGTACTAAAAGTACAAAAAAAATTAGCCGGACGTGGTGGCGGGCGCCTGTAGTCCCAGCTACTCGGGAGGCTGAGGCAGGAGAATGGCGTGAACCCAGGAGGCGGAGCTTGCAGTGATCCGAGATTGCGCCACTGCACTCCAGCCTGGGTGACAGAGTGAGACTCTGTCTCAAAGAAGAAAAAAAAAAGAGAGAAAGAAACGGGCGATGCTCAGGGAAGCCTTCCTGAACGGGAGGGTCTCTGGGCTGAGGGGATTGAGGCTTGCTGTAGGCTTTCCCGACCTTGGCACTGTGGACATTGTGGATCCCATAACTCTTTGTTGGGGGGTTGGCCTATGCATTATAAGATGTTTAGCCGCATCCTTGGCCTTTACCCACGAGATGCCAGTAGCATCCCATTTTCCAGGGTGACAACCAAAAAATGCCCCCAGACATTGCCAGGTGTTCCCCTGGAGGGCAAAACCACCTCCAGTTGAGAACCCCTGAGTCACGAGACTGGCAAAGCGGACAACATGGGATGAAGGAATAGCCAGGCGGGCTGCAAAGCTGCTCAAAGTGTTTGAGATCCAGGAAGAAGGCTGGTTTGGCTGGAGGGCAATGGGCCAGGGAAGGATGGCAGGATCATCATGGCCACTTGCTCTGTGAAACTCTCCAGAAAGTACTCAGCAACATTCATGGAGTCCCTTTGCTGTGCCAGGCATTGTACTAGCTGTGCCCAAGGACACAGCACATGCTCCAAGGTGATAATAGTCGGGTGGCTGGATAAGACACAACAGCTGTCAGCCTGATGCTATCCATGGTAACAGAATATTCTGGACCAAAAGCAAGCAGAGAGGCACTCCAAGGGCAGTGGCCATGGTGAAAAAGATGCTGGAGAAGGCAATGTCTGGGCCCCTTTTTGAAGAGGAGAGAGCAGGCAGCTGTGGCCTTCACCTTCCCAGCTCCCGCCCCTCCATTGCCCATAGCAACTGCCTGTCCCCATGCCCAGCTGCACGCGGTTTTGGTGGAATTTCTAATTATGGTGCCCTGCTAGACTGGCCAAGGGGCTGGCATGAGACCCAAGCTTGGCCACCATATACTTTCTTCCTGGAATCAGGATATTGGCCAGAGAAACCCAAGGGCATTGAATGGCTAGAGTCAGTTTTTCTAATGGAAGTGGAACAAAGCATGTTCTTTTGTTCTGGCATAATTTTTTGACTATCTCAACTCCCTAAGAAGCAATTGTTTCTCTCTCTTCCAAGGCCTATTTTTCAGCTTTTCCTTCCAAAGCCCTTTCAATACACCTCTATTTAATTCACCAGAGTGGGTTTCCAATGTTTGAAACCCCAATTAAAATAGAAACAGTATAATGTGAACAGGGATAAGAGAGTGTAGGTTTCTGATTCACTGTGCTCACCACTTTACATTAAATAAGCTGTGTGTCCCTCTCTCTCCTAGTTACAAGCAGGATGCTTTGCCAAGGCCTGACTGTGTCTTTTTCTCTTCATATCCACAGTGCCCAGCTCAGGGTTGACTTCTCCTCTGCACCTGCCATGGTTTATAATTATGCATTTCTTTGTGGGATAATTTGTTTAATGTCATCTACTCTATGTTGGAAGTCCCATGAAAATAGAATGCATGGAGCCCAATTTATTAGGAAGACCAACTGTCCCAATTTGCCTGGGGTGGGGTGGGGGATTTCTGAGACATGGCTTCCAGGGCTAAAATCAGGAAAGTCCAGGGCAAATTGGAGCAGTGCCCACCCTACCAGTGTCTGGCATATAGGAAGTCTTCAAGCACCAGTTGTCCCGGTCACTCAAGGAATATATGTTGAGATGAACGGAGGCAAACTGCAGCACAGCAGAAGGCATATTCTTTCATGCAAAAACATTTCTTCATGCCTGCTGTGTGCCAGGTAACCAGCTTGTCAGAAGCAGAAGATTCAAGGAAGGAAATCCCAGCAGCCAGGGCTGCCATAGGATTGTAGGTTGAAATCACACTGCATGAGGTCTTGAGCATCAGGCTAAGAAACCAGCATGCAGCACCCAGATGAGGCAGGTCCCCTCTGATTTAGGAGAAGGGAGGAGATATGAAAACATAGTAATTTAGGAATGATGCATTGGCAGCGCCTCCCAGGGACTCTGATAAGGAAACCACTGCAGGAGGAATCCGCAGGGGCTACTGAAACAGGGGACAGAACCTGAAGTGAGCGGGTTATTTGGTTGTTTCTTTCCAAATTCTGCACTGGGCAGAGAGAGGGTTTAGCAACTTCCTTTTTCGTCTCAAGCACAGCCATCTGCTCAGTTCAACAAGCAGAAAATCCACCCCCAGGAAACGTGAATTTATTTGTGGGTATGTGATGGATCCTACGTCTTTACTCCTTAGGAAGATTCAGCTACACAACCCATGCCACGGGGCCATCCTCTTGATAGGTTTCAACTCTGTTGCTGAGCGGATGAGAACACGTTTATGTGCAGGTGCTATCGACAGTGTTTTTGTCTGCCTGCCCCCAACCCAGTCTTATATTGAAAGTGAACCCCCAGGCAATGGTATTAGTAGGGAGGCCTTTGGGAGGTGATTAGGTCATGAGGGTGGAGCCCCATTGATGAGATTAGTGCCCTTAGAAAGAGACCCCAGAGAGCTGCCTGGCCTCTTCTGCCATGTGAGGGCACAGCAAGAAGGAGCTGTCTGTGAACCACAAAGCAGACCCTCGTCAGATTCCAAACTGCCAGTGACTGATCTTCAACTTCCAGCCTCCAAAACTGCGAGGAATAAATTTCTGTAGTTTATAAGCCACCCAGTCTATGGTATTCTGCTATGGCAGCCTGGAATGACCAAGACAGCAGCCAAATGAACTTTTGGATGGGGCCTCGCAGACTTTCAGGGCCTGGAGATCCTCTGAGAAGAACATCTCTCTAATTCGGCTCCCTCATTTCAAAGCAGGGAAAGAATCTTATTTGCATGATATAATAAGCAAGAAGCTGGGGCTGGGCTGCTCTCTCTTTAACTCTTCTCAATAAAGAACTGAATCATACAATAGGGAGCCCCTTGCCCCTGGGGAGTAGGGGAAAGTGAAAAGACAGGGAAACAAATAGATTGCATCCTGTGGTAAGAGAGTTTTTCTCCTGTGAAAATTCTCTTTCAATCCTTGTCATTACACCAAGAAGAAAATCTCACTTTGGTACTAATAGGTCTTTAACGCCTCCCTCAAACTTTAACACCTCTCCAAATCTCCCTTTCAAATGGGAATCAAACAGGCCTCAAGCCCAGAGTCTTCCACAGGCAACCCTATTCCTCTAGAATTAAATATTCTAGAGTTTCATAATATCATTTTATTTTCGTGGTATATCTTTTTCTGGATAGCTTCTATTTGTAGCAGGTGGGATTGGCTTTCCATCTATGGTAGTAAGTTTTCCTTTTGAAGAAATGTATTTTAAGTTTTAAATGGGAGACAAGTTGAGGAAAAATAATGAGGGAAAGACTAGACCACATGATATGCAGTGATAGCAAAATTATCGGTAGACCTTAAACCATTGAAGTTTGAAAGCAGGAGTGGAGGACAGAGGGATGGGCTGGTGACCCTGGGGCCGCTCACCAGAGCAGGCTCCACACATGTTATTAAGCAAATGTCAAGCCTGAAATTTAAAAGGTGGCTCTTTAAATGAATTAGAGTCAGAGACACTGGAAAGTGCCAGGAAATTCTTCACGTGACCTTGAACAGACAGAAACCTCCTGAGATGAGAGAGTACAGGTCTATTATTTGACTTGGCAAAGGACCCTTCTGGTGGATAGGGGTGTCCCTTCTCTAAAAAATGATGTGCAGTGCATTTCTGTATGTTTCCTGTGAATAACCACTGAGGCACCAGCAAGGGGAGTCATGGGGGTAGAAGGACAGCCGCGGTAGCCATCACCCATTGAGACCCTGCTCAGCTCTGCCTGTGCTGCCAGGAGCCTCACCTCACCCTTTCAACAGCCCTTTCATGCTGATGCTAGTAACCTCTGACGCTTATGGAGCACACACTGTATGCCAACATCTCTTCAAAGCCTTCATTCATTCATTTAATCCAAACAGTAACCCAAGGAGACCATCATTATTACTCCCACTTTACAGATCAGAAAACTGAGGTGGAAAGGGTAGGTCACAGCTGGTGGTCAGTGGTAGAGGCAGATTCAAGCCCAGACATTCCGGCTCCAGAGCCTACACTCCAACTTTGTGGAGGGGAGTGACAGAGGAGGATGCACAGCTACTAAATTGTAAAGTCAGCAAAACCATCCTCCCCAAGGTGGCATTTCCCCCAAAAGCAAGCTATTGCATTAATTCAACAAATGTTTGTTGAGCATCTACTATGTGGGAAAGACCCTCTTTTTGTTCCAGTCATCGGCAGCTGGGGGCTCTAGGTCCATCCCTGCCCTCCCCGAAGCAGGAGAGTAACCTTGTAGACTTCCTGTTAGGGCCCTGGGGTCTCTGGGTGAATTTGATGCAGACTCAGCCATTAGCCTGGCTGGGCCACAAAATCAGGAAGCTTAGACCAGTGTTGTGGAACCTTGATTCCTGTCCCAGTTTTGTCATTTCCTGCCTCAGCCTCTTTGCAACTCCCGGCCTCAATTGCCTCACCTCCAAAATGGAGGTCTTAATGACAATGGTCTGGCTTCACTCACAGGGTTATCGTGAAAATCAAAAGAGATTGCTCAGGGAAAAGCCTCTTCAAACTGGAGCTCCAGGTGATGGTTGTCATCTGTCGATGTTGCTCTCTGGTGAGTTCTTTAAAAATGGAAATTACTGTTTGTTTCTAATTACAAAAGTTCAGGAGTTACAGAATAGCACACAGATTTTTAAACACGGTTTATTACCCCACTACTTGTTAATAATCTCTACTAACCTGTTGGTGTATTTCCTTCCGGATACATAAAGAGAGTTGAACCCTGAACGATATGGAAGTTGGGGTGTTGACCCCCCTCAGAGTTGAAAATCTGCATACAACTTTTGACTCCCCAAAACACTACAGATAGCCTACTGTTGACTGCAAGCCTTGCTGAGAACATAAACAGTCAATTAACATATTTTGTATGTTATATGTATTGTATACTGTATTCTTACAATAAAGGAAGCTAGAGTAAAGAAAATGTTATTGAGAAAATCATAAGGAAGAGAAAGTATATTTACGTTCACTACGCAGAAGTGACTCAGCATAAAGGTCTTCACCCTTGTCATCATCAACTCGAGTAGGCTGAGGAGGAGGAAAAGGAGTGGTTGGTCCTGCTCTCTCAGGGGTGGCAGAGGTGGAAGAAAAGTCACCTGTAAGTGGACCTGTGCAGTTCAAACCTGTGTTGTTTGAAGGTCAACTGTATGATGATTGCCTACATAGAACCCGGTAGCTTTCTACAGCACTTGGAAGGAAATCCACACTCCTTATCAACACTTCACCTTGACTTTCAGTCTGTGTGATCTGGCCCTGCTTGCCTCTCCTACCTCTTCTCTCTCTACTCACACATTATTTCTCTTTCTTTTTCCCTCCTAATACACCAATGGCATTTCCCCTCAAGGCCTTCGCCTCTTTGCCTGAAATGCTCTGGATTTCATGACTCTGGAAATCATGACTGGATTTTTTTTTTTTCAGCGTGCAAGTCATGGCCGAAATGTCACCTCCTTGGATAGTCCCTCCATCTTCACGCACACTAAACTAGTCCATCTTGCATGCCTTTCTTCATGGCATTGTGTGCCATGCTCAGAAATTATCTTGTGTATTCTTAAGTCCATATATGTATTACCTGTCTTTCCCTAAACAACTTCCCACCCTGAGCTTGTTCCTGTCCATATTCCCAGTACCCAGAATGGTGCTTGGCATACAGCACATCTTCATTACATAGTTAATAAGTGAATGAATTGGATTAATGTACTTGTGAGCTAGGATCATACTATATTTAATGTTTTTATAACTGATTTTTCCCTGCTATGGTGTGACCACCTTGACTTTGAATGGAAGTGTAGCATTCCCTTGTATGGGTGGATCAAAATTTCTTTTCTTTTCTTTTTTTTTTTTTTTTTGAGACTGAATCTCACTCTATCACCCAGGCTGGAGTGCAGTGGCACGATCTCTGCTCACTGCAACCTCTGCCTCCCAGGTTCAAGTGATTCTTGTGCCTCAGCCTCCTGAATAGCTGGGATTATAGGCACACACCATCATGCCAGGCTAATTTTTGTAGAGACGGGGTTTCACCATATTGGCTCGAATTCCTGACCTCAGGTGATCTGCCTGCCTCAGCCTCCAAAAGTGCTGGGATTACAGCCATGAGCCACTGCACCCGGCCTGGATCATAATTTTTAACTAAGCCCCCATTACTGACTAGGTGGGACATTTCTGATTCTTGTGTTTGTAAGTTAATACTACATTCTACAGTGACCATCTTTGTCCATACACACATTTTCTCATCTCTCCATGACCACTTCCCTTGGATTAATTCCTAGCAGTAAAATTGAGGGAACAAAGGGTTACATCGTTTTAATCCTCTTCATATATATTACCATGGTCTGCAGAAAGGTTGTATCATCTCTGAGTTTGCTGTAATGGCCCTTAGCTTGTGGGCTTCTCAGCAGAATGCTCTGAAGACCATGGAAATATCATTGTCTCCTCTTACCCAGGAGAGTAAAGGTTGAGGCCCTCCAGCAAGACAGATCATGCCCACTTACTCTGCAGAAACTTCCTCCCTTTCCAATAACAGGAACAACTCCTAGCTCTGCTGCTCAGGCCCAATGTGTGATACACAGGAATCCCCTAAGCAGTGATGTTCCGAAGTTAGAAGTCACCCCAGCCAGGCTGAAGAGCTTATCATTCAAGAAGCTAATACCAGCCAGCCAGACTGTGCCAGCTCAACCTTCCTCCTTTTGTTCTCCAAAGCACACCTTGCCTTGGTTACCTGACCTTCACTAAGCTCAGCCCATATTTGGCCAAACCATCTGGGCCTCTGCTCAACGTGCCTTTGCTTTGTTACCTGTTCCACATCATTTTTCAAGGTCTAGCTTTACTCCCCACCTAAACTTTCACCTTCTAGAAAGCCCCTTTTCATAGTACAGCTCTCAGGGAGATCTCCCAGCCCAGAACTGCCCATAACTCTGATTACCAGCCTCTCCGTCAGCATTTGCCCATCTAACCACTTTGTGTTGTTTATATACCTTTGTGCATGAGTAACTCTAAATTTTCAACTGAGTGTTTTTCTCTCTCTGGGAGCTCACGCATAGTGTGACAGTCAGAACCTTTGAGATAATCAGGGCTGGGATTGAGCCTCAACTCTGCCACCCACTAGTTCTGTGCATTTGGGCAGCACAGTCAACTCTACTGAGCCTCAGTTGCTCCATCTATAAAATGGGGGTTACTATAGCACGAATTTGAAAAGATTGCTCCAAGAATTCGATGCATGCAAAATACTTAGCATAGTGCCTCCCACAGAATGATTATTAAAAAATCAGCAGCAGGCCGGGAGCGGTGGCTCATGCCTGCAATCCCAGCACTTTGGGAGGCTGAGGCGGGCAGATTGCCTAAGCTCAGGAGTTCGTGATTAGCTTTGGCAACATGGTGAAACATCGTCTCTACTAAAATACAAAAAATTAGCCACCCGAGATGGTGTGCCCCTGTGGTCCCAGCTATTTGGGAGGCTGAGGCAGGAGAATTGCTTGAACCCGAGACGTGGAGCTTGCAGTGAGCCGAGATGGCACCACTGCACTTCAGCCTCGGTGACAGAGTGAAACTCCGTCTTAAAAAACAAAAACAAAAACAAAAAACAGCAACAAAATGGGGATATTCATCCTAATTTTGTTTTTCTAGACCTCTACAAAGGCTGAGCCAGTAATGTGTACAATGTTAAAAGAAATATTTGTGGAATGGAATGAGCGGATGTTGTGTAAACATTCATTGTGCGTGTACGTATTTAGTTCTACTAACCAGAACACTGGGGGACCAGAACCAGTTACCCCAGTGTCTAGAGAGGAGGAAAGAAATCTCTCTCCTTAGCTGAAACCTTAGTAAGAGCTCAGTCCAGAGCTTGCTTGAAAGTAAAGATATGTCATCCAATTTAATCCCCACACCAACCTTACAGAAAGATCTTTTTATATCCTTATGCTAAGAAGACCTACCACTGACTGTGCCAGATCTGTGCAAGATGCTTTTGAAAAATGTAATTCCCTTTAAGCCCTCACACTATCTCAATGAGACAAGAATTATTATTACTGAAGAGGAAATGGGGTCAGAAAGTTTAAGTGAACTGCTCAAGGGCAAATGGGTAGTAAGAGAAGAAAGAAGATGAGTCAGGATTGAACAGAGGCTTACTCTGTTCAAATAAATAAAATTAAATTAAAACGGTTGCCTCTTCACCAACTGATTCCCTGACATTCTCACATGCGTTCAGTTGGTGCTTAATAGGAACTGAATTGAAATCTCATGGTGATCTGTTAGAGACTTGGATCTTCTAATAGATGCTTCAAAGGGAGCAGTTTCTATTTCCGGTGCCCACGGAGATCTCGAGGGAGATTTCTCCCCACCCCTGCTCTGACGTCACGATGTTCTTGTTTTTCTCTGGGCCCTGTGACTCAGCACATGGCTCCAGATGGCTTCCTGCATTTCCAGCCTGTTGGCTGGGGTGCCCAGGCCCTGGTAAAGTAAGCAAACCAAAACTAAGTTGCAACAAAGCATCAACACCTCCCTGCCCCTGCCCTCTGTTATGAAGTCTTTGTAGTCCACTACTCATGATGGCCAGTCCCTCCATTTCTCCCCTCCCTCCTTGCCCTGAGATCCCCACACTTGGCCCCAGCACATCTGATGCCTGAAGATGAGATCCAGGAGTGATCATTCTCCCAGCAACCAGTGAATGGGCAAAGGGGCAGTTCTTTCACCCTTTGATCCTTTATTGACTTTAGGCAATTTACTTTCTCAGCCTCAGTGATCAAATGGGGACGCTAATATTGTCTACTTCTGAGGGTTGTAGAGTTAGGGTTGCCAGATAAAATACAGAAAGTCCAGTTACATTTGAATGTCAGATAAATGATGATTTTTTTCAGTACGCATGTCCCAAATATTGCTCAAATTTAACTGTGTGTCTCATGACTTTATTTGTTAAATCTGGCAACCTTATGTGGAGTGTGGAGTCAGATAACAAACGCAAAAATGCTTTGTCACCTACAGAAAGCTGTACACTTCATGATATCTTTTCCATGAGACGTATGCATGTGTACCCATGACAACCAGCTTTGTCTGGAGCATAGAACAGGTAGTTTCAGGCAGGTAGTGGAGAATGTGTACCACCTGAGTCTATGATTTGAGATCCCTGGGTCTTGTTTGTCAATGGACTGATCTTTGCACATTTCGCTTCTGAGCCCTCAATGCATCCATCTTGAATTCTCTCAAATGCTTGAATGAAAAATATAGGAGCAACAGAAGCCCAAAAGGTTGCCTATTACTGATTGACTGGCATGTGTCATAGGCCAAATCTCCTTTTGATTTTGTGGTTAAAGAAGAAACAAGTAGAATAATTTATAAGTGTAAATCCTTATTTATTACATGCTTTATTATGTAATAAAGAATGTATGTGCACAACATTTAGCTCTAATATGTTCTAAGAGCCCTGCTTAACACAGAAAAACAAAAGGAACCAGCATACCATAAATAGACTACAGTGTTTATTTTTGATTTGGGGTGTCTCCTCCTACTAGAAATCTAAATTCTGAGAGGAAAGATTTTTGCCTGTTTTGTTCCCCAGGACTGAGAACAGTGCCTGGCCCAGGAAGGGTGGATATTTGATCAGTTGAAACCAGTTTAACTAGCTACATTAAAGAAAAATAAATGCAGTGAGGCACAGAGGCTCATGCCTGTTATCTCAGCAATTTGAGAGGCTGAGGTGGGAGTATCGCTTGAGCCAAGGAGTTCAAGACCTGCCTGGGCAACAAAGCAAGACCCTGTCTCTGCAAAAAAATAAAAAAATTAGCCAGATGTGGTGGTGCATGTCTGTGGTCCCAGTTACATGGGAGCCTGGAGCGGGAGGATCCCTTGAGCCCAGGATGTCAAGGCTACAGTTAGCCATGTTCATGCCACTGCACTTCAGCCTGGATGACAGAGCAAGACACTGTCAAAGAAAGAAAGAAAGAAAGAAAGAAAGAAAGAAAGAAAGAAAGAAAGAAAGAAAGAAAGAAAGAAAGAAGGAAGGAAGGAAGGAAGGAAGGAAGGAAGGAAGGAAGGAAGGAAGGAAGGAAGGAAGGAAGGAAAGAAAGAAAAAGAAAGAAAGAAAGAGAGGAAGGAAGGAAGGAAGGAAGAGAGAGAGAAAGGAAAGAAAGGAAAGAAAGAAAGGCAGGCAGGCATGGGAAAGAAACCTTTCTGGAACTAATCCACCTCCCTTTCTTGCTAAGGTATAGTCATAGCCCTAAGTTTTTTAGAGTGATTTACACCACCTCCCAAAGGAGTCTCCACTAACCATGACCCATTCACTCAAGTGTCCAGCGACCCAGGTTGCTTGATATGCCTTTCCCCAAACTCCCCAAAGAGCTGCTGCTATGTGTTTTTATTTTTTAACAAATGTGCCATTGGCTCCCAAGGCAGTAATGAGTGCCGAGTACTGAGTATTTGGATTCCATCACTGGCTGGCATCACCAACAAAAGAAGTTCAGGCCCCTGCAGGGACTCCTTGGAGAACTCTTGGGGCTTGCCTCTTAGAAGCAACTCTCTGACGGAGAGCCTGACATTATCGGTGACTAGAAGCAGCTTTGCCAAGTCTTGCTGCTGCATTTGGGTCCCATTACCCCCGTGGCCATCCTTCACTTCTATGTTTGTTCAGCTGCCACTGTTCCAGCATTCTCCCCCCATCATTCTCAAAGCTGCCCCCTCTTCTTCATCCCCATCACCTGCCCTAGTCCAGGCTTCCCCATCTCTTCCAGGCCTGTTTTATTTCCCTGCCTATAGACTTTGCTTTCCAAATCCATCTTCCCCACTGTCCCAGAGCAATCCTTTTGAGAACCATGTCTCAGCAGCTGTTGACTTGTCCCACGGCTCCCATTCTATGAGCTTTAGGAAGCCAGATGCTCTTCCTAAAACGTTTCCATGTTTCTCTGTGGGAGATGAGTAGAGATGGGAGCTATATTCTCATGGTCGTTTCTGGCTTGCTTCCACTGAATTAGTTTAGTATAGGAATCAGTCACCTTGCATGGATGTGTGCACACACACACACACACACAAGCACGCACACACATATACCTATCAGGTGCCATCCAATCACACATCACATCCACCCAGATGTGGCTTTGGCCCCTTTCCCCTATTTTTCACACCAGAAGGCTCATGCTGGTTATTTTTGTGAGCATCAGGCTTTTCTGAATATTTCTGGATGGAGAAATTCACATGTCAGCAAGATATCAACTTCAGTGTTTTCAATTATATACTTTTAAATATAACATACACGGTTTCATTCTCTTCATTAAAAAATAGGGAGAAGGAAAGGATAGAGATTTGTTAAAGGATACAAAATTACTAGATGGCTAGATAGGACGAAGAAGTTGTAGTGTTCTATAGCATTGCAGGATGACTATAGTTAATATATAATATAGTATATAGTTTCAAATAGCTAGATGGAGGATATTGAATGCTCCCAACACAAAGATATGATAAAGGTTTGAGACGATGGATATGCTAATTACCCTGATCTGATCACTATATATTATATGTACCAAAACATCACTATGTACCCCATGAATATGTATAATTATTATTTGTCAATTTCAAAGAAAAAAGAGTTAAAGCATCAGAGATAACGCTGAGGAGGTGGACCAGGAAGGAGGAGCCTGGTTTCTTCATATCACCACGGAGTCTCCAGCCAGCCTGGGACTACTTACCTCTCGGGCTTCCTGTTGCAAGATATAAATAACCTGCTACATGTTGGGCGGCTGTGAGCAGGTTTTCTGTTCCCTGCAGCTGACAATGCTATCTGAGACACTCCCACCTACCACTGAGCCTCCCTTGTCTTCCACCATCACTTTAGCTTCTTACCAGTCTTTATTTTTCTACCTAGTACTTCATCACTGGCTGACAAGGTATGATTTTTGAATTGCTCACAAGTTGGTCTCTATTTTCCCATGAGAATGTAAGCTCCACGTGGAGAAGGAGTTGGTCTTGTTCCCATGTTATCTGTAAGGCCTAATACAATACCTGGCTCATAGCAGGTGTTTGATAAGTGTTTGTCAAATAAATGAATGAATGCAGATTTGATCACCTTCCTCCCCTTTCAGAAGATAAAATCCAAACTACTCAGATAGGCAAACGGTCATTCCTGCCCTGGACACTACCTGCTCCACCCACCTTGTACCAAGCTCCATGTCTACACCCTCTGCTGGGCCTTTGCACAGGCTGTTCTCTCACATGCATTAATTGAGCATCTTCTATATGTCAGGTGCCCTTTTAGGCATGGGAGATAACTCAATGAACCAGCCAGCTGCAGTTTCCACCCAATGGAGCTCAGCAGAAAGGAGAGACGTAGGCCGGCAGTACAGTGTGGTCAGTCACAGTGCAAGGTGGGATACAGGGAATTAAGAGCTCCTCAGTGTCTAAGTAGCAAACTCCAATTCATTTTTTAAGGCCCAGCTCCAATGTCCCGTCTTCTAGGAAGGCTTTTCCTAGACCCTGTGTTGGAGCAGATGCTCCTGGTGCTCCCTAAGCCCCTTGGCCTTCTGCTGCCACTGAACGCAGCCCACTCTTTTGTCTTTGCCTGGGTCTTTGTGCGCCTCTCCAGGCAGCCTGTGAGCCATAGGGCCAGGAGCCCTGTCTTATTGTCTCCATAGCCCCAAGGCCCAGTGCAGGGCTAGACGTGGCAGTTTTTATTGGATTCAGCTACTGACTGGTCCCTTCCTTGGCTTGCTCTTCTCCTCTCCAGCCCCCTTCACTTGCTCAAGTTTCAGGTTTCAGGCTGACTCTGTCTCTCCTTTTCACACTTAGGTCCCCAGACATTTCTTTGTCTTGTTCTGAATTAACCCTTCCTCTTTCGAGGGAAGCTCGGGGAGGGGAAGTGCCAGCTTTCTCTTGGCTGGCTAGCAAAGCTTAGATGAAAGGCCAGAAAAAGGTATCCAAACTCTCAGCAATTGTTTTCCTGCTTTTATTATTCTTTATTCCTCAGGCTAGGCCCCTCCTTCCCTCCTTGCTTTCTCTGTCTTGCATTGTCACCCAACCATACTCCCTTCCCAGAATGTGACAGACTCCTCACACCTCTGCACCTCTGCACCTGCTGCTTCCCTCCGCCAGAGACGCTGTTCCCCCACCATCACTTCCTGATGAAAGCTGCCACACTCTGTGAAGCCAAGTACCCATGCTACTTTCTCAATATGGCTCCTCCCATGTCCCCTTCCCCATCCCCAAGCACAATAAATCGCTCCCACGGTGCTCTGTGCTTCCTTGGCTGTAGCTGGATCCCATGACATTCTGGTGGGTCATCCATGGTCACATCCTCTCAGATGTGAGCTCTTCATCACCTGGATCAGTGAGAAGTCTGTGCCCAATCTCTCTTTGTCCTTCCAGTGCTCAGCATAGAGCTTGCCACGCTATAGAACCAAATAGACGATTGTTGCTTTGGGTGGCTGAGGTCTTAGGCAAGGGAGTGAGAAGGAGTGGCCACCCTTCCTGGTAACAGCACCTTATTTGCTTCTGGAGAACCATCTTCCCCACTTTCCATCCATCTGGCTTGAATAGGACTGACCGAAATGCACGGCAGGGCATATGACCCAAGACAACCCCATTGGACAGCGCATCCCCTGACCTGAGAGATTGCTCAGTGATGGGCATGTCACCCAAGCCTGGCCCATGAGATCATGGCAACAAAATTAAAGATGAGCTTGGAAATTGAGTGGAGGGCAGATGAGGGCAGGAGGAAAAGGATAAACCAAAACTAGAATTTGTGCCTTATAGCCATGAAGTCTAAGATATTTGAGAGAGTCTGGCCACACTCATGGCTCTGTGTTCCCAAGGGATCAAAGTGTTCTTACCTCACAATCTGCTCTTGTTGTGGGAGGATCTTGATTGGGCCTTCTTGTTGGCAGTACCTAGAGTTGAAAGAAGCAAGACATGACAGTGAGCTGTGGAGAAAGAGCATGCATTTTGGAGTCAGACGATCTGAGCTCAAATTTTAGCTCTGCTACTTACTGGCTGCACACAAGTCCCTTGTCTCCCTGACGCTTGGTGCCTTCATCAGTGAGACATGAAAATCGATTTGTAAGGTCACATTCACAAATAAAACATGCATGCAAATAGCAGTTAGTCATCTACTGCAGTGATTCCATTGTAATTCTGAGTTGGTAGTCTGCTAAAATCATCTAAGGTAGGAGATGTGGAAGTGGATGATGAGGCTTAAGCTATGGCAGAGAGTAAGAATGGAGAGGAAGGTAGAATAAATATTATCCAGGGAATATTAGTCAGAAATCTTCTGTTTGCAATTGACAGAAACCCCACTTGAAAGCATGCTTCACCGGGCGCGGTGGCTCACACCTGTAATCCCAGCACTTTGGGAGGCTGAGGCGGGTGGATCACAAGGTCAGGAGTTCAAGACCAGCCTGGCCAATATGGTGAAACCCTATCTCTACTAAAAATACAAAAATTAGCCTGGCGTGGTGGCACATGCCTGTAGTTTCAGCTACTCAGGAGGCTGAGGCAGAAGACTCACTTGAACCGGGGAGGCAGAGGTTGCAGTGAGCTGAGATTGAAATCACACCACTGCAGTCCAGCCTGGACAACAGAGCAAGACTGTGTCTGAAAATAAATAAATAAATGAAATGAAAACAAAAGCATGCTTAAGCAAAAAAGAATCAGTCCACACAGCTCAGAGGTGCATGGCCAGGAGGCTAGGTCTCTGCCTAGTACCCCATTATGGTCCTGCTTTCCTGTGGGGTGACCTGATTCTCTGATTCTCCACTGTGCACATGGAGGCCCCAGCTGTTCCAGGCTGGCATATTTGCACAGTGAGCAATCCCTATAGGAAAAGAGAGGGTCTCTTCCCCCGCATTTCTCACAAAAGTCTTGGAACTGATCCTCAATGGCCACTCTTCCATCATGCTCCCATCCTAGAGCCCATGATGGGCATGAGAGATATTCTGATTGGCTGAGCCTGGGTCCTTAGTGCTGGGGGTAGGGGGGTTGAGGGGTGCAGAGAGGAGAGAATCCAACCTCACCTTAACTACAAAGAGTGAGAGTGGAGAAGGGGATCTCTGGGGTGCTGTCACTCAAAGAAGTGAGGTATACCAGGCAAATATAAAAAACAGGTGTGTCTTCCAGAAGGAGTTTAGCCATCCAAGGAAGGTTTGGAAGTGGAAGGCCAGGAAATCAATAGAGTCAGCACTAACCAGGCGGTTTTGAGCTTGTAGCCCCTGTCTTTGGTCTCCAGCAGGCCTCACAAGCATGACTCAGTGGTGAGGCTGCCGCACATGTGGTTTTGAAACCAACCTTTCCCCTTGGCCCCAGCAGTGCGTTGGCGTGTCCCTGGGGCTGGTCCCAGTGCCCGCCTGGAAATGCCCTTGGTTTGGGCCCCTGCCTGAATCTCTGGAAAGGTCTTTGATCTCCTCACCCCAGCTCTTCCATTGGCTTCCTCCTCACCCTGGGACAAAGTCTGGCAATTGCTGAGGAAAAGGCCAAATGCCACCTTGCAATTTGCTGGGTCATCCTGGAACAAGTGCTGCTGGGGCTCCCTGTCCCTACCCAAGCAGAGGAAAGTTCAGGACAGTGGGCAGATGCCACCACCCCCAGAAATGAGTAAACCAGGAGGCTGGGCCTGGGGTGCTGGCTGAGACCCTGGCCAAGTGCTTATCCACAGTGATAAATGAGGTCATCATAGCTGCTAAGGTCAGTCCTCCTCGGGCATGTAAACAGCAAATAAGCTCATGATTGGAGAACACCCTTCGAGAGAGGAGGCTCCTGCATGCAGAAGATCCTTCCTGAGCACCTTCTGCCCTCCATGTCCGAGCTGCACACTGGAACAGAGAGGTGAATAAAACGTAATCACTACCCCAAATTGCTTGCCAGCAATGACAAGAGACAGACAGGTAGCAATCAGCCCACAGTACGGTACACAGAGTCTGTTTATAGAAGGACACTCTAGAGCTTGGGAAGTACAGAGGAGGCATGAAAGCTACAGCCGGGGGACAAGTGGGAGGGACCCAAGGAGCCAGGGACTAAGCTGGCACCTGAAGGAGAAAGCTGGTGGGGTGAAGAAAGGAGGGAAAAGCCATCCATCCTGGGTGGAAGCAGCATGTGCAAAAATGCAGTGGTTGCTCAGGGGCCTGTAAGTGGAGCCCAGGGCACCGGGAGAGGCGATGGAAAGAGGGGAGATTAGAGGGGAAGACGGGACCAGTGTTCTCAAGTTCTTTCATTGGGGCAGTGTCGAGGTCTGGTCCAGACTCATTCCCTCTGGTCCAGATCATTTTCTCTAAAACAATTAAACAGAAACTCATGCAGACCCAGTGTCTCCCTCCATAGGAAATCGTCTTAGCAAGGACTCGGCACTTTCTGGGAAAGCTAAAGGGATGTGTGACTTTCTGGGAAACCACATCCCAATATTTCCTGCATTCTCACCCCAGAGCCCCCAAATCAGGCTCGTTTCTAGGAAGTCAAATCAACAGTGGAGGTTTGGACTGTTGCAGCCGCCAGGTGGAAAGACACGCAGCCCCTGCACACCTGGGCTGGCTGGACAAAGTGGCCAGGCAGATGCGCAGGAAGGAAAGCCTGCAGGTGCTGAAGGCGCCCCCAGAAGAAAGACAAAACCATCTCTCCTTGTCCCCTTATTTTGTCATTTGAAACATCATTTAGGGGAAGGTGAAGGCCGTTTGGTCATATATTCCCAGCTGCGTGACCTTGGGACTTTCAGTTTCCTCAGCTGAAAAGGTGATGTGAGAATGCCCCTAGGTCTGGCAAGCCAAGCACCTGTGCGAGGAGATGCCAACTTACTCTTTTTTCTGAAGACCCTCCTCAGCAAAGCCCGAAAGTGCTCTCTCTCCCCACGCTGGAGACCAGTGTGCTCTCCAGACAGCAGGCTTTCCCTGGCAGGGTCACAAACCAAATGTCTAAGTATTAAAAGTTTTAAAGCAAGCTAACAAACTGCTAGATAAAATATAGCATACCTCCTCACACGATGGCAGAGCCTCCTAATGACCTGGAAGGCCAGATCAGAATGGCTAGACTCCTCGGAGTTTCACATTGGCATGCGGCAGCTACTTTCCCCGTTCTTCATGTTTTCCTGCACCGGGAGAAAAACAGAAACCGGGCACTCGGCCCACGTGGCCAAGCTCTACCCGGGTCCCACAAAGCAGCTGCCCTTTGTCCAGCCTTCAGGGCTGGAGCACCCACTGGCCATGTGGTTCACACTAGGGAAAATGGGAGAGGTCCAGGAGGCCTCAGAAGTGGGCATGGTCATTTGGACGGGGAACCCCAGGGTCCTGGGAATCCAGAGCGTCCTCTGGAAGGGAGGCATGTGAGTTCCAACTGGGCACAGCCCTTTGTTCCCCAAGACTCCTCACTCGCAGGGAGGGGCAGTGTCTAAGCAAGACCTTCTAAAATGCAGGGCCCAGGGCTGGAGCCCCTCTTACCCTGATCAGAGAGTGCTGGACAGGGAATTGGAGATGCAAGAATATTAGGGTTTTAATTAATTAATTAATTAATTAATTTATTTATTTATTTATTTTTTGAGACTGAGTCTAGCTCTGTCACCCAGGCTGAGTGCAGTGGCAAAATCTTGGCTCGCTGCAACCTCTGCCTCTGGATTCAAATGATTCTCCTGCCTCAGCCTCCTGAGTAGCTGGGATTACAGGTGCACGCCACCACACCCTGCTAATTTTTTTTTTTTGTACTTTTAGTAGAGACGAGCTTTCACCGTGCTGGACAGGCTGGTCTTGAATGCCTCACCTGCAATGACCTGCCTGCCTCAGCCTCCCAAAGTGCTGGCATTATAGATGTGAGCCACCACACCCGGCAGGAAATCAGCTTTTTTATTTTGCTATTTCCAAGTGAGATCTGAAGTAAGGCCCACAACGTTTCTGGCCCTTAGTCTTTCCCAGAGTCAACCAATTTAGTCTCTGTGCTTCCTTCTGGCTCTGGCCCAGGGTCCTAAAGCTGGTCCTGTCCTTCCTAAGGCCAGTGGATATGGGTCATCAGCTTTGTAAAACCTTTCTGCCTGGTGCCAGCACCTCCAGGGCTACAGTTAGCCTTAGTATTTGACACCTGGACTTCCCTCAGCAGCAGGCCTGGAACTGAAAAGCAAGCAAACGCATGCAAACCTTTTATTTCTTTCACCTGTGACCTGGGATCATGAACGCTGTGGAGTCCTGACCAGGCTCACCTATACCAGTGTCCAGGTCTTCCAGGCAGGACAGGCCTCCATCAGACCCATTCACAGATCTGGCTGGCTCTCCCAAGCCAGGTCTGTCATCAGGATCTTTAAAGAAAATCAATGAATGAAGCAAAATGAGAGGACAGAGGGCTGCTGGCTTAGTGCAGGGAAAAGCTGGTGTATGGGCCCGTAAGTTCTGCAGTGTTTGGACACAGATAAGGCCTTACACTGAATGTGGGGAGAGGAAGGGGACCAGAGGAGGAGGAGAATAATTATTACTGTTCAGTGAGTTTTTCCAGGTGCCATAATACGTGTTGCTTTTTTTTTTTTTTTTTTTTTAGATCAAGTCTCGCTCTGTCACCAGGCTGGAATGCAATGGTGCGATCTTGGCTCACTGCAACCTCTACCTCCCAGGTTCAAATGATTCTCCTGCCTCAGCCTCCCCAGTAGCTGGGACTACAGGTGTGCAGCACCATGCCCAGCTAGTTTTTTTTTTCTTTTTTTGTATTTTTAATAGAGGTGGGGTTTCACCCTGTTGGCCAGGATGGTTTCGATCTCCTGACCTTGTGAGCCACACGCCTTGGCCTCCCAAAGTGCTGGGATTGCAGGCGTGAGCCATCGCGCCTGTCCATGTTGCATTTTTTTTACCTCCATTTTCTCAGTAATGTAAGGACCTCATAGACCAGTGAAATCCTCTCCTTTCCAAGACCTCAATTTTGGGAGGTGACATAGGGCTGCTCACTTTTTATTTTGCCATGGAAAGACATTATAAAGCAAATATCCACTCAATTATTTATTCAGTTGACAAATACTTATCGAGGGTCTGCTCTGTGCCAGGCATTCTTTCAAGCCTTGGGATACAGCTGTGAACAAGACAGACAAAAATCCCTGCCCTCTTGGGAAGAGTCAGACAGTGGCCCAAGCAGGAACTAAATCATAGGTCAGATGGGCTAAGTGCTATGGAGGAAAAACAGGTCAGGCAAGGGGGAAAGGCACACTGTGGGTGGATGGCAATTTCCAATAGGGTGATCAGGGAAGGTGTCCTTGAAAAGGAGACGTGTGAGTTAAGTTCTGAAGCTAGTGAGGCAGTGAGTCTTGTGGGTGGGGGTGGGTGGGGGAGGACTCTAGGCAGAGGGAACAACAGCTCAAAGGCCCTTAGTCCTTTCCACTGAAAAAATAATCATCAAAGAAGGGACCAGGTGAGGTGGCACATGCCTACAATCCCAGCACTGGGAGGCCGAGGCAGGAGGATTGCTTGAGGCCAGGAGTTCAAGACTGTCGCTAAAAAGCATAAATTAGCCAGGCATGGCGGTGTGTGCCTATGGTCCCAGCTACAGGCTGAGGTGGGAGGATCGCTTGAGCTCAGGAGTTCAAGGCTGCAGTGAGCTGTGATTATGCCACTGCACTCCAGTCTGGGCAATAGAGTGAGACCCTGTTTCTGTAATAAAAATAGAATAATAATAAAGAAAGAATATAATCACAGAATAAGGGCCAATCCTTCTTAAGGGAGGGCAATTCGTGACCTATTATGTTGACATATATACACATACATATGGAGATACAGTAATTTGTCATTAGTTTATGTTGCATAGGGTAAGAACCTATCCCAAGTCAGTTTTTGTCTGCAGACCAGCATGTGGCAAGTTACTGTTATTGCATTTTACAGGTGAGGAATCCGAGCCTCAGAGAGGGAGTGGGCTTTGTCCGGCATCACGACAGCTGAAGCCCACAGGCTAGGATTTGAACCCAGATCCTGAAGACGCCAGGGCCTTTGCCCCTGTCCACTAGCTGTTGTGGCCTGCTTCACAACCATGTCTCCTGGCCCCCGCTCCAGGGCTCCATGACTGCTGATTAAAAGAACAGCTTTGCCATATGGTTTAACCTGATTTTTCCTCCTCCTTTTTCTTCCCCAGACTGCATGCCCAGGAAGGAGGCTGGGGCAATATGGACTGCACCTGAGCTAGCAGGACAGGGTGGGCAGGTGGGCAGGGCCGCAGACTTTGCTCCTTTTGGGAGATCCGTAGGCAGCTCCCCGGCGCTATGCCTACTGGGGCCTTCATGCTGGCATTTGGCCCAGTCAGGAAGTCTAGGCTAGGTGTGGCCTAGAAGACAGCATTGCCTCAAACCAACTCATGCCAGCGAGCACTGACTAGCCACCCACTCTGTGCCCAGCTCTGTGCTGGGAGCTTTGGAGGTTACTTCATGGAAATGAATCCCCTTAACAGCAGTGAAATGTAGGCAAGAGACCCATTGATTTGTTCATTCACTCATTCACACGTTCTTTACACCAAACTTTGCTGAGTACCACTTCATTCCAGAGAATACTGCCTCGGGCTCTACGATGGGCCAGGCATTGTGCCAGGCACTTGTGTTCCTATTTTAAAAGGTACTAAATCATAGTATGATATAGAGAGAAAGACTTTGAGGTCGATGGAGCAATTCGCTCAGAGGAGACCTGGGAAAGTTTGGAGAGGAGGTGAGATCTGGGCTGGGCCCTGCAGTAGCGGAGTTTGGGGTGGGGAAAGGGCATTCAGGCAAGGGTAACAGAGGCCAGGCAGCTGGATAACGAAGAGTGTGTTTGGGAACCAAGTGTTGACTGACCCTCTGGCACAGGGTTTCCCCCACAGGACAGTGGGGAGAAGGGTGGTTAGGAAGGAGGCTGGGAAAGTTGGTTCCCCATCTAGTCTTTGTGAGTGGCTCCCAAGGCCACCCGCCAACTTCTCTGACCCTCATTTTGCCATCCTGTGAATCAGATTTAATGACCCTCGTCCTGCCTGTATTATAGGGAGGTTTTGAAGGTCAAAGGGAACCCAGAGACTTTGCTATGCCGAGAGAGAGGTCACTTGCCCCTGGTTTTGCTTCCTTCCCAGGGGTGTGTGGGCCCCTGGGTTTCAATGGTTTCTTCAGGGCTGGCCTCCAGCCACACTCTGCCAGCCCCACAACCCCCACCCCAGGTGCTCCTGAAGGTCAAGAGTGTGTCCTGCTCATTTGCATCTGTGCATGGGGTAGGTGGTCAGAGCCCAAGTCAAGGAGTCAGCCTGATCCCCATTCAGGTGCACATTGCCCCGGCGGCCCCCGGCAAATCACTTTCATCTTTGAGCCTCAGTGTCCTCATAACGGGGCTGTTGTGAGCTGTGGTGAGCAGCAGGTGATACGGAGCTTGCATTCAGCCCCTGTGAACGACTTGCCGGGACTGCTCTAAGCAGGGACCTCACCACCCTTCCGGGGACATCCTGGAGCAGGAAGGCTCCTGCTGGTCCAGTTCCCAACTGACAATCAATTACTCAATCGCTCACTTTGTTCACTCACTCCATTCACTCACTCCTTCAACGAATGTTTACTGACCACCTTCCAGGCACCCAGCACAGCACTGGGTGCTTTGTTGTTGCAATGATTGAGACAAGGTTTTGAACCTCAACAGAGAACTTATAATTGAATTAAAATTGGCAGGCAATATGTGACTATGTGCCCCCTGGATGGGGCAGGTGGCAGTTGACAGTGCAGAGAGAGAAAAAGACACAGAAATTGTTAGGTTGGAGTAGGGTAGGGATATGCGTCAGGGAAGACCTCTCAGAGGGTGTGGCCTCCAGCAGAGTCTGTGGAACTCAGGAGGGTGGGGAGTGGAAGGTGGGCATTCCAGGTAAGGGAACTACCTGAGCAAACGTATGGAGGGAGGCATGCATGTGGCCATCAAACCTGCTTAGCTGGAAGGAATGGGTGGAACCTGGTTGTACAGGTGGCCAGGGCTGGGCAGCAGAAGGCCAGGAGACTGAGCACTTCCTGCAGCCTGGATTCCAGGGTGTTGACAGGAGGAGGCTGCAACACCAGCTAACTCAGAGCTCTGAGATGGTGAGGTAGGAGGGTGAGTGATGGGCTGGCCTCCCTGCCTGGCAGTCCTCCTGCCCCTTTAGATAGGATGCAGGGTGGGAAGAGCAGAGCTCCTGCCTCTGATTCACTGTGTAGGTCAATACTCAAGTAGGTCACTATGTTTCTCAGAGCCTTGGTTTCTAAACATGGAAAACTGGAGAGACTGGGCCAGATGGTCTCAATTGCCTTTCCAGCTCTAGGACTCTAGAATCTTCTTATTGTCAATTCTGCATCTGCCGTGGCAGTCCTGCCTATCCTGGCTTCTCAGCAATCACCCTCCCCACCAGCCGCAAGGTTAGCTTGTGCGCTCATGCTTGCTTCACGTGATCCTTCTCCTCCAACCTGGCTCTGGAATATTCCTGAACCTGGAGAGACACACTTCACAGCCAATCAGATGAATCCTTTGGAGAATTTAAACCAAGAGATCCAGGCTCTGGATCAATTAGATAGTGTTAGCCCTTCGATGCAAGGTTATAAGAAGAAGAAAGACTAGTGTTTGCTGAGCTTTATTTCGTTCTCACATCAACCCTGCAAAGTAAGCTCTGTTTGTATACCCATTTTATAGATGAGGAAATCAAGTTTAATGAAGGACCATGTTTGTCAGATTATGGCATGTAGCTGGTTACGATGCATCCCAATTCTCCAAGAAAAAAGTTTAAAGTAAAAATCAAAATATTTAGCTTTTAGAATATTTTAGTATAGCTTAGTATATATTAATGTACATATTTAGTATAGTTGAGTATAGTACATATTATATATACTAAAAATATACCAGAAGCTAAATATTTCCATTTTTAGTATATATAGTATATACTAAAAATAATTGTAAGGTATCTCTAGAGGAACCTATATTATTTTGTTTATGTAAATACTATATACCATGGACTGAAATTCCAATAGGAAATTCCAAATAAGTTCTACTAACTCTGAAACAAAACATTTCTTGGAACTGACACAGCAGATAAAGAATTTAAGGCGTGAAGTGAACATGGGTTTTATATATTGGGAAGGACATTCCCTGAGATCTTTTGAGCCTATATCTACCGTTAGCATCTGTTGGTTGACGTTTTCAGCACGGGCCTCTTCTCAGCAACATGGACACACGGGATAGATCGGTGGGGAAAGGAGGGATGTGGATGTAGTTTGTCTGCATTGCTGCAATTTGGCTGCAATGCTACTCCACTGGCACCTGCAGTAACAAAGTTCCATAGACAGAATATGACCTGGGTCTTTATCACTTGACTTTCCTGCCTCCCCCAGAGGTGGCTGAGGGCTGGACCAGATCTGAGCCCTGTACATTAAAATCCCAGGTGGGCTGAACTTCTGGAAAAGGAAGAAGAAAAAACCTACAGACAATGTGGATCTGCAGAGACAGTGATGGAGCATGTGATTGGAGAGAAGCAGGGCAGCACCCCAGGAGCCCCAGCGAGACATGGGGAGGACACTTTAGCTCTCTGGAAGCCCCGCCCACTTTCTGCAGCCTCAGTTGTGAGATTGCTTTGAATCTTGATGGCTAGTTCCCATTTATGTAAACTTTTCTTAGTAAAAGGTCATTTCTAGCAACCAGATAGTCCCTGATAAAGACCTCACTGTTATGACGATGTCTGTGTCCTATTAATTAAGATCCTGGGATATGCATCCTACTCCATAAACTTGACTGCATAAGAAATGTTACATTATTTTATTTCCTTGAGGTCTAATTAAATCTGACCCCGACTCCACGTTCTTGCTGAGGTAGCTGAAAAATTGATCTCAGTTGTGAGATGAGATGGGGGGGACCTCTCTTATTTTATATTTTTTTGAGACAGAGTCTCACTCTGCCACCCAGGCTGGGTGCAGTGGTGCCATCTCAGGTCACTGCAACCTCTGCCTCCCAGGTTCAAGGGATTCTGTTGCCTCTTGTGAGGATCCAGTGACAAAGTGGACATAAAATCCAAAGTGGAGTAGCTTGGGACTACAGGTGTGTGCCACCACACCCAGCTAATTTTTGTATTTTTTAGTAGAGACAGGGTTTCGCCATGTCGGCCAAGCTGGTCATGAACTCCTGAGCTCAAGTGATCCCCCTCCTGAGCCTCCCAAAGTGGTGGGATTACAGGCGTGAGCCACCCGCGCCTGGCCCAGGACCCCTCTTCTTCAGGGCAATGCACCATCTGTGAAGCTCCCACCTGAAATCAGTCTTCAGTCCAACCTTGCAGACTTGGCTACTGCTGATCTTCTCCTCATCCCTTCTGTGGGGGCCCCTATAGGTAGGCATCTATTGTACTGCTGTGCCAGGGTCTAGCCTCCCTGAATTAAATGTGCCACTCAGCCATTTCCATTGGTCACTGAAGTTTCCACCCCCACCCAGTCCTGGTCAGTCTCCCTCTGTCTCACTGCACTCAAAGGCACTTGGCTCTCTCCCTCCCCTGCAGCATAATAACTCAAGTTCAGGCTTTTACTCAAAGCCAGAGGAGGCAGCCTGTCATTGAGTACCTTCTAGTAGCATGGGGCTAGTTTGTACTGGAGGAAGGAAGAGGGAGTATAGGAGCACAGAAAGGAAAGGCAACACCCCACTGGTCATCATGGCAATCAGCTAGGGTGTTCCTACTGGCCACAGTACCCACTGCTTCTGGAAACCTCTCTTTTCCAGAAGGCCCCTGTGGCCATGGAACATAGATCCCCCACTGACATTTGAGTGGGTTCCTGAAGTTATTGCCTGCAGCACAAGATCCATTTGCTCCGAGCAGTGAGAGATGGAGAGGGAGCAACTGGGCCCTAGAGCCGGGTGGTCAGCATGAGGCTCCAGCAGGATCCTGGCGGGTGGTGGCTTTCCCAGCCAGCTTCTCCGAGAGCTGCCCCAGCCCAGGCCACTGCTATTTCTCCAGGATTCTTCCTTGGGGGTAGCTCTATGATCATTTTTATTGGATGTGTCAAAATCACTTTGCTTAAACTCAAATCTGGTCTAGGTTCTCTGTTGAAATAAATCCTAAACGTCTCAATGCAGACTTCAAGGCTCTGCAAAATTCAACCTCACCCTAAATTCAAGCCTCACCCTTTCTCTCCTCACATTCTCCTTGGGCTCCAGAATCACATACATATTATTTCTCTCTTCTCCTGGCCTTTGGTTATCCTGTGTCCCCTGCCTGGCACACAACCTCCCCAGCAGGCATTTTGGCTGACTCCAGAGCCATCCTTCAGTGTTGGAGAGTAGAGGGAACGGTGGCTTTGAAGTGCCCAGGTCTGGAGTCAAATGCCTGCTCTGCTACTTGCTGGATGTGTGATCTGTTGTTCTCTGAGCCTCAAGCTTCCCATCTGTAAACTGGTTATCACTAAAGCAACTACACAGGGCTGAAGTGAGGATCCAGTGAGAAAATGGACATAAAACACAAAGTGAAGTGAGAAAATGTGCCACTCTGATATGCTGTCAGCATAGAAAACTGTCTCTTCCATTCCTTCAACAAATATCCCCTCTTTGCACTCTACCCCCAGCTGAATAAAAGCAGAGTGTAGTTTATGTAGCTTAAGAGGTGACTGACAGCTAGATTCTTGGTCAGGAGATTGCGTGATAGAGAGTCTGAAAGTGACAGGTATCATTTATTAACACTTGCCATGTGCCCAGCACCATGTGGAATGCCCACAGATGTTACCCACTGAGTTCACACATCCCCGGGCAGGGAGGAGCTTTTTTCATTTGTCTGTTTTTATGAACAACAAAAAAGAGGCTCAAAGAGTTTAAGTGACTTATCCAATGTCACTGCAGTTAAAACACACACACACACACACACACACATCCACACACATGTACATATATACACTTATTTTTTAATTAATTAATTAATTAACTAATTATTTATTTTTGAGACAGAGTTTCACTCTTCTTGCCCAGGCTGGAGTGCAAAGGCATGATCTTGGCTCACCACAACCTCGCCTCCCCTGTTCAAGCGATTCTCCCGCCTCAGCCCACCAAGTAGCTGGGATTACAGGCATGTGCCACCACGTCCAGCTAATTTTTTTGTATTTTTAGTAGAGACGGGGTTTCTCCATGTTGGTCAGGCTGGTCTCGTACTTCCGACCTCAGATAATCCACCCACCTCAGCCTCCCAAAGTGCTGGGATTACAGGCGTCAGCCACCGCGCCCAGCCCATATATACACTTCTATACACCCTTCCACCCCACATCCCTTCACAGTCTCACACATACTCACACACTCATACATACACACAGGCACTCTGTCTCACACACTTTCACATACACACATGCGAGGAAAAGGATATACGGGAGATTGGACCTTGGTTGGCTCAGAAAAAGCAAGAAGCCATGAATAGCAAAAAGGACAAGCAACACCCATCCAGTCCCAACCAAGGGTGGCAAAGCAGGCTGAATGCAGGAGTCCTGGCTGCTATTTCTGACACTGCTATGCTGAGGAAAGAGTTTTGGGCATGATGATGCTGTTGTTTCATTGGTGCTTAAGGGGCTGCTTTCTCCCCTGAAACGATCTTCCTATTCACAGCAGTCCCAGATAATCAGACACTGGCAAAGAACATGTGCCCAAAACATGGTGGTGAGTTTTTATGAGGGAGGCGAATACCACTCCCTTGTCTCAGGACATTCCAAACCTTCGCCTTATCTGACTTAAGCAGCACAGACACGCTCTGGCGGATCGGTGGAATACTCCTTGGATTCCTACATTTAACCTTGCTCTCTCAGTCCCTGTGGTTTTGTTGATTGCACACACACCTTTCGTTTCCATGGACCACAGGGTACATGTTACTCTTGGAAATGTTATATTAAATTTGACAAATAAATGAAATTTTTAAAATGCTGCCTGTGAATGCCTGTGAGCATTTTAGTGTTTCAGACACGTACTCACTTAGAAGTGGTGATTAGGCCTGTGCCCAACAGGCTGGGCCATCTGCAGTGTTATTCATCCTTCATTCAAAAATGTTTATTGAGGCCGGGTGCAGTGGCTCATGCCTATAATCCCAGCACTTTGGGAGGCCGAGCTGGACGGATCACCTGAGGTCAGGAGTTCAAGACCAGCCTGGTCAACATGGCAAAATGCCAGTGCTACAAAAAATACAAAACTTAGCCGGGCATGGTGGTGCACACCTGTAGTCCCAGCTATTCAGGAGGCTACGGCAGGAGAATCACTTGAACCCAAGAGACAGAGGTTGCAATGAGCCGAGATCGCACCACTGCATTCCAGCCTGGGCAACAGAGTGAGATTCTGTCTCGATTAAAAAAAAGGAAATATTTGTTGAGCACCTAGCATAAGCAGGACACCGTTATGGGCCTGTGATGACAATCGAATGCCAAACAGGCAAGGCTCCTGTATCCAAGGAGATGACCGGAGGGAGACAGAAAACAAGTCAGCAAACAAAGCAATGAGCAAAATCATTTCAAGCAGTGGTGTGTTAGAGACACAATACAAAAGCTTGTGCAACACCCGACACTTGTTCACAGCTGCGTACAGCACTATTCACAACAGCCCAAAGTTGGAAACAACCTTCCTGTTCATCAGCAGATGAATGGATGCACAAAATGTGGGTATCTACATTCACCTTTAATAAGAAAGGAAATTCTGACACATGCTACAACATGCATGGACTTTGAGGATACTATGCTAAGGGAAATAAGCCAGTGACAAAAGGACACAAACCGTGTAATTCCACTTATATGAGATTCCCAGAGTAGTCAAATTCACAGAGATAGAAAGTAGAGTAGAAGTTACCAGGGGCCGGAGAATTATTGTTCAATGAGTATAGAGTTTCTCTTTGGCATGAATAAAACGACTGGAGACAAATGGTGGTGATGGTCACACAACAATGGGAATGAACTTACTGCCACTGAAGCATATACTTAAAAGTGGCTAAAAAGATACATTTTATATATGTATGCTTTACCACCAAAAAAATGACTTTTTTTTTTTTGAGATGGGTTCTCCCTTTGTTGCTTAAGCTGGAGTGCAGTGGCATGATCTCGGCTCACTGCAACCTCTGCCTCCTGGGTTCAAGCAATTCTTCTGCCTCAGCCTCCCGAGTAGCTGGGACTACAGGTGCCCGCCACCATGCCTGGCTAATTTTGTATTTTTAGTAGAGATGGGGGTTTCACCATGTTGTCCAGGCTGGGCTCGAACTCCTGAACTTGTGATCCACCCGCCTCAGCCTCCCAAAGTGCTGGGATTACAGGCATGAGCCACCGTGCCCAGCTAAAAAAATGACTTTTTTTAAAAAAAGGTTATGTGCTAGAGAGTAACTGGGTGGAGATGGAGAGTGAGTGAATGCACCTGAGATGGCTGTGGAAGGCCTCATTGGGAAGGGACATTGGAGCAGAGTGGAGAGAGGTCAGGCAGGAGAGCTAGGTTGGGGGGAGGCAGTTGCATGTGGGGCCTCGAGGCCAGAGCAGGGAGTGTGACTCTTATTCTAAGCAGCAGACAAATTACAAAAAAATGTAGCTGCGGGGTGACATAATCAAACTGACACTTTTAAAAGCTCCTTCAGGCCAGGCATGGTGGCTCACGCCTGTAATCCCAGCACTTTGGGAGGCCAAGGCAGGCGGATCACTTGAGGCCAGGAGTTCGAGAGCAGGCTGGCCAACATGGCAAAACCCCATCTCTACTAAAATTTAAAAAATTAGCAGGGTATGGTGGCTCATGCCTGTAATCCTAGCTACTCGGGAGGCTGAGGCAGGAGAATCGCTTGAACCCGGGAGGCGGAGCTTGCAGTGAGCTGAGATCGCGCCACTGCACTCCAGCCTGAGAGAGAGAGTGAGACTCTGTCTCAAAAAAATAAAAATAAAAATAAAATAAAATACAAGCTCCCTCGAGCTGCTGTGGAGCAGAGATTGCCAGGGAAGACACTGGAATCCACGGGAGCTGTGGGGAGGTGAGTGTGGGAGTCCAGGAAAGAGGTGAGGCCTGTCCCCTTCTCATATCTCAGCCCATTTGCCCCTGCCTGGTCACATGTTGGATCAGCAGGTCACACGTTGGGAAAGGAAGATGAGGAAATCAGAGTGTTGAAATCCACTGTGGCTGTGCATGGCAAAGGCTCTGCCCTGTTGGGGAATGGGGCGTGGCCCATGCTGCCCCTTGGACCTAAGCCTCATTCACTCAGCTTGCCATGGGAGACACTGGCGCAGGGGTCTGTGGGCAGGGGCCAAGGGTGGGCAGGGTGGTGGTTTCCAAGGGCATTGGCCTGAGGGTCAGCAGAGCTGGCTCAACCCCAACTCTGATGCCAGCGGCACGCCTTGAATGAAGGAGCTCACCTCCCTCAGTCTCAGTTTCTCCATCTGTAAAAGGAGGATAATAACGGTTCTTACATTGCAAGGTCATTGTAAGGGTTCAACAGGATAATGCGTCTTAAGCTTTTAACACTGTATCCAGCTCAGGATAAACTCTCAGTAAAGGATAGTTATCATCATTATCATCATCATTATTTTACTATTCTAGATCTAAAATATTTACTCCATCTGCCCCAGGCACATTAAGATCATAAGACCTTCCCATCTAAACTTGTAAGTCCCTTTGATTAGTGAGGTTGGCTACCATTTAATACTCTGGGAGAATTTTGCGGGCAGTGTTTGGATCTTCTTCATCATTCTCTTCTCCTTCAAGTCACACAGTAGGCATTCCTGTCTGTGGTGACTCTACACCTTCATTTTTGTGGATAGCACTCAGAATTCCTGGAGTTACCTGTTCGGTGTCTGTGTTTCCTGCCAGAGGTGCTCTATTTAGGTGGGACCACCCCTCCCTTGGCTATCGTTGTGTTAATAGTGGACAGATTAAGAATCCAGACTTGGCCAGGTGCAGTGGCTCACACCTGTCATCCCAGCACTTTGGGAGGGCTAGGAGGGAGTATTGCTTGAGCCTAGGAGTTTGAGACCAGCCAGGGTAACATAGGGAGACCCCATCTCCACAAAAAATTAAATATTAGCCAAGCATGTTGGCATGTGTCTATAGTCCCAGCAACTTGGGAGGCTGAGGTGGCAGGATCACTTGGGCCCCAGGGGGTTGAAGCTGCAGTTAGCCAAGATCACACCACTGCACTGCAGCCTGGGTGACAGAGTGAGATCCTGTCTCAAAATAAATAAATAAATAAAATCCAGACTTCAGTATATAGTCATCCCTTGGTATTGATCTGTAGGATATTGGTTCTAGACTCTCTTTCAGATACCAAAATTCAAGGATGCTCAAGTCCTGATATAAAATGGTTTGGTATTTGCTTATAACCTAGGCACATTCTCCGGTATACTCTTTTTACTATTTTTTTTTTTTAAGATGGAGTCTTGCTCTGTGACCCAGGCTGGAGTGCAGTGGTGCAATGTCGGCTCACTGCAACCTTCGCCTCCCAGGTTCAAGCAATTCTCGTTCCTCAGCCTCCCGAGTAGCTGGGATTACAGGAACATGCTACCGTGCCAAGCTAATTTTTTTTTTTTTTTTTTTTTGTATTTTTAGTAGAGATGAGGTTTTGTCATGTTGCTGGTCTGGAACTCCTGACCTCAGGTGATCTGCCCGCCTAGGCATCCCAAAGTGCTGGGATTACAGGTGTGAGCCACCATGCCCAACCTCTCCTGTATACTTTAGATCATCTCTAGATTAGTTATAATACCTAATAAATATAAGTTCTGTATAAATAGTTGTTATATTGTTTAGGGAATAATCACAAGGAAAAGTGTCTGCTCATGTTCAGTACAGACACACTTTTTTCCTGAATATTTTACATCCACAGTTGGTTGAATCCACGAATGCAGAAACTATGGATACCAAGGATTGACTGTATATCCAAAATAATTGAAAGAAAGGACTCAAACAGATACTTGTACACAAATGATCATAGCAACACTCTTCACAATAGCCAGAAGGAGGAAGCAACCCAAGTGTCTATTGACAGATGAGTCGATAAACAACATGTGGTATATCCATACGATGGAATATTATTTAGCCTTAAAAAGGAAGAAAATTCTGATAACGTGCTGCAATGTGGATGAAAATTGAGGGCACTACGCTAAGTGTAGTGCAATCTCGGGTACTATGATAAGTCAGTCACAAAAAGACAATTGAGGGTACTACGATAAGTCAGTCACAAAAAGACAAATGTTGTATGATTCCACTTATATAAGTAGTCAAACTCAAAGAGACAGAAAGTAGAATGGTGGTTGCCAGGGCTGGGCGAGGGGACGTGGAGAGTTGTTTCATACATATGTCTCAGTTTTGCAAGATGTAAGAGTTCTGGAAGTGGGTCGCACAACAATGCGGGTACACTTAACACCACTGAGCTGTACACTCAAAAATGGTTATGATGGTGAATTTCATGTTATGTGTTTTTTTTTAAACTACAATTTTAAAAAAGAAAAAGAATCTGGACTTTTGAGAAGAGAGGCCTGGGTTACAACCTGAACTCTGATGTAAATGGAAAGAACAACGTTACCAGTCTCTTGGGGTGAACCTGAGTCTTGCATGCGATACTAATGTAAAATCCAGTGCCTGATACGTGGTATGTACTTAACAAATGTTATATCTTTGCTTGTATTATCCTGAATGCTCAATAAACATCGGTTGAAATAAATGAATGAAACAAATGTTTAAAAAGGTAACAGCACTCACTCTTCAAAGGAGGCTTTGTGTTGGGAGCTATTGTTGGGCCTCT
This sequence comes from Homo sapiens, assembly GCF_000001405.40. Lineage (NCBI taxonomy): Eukaryota > Metazoa > Chordata > Mammalia > Primates > Hominidae > Homo > Homo sapiens. The sequence continues at coordinate 173,805,504 of NC_000005.10, forward strand.
CCAGTGCTGAATCCAGGAGTCCCATCTTGACTGTCGGTGGCCTTTGTTGCAGTTGTTCCTTCTTTTCTTCCTGAAACCTTTTCTTCACCTGGCTTCAGGGACAGGACTCTCTCTTGGTTCTCCTTGTACCTCCCCACCCTCAACGTCTCAATCTCCTTTGCTGGTCCTCCTCAGCTTCCTGACCCGTCAATGCTAATGTGCTTGGGACCCAGTGATTCCTTCTCTTCCCTTTTCTATCTGTACGTACTCCGTAGGAGGCCTCAGCCAGACTCATGGCTCCACATCCCATTAATGCATACATTAATACCATAGATACATACATAATACAGCTCTCCACCTTGCACCTCTCCCCTGAAATCCAGACCATTATATATCCACTCTCTCCTTGATGCTTCCACTTGAATGTCTAACTCAACATTTTAATAAACAAATAGAAGACATCCAATTTAGTACATCTAAAAAGAATCCTATCTCAGTAAACGACAACTCCACTTCCAATTGTTTAGACCAAAAATCTGGGAATCATCCTTACCTTCTCTCTTTCTCTCATGTCCCCCATTTGAGCTATCGGTAAATCCCATCTGTTCAGCCTTCAGAATCTACCCACTTCATTCCACTGCTATCATCTCATTCCAAGCCCAAAACCCTTTGCCTGGATTACTGTTATTGACTTGTCAGTGATCTCCTTGCATTTATCTTGAACCCCCTTCTCAACAATGTATTCCTGACACAGCAAACGGAGTGATCCTTTAAAAACTGAAGATCATATCCTTTCTCCCATCAAAACATCCTATGGCCTCATTTTTCACTCAGGGTGAAAGCAAAGTCCTTGCAGTGCCTGTAAGTCCACATACTCTGGCACTGTCATATCTGAGACTTTAACTGCTACCATGGTCCCATTGGCTCACCCTGCTCCAGCTTCTCCGCCTTCCTGCAGTTGTTTGCATATGCTTGCAGGCTCTTGCCCCAGGGCCTTTGCACTCCCTCTCCAGGGCCCCTCTTCCTGCTGATATAACCATGGTATGCTTCCTCCATTTGTGCAGATCTCTACTCACAGACCGTATTATTGGAGAGATCTTTGTGCCCCCTCTATGAGGAGTCATATCCCTCCACTGATCTACCTCCTTTTCTACCCTTTACCTTGCTATACTTGTCTATCACCATCTGATACACTATACGTCTCACTGACTGTTCTTTTACATTGTCTATTGACTCCCTAAAATGTCAGCTCTATGGGGTCAGGGACCTTGCCTGACTCTTGCACTGATGTTTCTCAAGAGCCCAGTGCCAAGCACATGGTAGATCTTCAGTAAATATGTATCCAGTGAATCAGTGTGCACGTCTGCAAAGAGGCTGTGACCTGCGTGAGTTTTCCAGCTGTAAGAGTCAATGAATGGCCGAGACTCTCCGTGTTGCATCTTTCCTAGAGGAAAGGGCATTGCTGTTGCAATTGCCTCACAATCAACTGTGCTGGGTGGATTTACTGGGTAATTGCATGGCATTGGCCCAAACTGCAGAAGTAGATCTTTTCCCCATTTCTTTAGCGATCTCCTGAAGAGCCTGCCCAGCAACTAGACCCTTCAGCTAGCACCTTTACTAACAGGGCTGGGTTTGTCCAGGGTACCGGGGTGGGGTCCTGGATCCTCTGAGAAAAGGTCAGTAGAAGTGCAAATGCTGGTCCCCCAGACACTGGATTTGCCGGTCACACGCAGCAGAAAGAACAGCATGTTCTTTACAAGCAGAGAACAAACCTCTCCGCAAACCTCCCCACTTGAGCTGGGATTTTCCTTCCTCCCCTATAGTGAGCCAGGCCTTGACCATAGCAACTGGCAGCATTTCCCTGATTCCCAGGCTTTCGTTTTGCGTTGCCACGGAAATGGACCACTGGACTCCAAGACATATTCCAGTGACATTCATTCACACACCTGATTGTCCTCTCCGAGGGCCCAAACACACATACACACACATGCGCGCACGCACACGCACACATACACACAAAGTGACCTTGATGCGATCGTTCTAATTGCCCTGTAACACCGCAGACACGAGAATGAGTGGGTCACATGGCAGCTACTTAAGACTCACATGGGCTGCTCATGTGGCCCATGTGCAAAGATGAGGGGGAAGTAACCTCGATTCACAAATGCGATAATCTTGGCAGGAATCTCTCCCGCTTTTCCCCCTTGCATTCAGCTAAGAGGCAAAACCAAAAGAGAGGCTTTTTGATTTAAGGCAAAATCAAATCCTTGTTCTAGTTCTACTCAATGGGGAGGGGGAAGATAAATACCTTGCTCTGCTTCTGAGCTCGCTGTAATCTCTTGTCCCTCACAGCGTGCCCGCTACTCCACATGGCCTGGCTATGCCAGGATTCTCAAGCTGGTGAGAGCCCAAGCTCCTCACTTTAGAATGGACAGAGAATATGCCACCTAATGTTTGTTTTCAGCTTCTTGGGATCTTTGCAAAATTACCACAGAAATGTTTTCTGTGGGTATATTGCTATATCAATGTACTACATATGCAAGTATGTGCTTGGTAGGTGTGATATATTGGAAGAAGGTGCTGGTGTATGAGTCTTTGTGCCTGTGGAGAGAATATGAGGCTGGGATGTAAATGCATAGATATGCACCTGTGTGCATGGTGTGTGGAAATGATCTCTGCAGTTGTACACATGATCTCTACATAAGGGCATGGTGCATGCATGCACATTTGCGTGTTTCTGCATGTGGAGTGTGTACTTGGACTACACATGCTCATAGGGAACTCATCTGCAAATGCTAAACCATCAGTTGTCCCCTGGCCCCACTTGCTGCACCACACAAGGCTCCCTCCATAGCCTCGCTGGCCTCCCTAGAGGACTTATTGTTTAAGATGAATGATCAGAGAAATTGTGGCTGAGTTTCTACCCCTCAAAGGTTTTTGTCCCAGGGGTCAGGGAGTCCGAGTCCAGCTGGCGGTTTGTGAGGACAGTCATAAGGAGAAATGAAGTTCCTTGGCGCCTGGAACCTAAGGAGTTCTGCTTTTCTGTGAAGCACTACACCTACTTACACAGTCAGCCTGGCAGAAAGATCCAGCAACGAGATTCCTGTTTCCAACCCACACTCTCACCAATATGTATGCTCAGGCTCCTTGCAACTTTGGGTGACACAATAATTTGATTTCTTCACTGAAAACATACACCCACACCCATCCCCGCCCCGCAACCTCCCCCGCCTCCCCACACACTCACCATTAACATTAGGACTGTGCTGCAAACTGACCACAGCCAACCTAGGAAAGAGGGCTCCAGCAATCACTACAAAAATACATATTCTTTTTTCCTTTTAGATTCAAGAATAATACATGAAGGTTGGGCGCGGTGGCTCATGCCTGTAATGCCAGCACTTTGGGAGGGTGAGGTGGGAGAATTGCTTGAGCCCAGGAGTTTGAGACCAGCCTGAGCAACATGGCAAAACCCCCTCTCTCCAAAAAAAAAAAAATTTACAAAAATTAGCCAGGCATACCGGCATGTGCTTGTACTCTCAGCTACTCCAGAGGCTGAGGTGGGAGGATCGCCTGAGCCTGGGATGTCAAGGCTGCAGTGAGCCGAGATCGCACCCCTGCACTCCAGCCTCAGCGACAGAGTGAGACTCTGTCTCAAAAAAAAGAGAAAAAAAAAAAGAATGACACATGAAAACAGCATGTTCAAGGCCCCAGATGATAATGACTTATCTTTTAACATTTCATATCTTTGGCCAAAAAAGTTGCAGTGTGACCTTGAGCCGTATATTAGGTTGAATCATTGAAATTGCAGGCACTCAACCATCTCTGACGTACAAAACTATTTCATGTGGTTCAATCTAATACATACCTTTTTGAGAGTCTGTGTATAAAATGAAGATATTAATCTATATCTAGCAGGACTGTTTTGGAGATTAAGTATCAACAAATGCCAGGACCAAATCTGATAGCTAAACCCACTGGTTTTCAAATGTATCTCTTTGCCACATATTGATGGGAATGAGGTTCTCTGCTCTCCAATCTGGTTGCTTAATTTTCCAATGTGTTACCCTCCCTAGATTCTGGAAGGGTCAAAGCACTTTAGAATTTCTCTGTTTTATTCTTTCTTTTCACAAGAGCTCTTTCTTATTCTCTGACCTTTCATTTTTATAGCCTCTTAGTCTAATCTTAGGGATGTAATTTTTTCTTCCTTCCTTCCTTCCTTCCTTTCTTTCTTCTTTCTTTTTTTTTTTTTTTTTTTTTTTTTTTTGAGAGGGAGTCTCACTCTGTCACCCAGGCTGGAGTGCAGTGGCACGATCTTGGCTCACTGTAACCTCCACTTCCCAGGTTCAAGCGATTCTCGTGCCTCAGCCTCCTGAGTAGCTGGGATTACAGGCATGAGCCATCACGCCCGGTTAATTTTTTTGTATTTTTAGTAGAGACAGGGTTTCACCATGTTGGCCAGGCTGTCTCAAACTCTGACCTCAAGTGATCCGTCTGCCCTGGCCTCCCAAAGTGCTGGGATTACAGGCGTGAGCCACCATGCCTGGCCTCTGTAATATCCACTCTTTCTGAGCTTAATACTGTTATTGTTCTTCTTAGCCATTGTTCACAGTTTTCTTCTGCTCCCAGTAATGTCTCTATCACCTTTGGGCTCCTTTTTCTCTGTTTTGTTCCAGAGGCTTTGTTTGATTGCCCAGTGACTGTGGCTGATGTTCGTATCTAAGAGCCAAAAAGCTGTTTAGAAGCTCATGAATAATCTTGTTGACTGATGAGCTTTACTATTGGATGAAAAGTTAGTGATTTTGCTCTTAGGTTGGTCAACTTCCCTAGAAAGCGCTTCTCCAGTCTGCTGCTTGGGAACTATTACTCTGGGAGCCAGTGTGGGTCTCACTATTCAATATGAAACTTTCATTTAATACCCCTCTAAAATAGACTTTTGCCCCTGTCCTGAGTGAAGCCCCGTGTCTTTTCTGGTTTATCGTCCACCAAATAAAAGCATCCAGTATTTTATTATGATAGAGGAGGAACATTTTCTTGGATTCACTATTTGGGGAAGAAGTGAGGGTGATGATGGTGATGGTGTGGTGATGCTGGTAGTAGCAGTGTAGAAGTGATGATGGTGGTGGTAATGATGGTGGTGATAGTTGTGGTGGTAATGGTGGTGGAGGCACTATCAACAGATGGTGATGGTGGTGGTGGCAGTGGTGATAGTGATGGAGGTGATGATGGTCATGGCGGTGGTTGTGGTGGTGGTAGTAAAGGTGGTGGAGGTGGTGATGGTGACGGTGGCAGTGGCAGTGGTGATAGTGATGGAGGTGGCAATGGTCATGGTGGTGGTGGTGGTAATGGTGGTGGAGGTGGCGATGGTCATGGTGGTGGTGGTGGTAACGGTGGTGGAGGTGGTGATGGTGATGGTGGTAGTGGCAATGGTGATAGTGATGGAGGTGGCGATGGTCATGGTGGTGGTTGTGGTGGTGATGGTAATGGTGGTGAAGATGGTGATGGTGGTGGCAGTGGTGATAGTGATGGAGGTGGCGATGGTCATGGTGGTGATCATTGTGGTGGTAATGGTGGTGGAGGTGGTGATGGTGATGGTGGTGGTGGTGGTTATGGTGGTGGAGATGGTGGTGGTGATGGTGGAGGAGGTGGTGGTGGTGATGGTGGCAGTGGCAGTGGTGATAGTGATGGAGGTGACAATGGTCATTGTGGTGGTGGTTGTTGTGGTAATGGTGGTGGAGGTGGTGATGGTGATGGTAGTGGTGGCAGTGGTGATGGTGATGGTAGTGGTGGCAGTGGTGATAGTGATGGAGGTGGTGATGGTGATGGTGGCAGTGGCAGTGGTGATAGTGATGGAGGTGGCAATAGTCATTGTGATGATGGTGGTGGTGGTAATGGTGGTGGAGGTGGTGATGGTGATGGTAGTGGTGGCAGTGGTGATAGTGATGGAGGTGATGATGGTCATGGTGGTGGTGGTGGTGATGGTGGTGGTGGTGGTGATGGTGAAGGTGGTGATAGTGGTTGGTGATGGTGTTGGAAGTGGTAGTGGTGACAGTGGTGGTGGAGGTGGTGTTGGTTGTGGTGGTGCTGTTGATGACACTAGTAGTGATAGTGAATGATATGGTCTGGAACTGTGTACCCATCCAAATCTCATGTCCAACTGTAATCCCCAATATGGGAGGTGGGGCCTGGTGGGAGGTGATTGGATCATGGGGGCGGAGTCCTCATGAATGGTTTAGCATCATCCTTTCAGTGCCATTCTCGTGATAGTGAATGAGTGAGTTATCATAAAATCTAGTTGTTTCAAAAGTGTGTAGCACCTCCCTGGCTTCTCTTTCTTCCTCCTGCTCCGGCCACATGAAGTGCTGGCTCCCCATTTGCCTTCTGCCATGATTTTAAGTTTCCTGAGGCCTCCCCAGAAGCCAAGCAGTTGCTACCATGCTTCCTATACAGCCTGCAGAACCATGAGCCAATTCGACCTCTTTCCTTTATAAATTACCCAGTCTCAGGTATTTCTTTATGGCAATGTGAGGATGGAGTAATACATTGATGGTGCTATCTTTTGCTTTAATGACTCTTACTGTTTTCAGTTCTACTCCTCACCCTACCACAGAGCCACCTGATATCTCTAATTCCTGAGATGTTTCAGGGTCCTCTGCTTTCTCTCTTATGTGCTTTCTCCAGTTGCCAAAGGAATTAGTATTCACCCATCTGCTTTCATTTTTCTAAAAATTAATTGATGGCTTCAGTAAAGTTTCAGGTTAAAATCAATGTACAAAAATTTGTAGTATTTCTATACACCAATAATGTTCAAGCTGAGAGCCAAATCAAGAACACAATCTAATTTAAAATAGCCACATACAAAAAATAAAATACCTAAGAATACACCTTACCAAAAAGGTGAAAGGTCTGCAAGGAGAACTACAAAACACTGCTGAAAGAAATCATAGATGACACAAACAAATTAAAAAAAAACAGCCATGCTCGTGGATTGAAAGAATCAATATTGTTAAAATGGCCCATACTGTCCAAAGCAATCTACAGATTCAACGCTATCTTTATTGAACTACCAATGTCATTTTTCACAGAATTGGAAAAAATTATTTTAAAATTCAAACGGAACCAAAAGAGAACCTGAATAGACAGAGCTACGTAAGCAAAAAGACCAAAGCCAGAGGCATCACGTTACCCTACTTCAAACTATACTATAAGGCTACAGTAACCAAAACAGCATGGTACTGGTACAAAAACAGACACATAGACCACATGGAACAGAATAGAGAACCTAGAAAAGAAGCCTCACACTTACAGCCATCTGATCCTTGAATAAGTTGACAAAAATAAGCAATGGGAAAAGGACTTCCTACTCAATAAATGGTGCTGGGACAGCTGGCTAGCCATATGCAGAAGAATAAAACTGGAGCACTACCTTTCACTATATACAAAAATTAACTCAAGATGGGTTAAAGATTTAAATGTAAGACCTCAAACTACAAGAATCCTAGGGAAAAACCCAGGAAATACCATTCTAGGCATTGGTCTTGGGAAATAATTTATGACTAAGTCCTCAAAAGCAATTGCAACAAAAACAACAATTTGACAAGTGGGACCTAATTAAACTAAAGAGCTTCTGCACAGCAAAAGAAGCTATCCACAGAAGAAACAGACAACCTACAGAGTAGAAGAAAATATTTACAAACTTTGCATCTGACAAAGGGCTGATATCCAGAATCTACAAGGAACTTGAACCATTTAACAGGAAAAAAACCAAACAACCTCATTAAAAATGGGCAAAAGACATAACCAGACACTTCTCAAAAGAAGACATACAAGTGGCCAATAAACAGAAAAAAATATTCTACATCACTAATCATCAGAGAAATGCAAATCTAAACCACAATGAGATACTCACACCAGTCAGAATGGCTATTAATAAAAAGTCAAAAAACAACAGATGTTGGTGAGGCTGTGGAAAAAGGGAATGCTTACACATTGTTGGTGGGAATGTAAATTAGCTTAGCCATTGTGGAAAGCAATTTAGAGATTTCTCAAAGAACTTAGAACTACCATTTGACCCAGCAATCCCATTACTGGGTATATATCCAAAGGAAACAAATCATTCTATCAAAAAGACACATTCACTCACATGTTCATCACAGCACTTCTCACAATAGCAAAAACATAAAATCAACCCTACTGTCCATCAACAGTGGACTGGATAAAGAAAATGTGGCACATATACACCGTGGGGTACTACACAGCCATAAAAAGAATGAAATCATGTCCTTTGCAGCAACATGGGTGCAGCTGGAGCCATTATCCTAAGGGAATTAACACAGAAACAGAAAACCAAATACCGCATGTTTTCACTTATAAGTGGGAGCTAAACGTTAGGTATTCATGGGGATAAAGATGAGAACAATAGACAGTGGGGACTACTTGATAGTGCAAGGAGGGAGGGGTCGAAGGCTGAAAAATTAACTGTTGGGTCCTATGCTTACAACTTGGCTAATGAGACAATTCGTATCCCAAACCTCAGCATCATGCAATATACCCATGCAACAAACCTGCACATGTACCCTCAAGCTAAAAATAACAGTTTAAACAGGAGAAAAAAAAATTTAACAGGAAAAAAAAGGAAGAAGATTCAACTTGGAAGAGACAGTAAGTAGAGGAGAGAAATTTTTCTGCCAGGTAAACCTTTCTTCATTTGATGGAAGCCCCACCCTTTTCATTATCCCCCACAGCTCCTTCACCTGCATTCCTAGGTAGAAGACTCATTTTGTACCTTGTTTCTGCTGCTTTTAGAGAACTGCTATGGGTTCCCTGGGTCAGCTTTGAGTCTGCAATAGTTATTTCAGCCATTGTTGGATGACTCTCCAGTGTCCCATTTCTCCCTTCCTCCATCCCAGTAGGACCCAGTGTTCTCTCCACCCCACACAACCTGTGTGTGTGTGTGTGTGTGTGTGTGTGTGTGTGTGTGCCTTAAATAACATTTATTTCTATGTTATTGGAGGGCTCTCACCCGCCCTTAGCTTCAGAGCGGGACTGTGTATGTCAATCAGCACATTCTGCCGTCACTGGTTCAGGGTAGGCTTGTGTTGGGGGCTAAATTTTGTGTATCCCACACCCCTTGCCAAATTCATATATTGAAACCTCAAACCCTACTACCTCAGAATGTGACTATATTTGGAAATAGAGCCTTTACAGAGGTAATTAAGTTAAAATGAGGTTGTTAGGGTAGGCCCTAATCCACTTTGACTGGTGTTCTTATAAGAAGAGGAAATTTAGACACAGAGAAGCACCAGGAATGCTCACACACAGAGGACAGGCCATAAGAGGGGACAGCGAGAAGGTGGCCATCTGCAAACCAAGGAGAGAGGCCTCAAAACGAACCAACCCTGCCTACATCTTGATCTTGGGCCTCTGGCTTCCAGAGCTGCAAGAAATAAATGTTATTTAAGCCCACTCCTCCACCACACACACACACACACACACACACACACACACACGCACACACTAAAATTTTTTTAGTAAAAGAGTAATTGACCTGCCTAATCTCCTATTGTCCTTGTCTTTGTAAACTTAAACCTTTCTTTTTCCATTATCATTGTCATTTTAGTGCGGTTTGAGGAAGAAGCAGGTATAAATGAATGCGTGTAATTTTCATTTTAAAATGCAAGTTCCCCGGTGCCCTTTTTAAAATACAGATTTTGCTCTTTTCATCTTATTTCCTGATTTTTCCCCATTTAGTTTGTTTTTAATATAAATAATAGGTTCTTTCTCCAAGCACATTGAATACTCCAAAATGCAGTGAGACAGAAGAGCTTGCCTCTGTCCCACACATGTTCGGACATCAGGGGCCTGGATTTCTCAGAGAGTGAAAGGGACCTGGGCCACTTCAATTTTTTTGTAGTTTATTTGAGTATATATATTTCAAATGAAGACATGCTGAAACAAAATTTAGAAAAATTGAGCTATATTTTAAATATTTCCATTTACCAAATGTATGCTTTCAACACTGAAAAAAATACAAAGCACCATAATTATGCACTATTCACAAGATAATTACAGGATTTATTGAAAGTATTAATTCGTAACGCACAGCCAGAGTGATACAGGAATGTGACACAAGCTTAAACCAGTGTGATGAATATCTCCTTTGAATTTGGTCTCAATTCATTTAGAGATAATATCTGCCTTCTAAATGTTAGGATTTCCACTGCTATGGTGGCCATGGTTTATGCTTCCGTCCACTCCTGCACGCATCCCTGCCTCAACCCGGCACACACACCCCGGCAGTGAGGTGGGACCTGGAACAACAACTGTGCAACTTCCCCTAAAGGCAGTGAGAGCAGAATGGCAGGAGTGGGGAGAAAATAATTGCCCCTGTGCCACGGGCCAGGTGGGCCAGGCTGGCTCCGCAGCAAGCTACGCTGCAGCAGATACTTTCTGCTCCCCAGGCCCAGGTCTTGCATATGATTGTGTCTCTGGAACAGAATGTCCCCTGGGCCCTGAAAAGGAGACAGAAAGGGAGTTAGCTGACCAACATGGTTTGCCTCCCTTTAAGATGTTCAGTCTACCGGAGACAACCTCAGAAGGACTTGGAACTTCAGTGGATCCCTTTCTTTTCAACACACCTTAACATTTCAAGCAATACAAAACAGGAAAAAACTCACCCACCCACCATCTCACTCCTCACCAGCCAAATAAATCATCCTTTTTTATTTTTCCATGTTTTCCTCCTGTTTGTATCATCATAGGCAGATACACACACACACACACATACTCACACATTTATATATCTTGAAATGAGCAGATCACTGGCTCTGAAGTCAGACAGACTCGGATTCAAATCTTGTCCCTCTACCTTAACAAATGCATGGCCTAGGTTATACAAATGTCTCTGAACTTCAGTTTTCATTTGTACAAGGGCTGTAATAATAGTATCTACTTCATAGGATTATTTCAGAATAAAATAATGTGGCATAATATATGGAAAATGCCAAAGACAGTGCCCGCTGCATAGTAGGTGCTTAATAAACAGTAGCCAAAATTATTTCCATTGATCCTGTAATTCAACAAACGTTTAGCAAGTCTTTATCATGTGTCAGAGAGCAGAGGATAAGACAGAGTGCCTGTCCTCCAAAAATGCATCATCTAGGGCCAGAGGTGGGGACATAAGCGGACAGTGAGTGTGTGGTATACGAAGGACTCCCATCACATGTGTGCTGGCAGCGATGGGGCCTGAACTGAGTTGGGCCAGGAAGATAGAAAGGAAAGAGCAAACGGGTCAGGATTTGGTTAACACAGGCTGTGAGCGGTTGGGAGAACTTGCAGAGACACAATTTGGTATTCTGCTTTTTCACACTGAACATCAAATTACAAGCACTTCTGATGTTGCTACATAATCTTCCCGTCATTTTTAATGACTGCATAATATCACACTGCTTCGAAGTACTGTATTTTCCTTCACCTTTTCCCTGTCATTTGATTTTGAGGTTACCAATTTAGAGCTATTACAGATATTGCTACAATGAACATGCATGTGACAGTTTTTTCTTTCAGGGATTATTTCTGCAAGATAAATTCTAGGTCAAAGGGTATGAACATTTTTTAATAGCTCCCACAGCTCACTGCCGAGTTGTTGTCAAAGGGTTCACACACTGGATATTACCATAATTTTATGTATTTTGTCAGAACAGGTAAAACTGGTACTTCAATGTTGTTTTAATTTCCATTTCCTTGATGAGTTGTTTGGCAGGGAAAACTGAATAAAATGAATTTCTTGGATGGATATAAGGGCAAGAGAGTGCAGGAAATTGTGACTGCAGGTAGTGGATTTGGGAGGGGTTTGTCTCACTAAGATGCAGGAAGAGGAGACCTACATGCTGACACTAGTTGCATTTCTTAATTGCTTTGCTTGTATTTTACCTCTCTTCCATGACTGACTAAATCAATAATTAACACCAGAATCATCACCACTGAATGCACGTAACAGGGAAAAAAAATTGTCTTTTCTAACCCTTACTGGCTTTTCAGAAGGGTGGCGACTGTTAAATAGGGACCCTTTATTCTGCTGAGCACTTTGAAGGGTTTGGAAAACGAACTAAAACAAGAATCACATTTGCGGATCTCCCATCATTGATTGGCAACTTGTTGGGTTTGTTGCTGTTGTTATTCACCTGCAGCCTGTCTGTCAAGGACTCAGGGAAGCGGGCAGGATGAAGGCCACCTTAGGGTAGAGAAGAGCGTTCCACTTAGAGGAAGTGTTGGGCTGAGAAGAGGGGAGGAAGGGCAGCTGTGGTCCTTCTGCTCCCCTGAGACTGTTCTGCAGAGAAGATGGTGGTGGGGGATGAAGAGACCAGCCATATGTGAAGCTGTTTTTCCTAGATCAGGGAGGAGCCTGGAGGAGGTATGGTGGAAACATCCAGGTGGGAAGAGGATTCTGAGAACATGGGACGGGGTGGGGGAGGTGGGCAGCTTGTGGCAGTTCCCCTGGACCTGGAAAGCAGGCTGCATGGCTGAAAGGGAGTGTGGACAAGGCCATGTCCAGCAGGTGCAGGGACAACATACAGCCTTTTCAGAAGGAAACTGCTGGATAAATGAGCCTTAGGCAGCAGACAGTATGCAAGTTTTCTGCAAGTTCCCAGGCTCCCCATGAGGGACATTCAGACACTGAGGAGGGCTGATGGTGAGTAGACTTTAGAACCAGAAGCCAATGATTGGGACCATGGATTTCAGTGATGGGTGACCACATGATGTCCCAAAGGCCAGTTGAGACCAGTCACCCTCAGACTAGGACAGGAAGTCCACAGCAGAATGGACACCAGGAATAATACAGAGGACTCCTGGTCTTATAAGCTCCCATCCATGCTGACGCCAACCGCTACTTCCTGCTACGCACATTTGGGAGAAGATGCCCAAATACTCGGCATCACAGAAGGAAAAGAATTTGTAATTCCTGAGGAATTCTGGAAAGGAGGGAGGAAGTAACAGAGATTGGAAGGGAAAAGACAATATGAGTCAGCAAGATGGCGGAAGGCTGTGTACTCTGAGGTGATCCTCCTTTCTTGGTCCCTCCAAATGTTCAGTAAAAGCTACTCAGCCAACCAACTGCTTGTTGTCAGTTGATAACTTGTAAAAACTAATAATGAAGCCTCAGTTTCCAGCCCACATGGATCTAAAATAGGCATCAGATCAGCATGGAAAAGCCGGAGACACTGGGGACCTTGAGGACATGGCCCTGGAGAAATCACAAAAAAGGATGGAAAGGGGCTGTGGCTTTCAAGCCTGTAACCCTGGGTTGCTCCAGCCCAGAGATGCCCATCTCTCTGGGGACAGTCTCTTGAAGCAGTAAGTAATGTGGGCTCTGGGCTGGGCACGGTGGCTCACGCCTGTAATCCCAGCACTTTGGGAAGCCAAGGTGGGTGGATTACAAGGTCAGGAGATCAAGACCATCCTGGGCAACAAGGTGAAACCCCTTCTCTACTAAAAATACAAAAATTAGCCGGGTGTGGTGGCATGCGCCTGTAGTCCCAGCTACTCGAGAGGCTGAGGCAGGAGAATCTCTTGAACCCGGGAGGCGGAGTTTGCAGTGAGCCGAAATTGCACCAGTGCACTCCAGCCTGGCAACAGAGCAAGACTCCATTTCAAAAAAACAATAATAATAAAATGTGGGCTCTGGCAACATACAGCCTGGATCCAAATCCCAGTTTTTCCACTTAGTAGCTGAGTGATATTGGGCAGATCACGTGGCCTTTCTTAATCTCCCTCCTTTATCTCTAAGAACAATCTCTACGATTGTTCTGAGAATTAGATGAGGAAACACCTACAAAACAATTATTATCGCGGCCAGCACATGGCAAAAGCATTGTTTGCTAGCATGGCAAAAAGAAGACAACCATAGTGGAGATGGTGATTGTAGTACACACTCTTAGTCTCCTACAGATTGTCCATTCTCCCCTTTTTCTTGCTCACAGAACCATGCCCAGCTGCAGTGATAAATCACTATGAGTCTGAGCCAATTGTGACAAATATTCTTCCAGCATCCCTTAAGGCCACATGACACAGTTTTGACCAATAGGACTTAAGAGGAAGCCTATTGTGGGGGCTTTGGGAAAGCTTTGCTTACGTGGTGTCTTAGTTCATTTTCTCTTGCTATAACAGAATACCACATACTGAGTAAATTATAAAGAAAAGAAATGTATGTAGCTCACAGTTCTGGAGGATGGGAAGTCCAAGAGCATGGCATGGGCCCTGGGGAGGGCCTTGTTCTGAGTCAAAATGTGGCAGGAGGCATCACATGGAGAGAGGGCAAGAGACTGCGTGTATGTTCAGGTCTCTCTTCCTCTTCTTATAAAGCCACCAGTCCCATCATGGGGGCCCCACCCTAATGACCTTATCTAGTCCTAGTTTCCTCCCAAAAGCCCCGTCTCTAATCAACATATGAATTTAGGGATTAAGTTTCCAGCACATGAAATTTGGAAGACACATTCAAACTATAGCACCCAGCAAAAATAAAAGAAAGAAAGAAAACCTGTCTATAACAACACTTTCCCCACAGCTTCATCCTGCCTTGAACACAGATGTGATGTCTGGTTCTATGAGGGCATCTTGTGATTCTGAGAGACAAGCATGAGGGGAGAGGCCAAGGGAATCAGAGTTACTGGCCCCGGCATTAACAAGCTGCTGAACCAAGGCTATCGTCTGTTCATTCTGGACTTTTTGTTATAAATAAGAATAAACTACTGGGCCTTGTTTTTAGTTACTTGCATCCAAAGGCATTTCTAACAGATATAATGTTTATCTATCTCCAAGGAGCAGAGAAGTCCCAGTGGACTTCCAGGTTGCATGTATATTCTGACCTACAAAACTGTCATATAGAATCACTTCCAGTTTCCCAAAGTGTCACAACATCCATACCCCTAAAAAGTGGGTCCAGGAAAATCATTCCACTTTGCACCATTAGAACTCAGCTGACAAATAAAGTGAGGCCAAGTTATTATCTAAAGCAATAAAATAAAATTTCTGCTTCCAGAGCAATCAATGAGGAAGAAATGGTTACATGAGAAAGGGGAGGGGTTGAGTCATAACCAATACTATCCCGAAAAATCCAAGCACATGTGTTTCCCACTAAGAAATTACCACTATGACTGCCAAATTTCCAATTATTCAATTGACCCCAATTCATCTTAATCCGGACTGTTCTTGGTTTGTTTTGCCTTCCCAAGACCCAAATTAACTATTCTATAAGCTTCTTATGAGTAACGACCAAGTCCTAGTTATCTTTGCAGCTCCAGTGCCTAATATGGGACCTGGCACAGATTAGGAGCTCAATCCAGAATAAATGAATGAACGAATGAGAGATTAGGACAGAATATTTCCAAGCCAAAGACTTCAAGCCATCAGTTGGGCTGAAGTAGAAAAAGAAGCTGCATAGCCAAACAGTTGCAACCATGGGTGCTCCAGTAAAGATAACTCAATTCAAATCCTGTGTCTGCACTGTCATACACCAGCTGTGGGGTCTGTTCGAACCACTGGCCTCCACACCTCAGTTTCCCTTCTGTAACATGGGGCAAGTTATGGCACCCTCATCAGACTGGCTATGAGGGTCATAGTCATTTAGTAAGTGTTCACAGAAAGCACTCAGTGAAAGGCAGGTGGTGGTGGTGTTATTATCACAGTATTTCTATTCTGTGTAGACAGCATCAGGATCACAGGGAGGGCTCGTCAAACACAGAGCTCTGGGCCCCACCCCCAGAGTTTCTGATTCAGTAGGTCTAGGGTGGGGCCTGAGAATTTGCATTTCTAACAGGAACCAGGTGATGCTGCTGTTACTATTCTGGGAACTGCACTTTGAAAACCACTGGCCTAACTTATTGCTGTGAGGTCACAGGCAGGCTGTGCTCGACAGAAGGCAGAAAAGGAGAGTAAAGAGAAGGAAGAAAGGTAACACACACACACACACACACACACACACACACACACACACAAACTCAGAATTTCCAGCACAGAGCTTCCCGGCCTGTGCTACCATGGCTAGATACATGTGCGCCCAGAAATGGATCCCTCATCCCTCAGCAGACGCCTGAAGGTAGTTGTACATGCTGTGCACAAAACGAGGGCATCCAGCTTCAGCTTCAAGAGTAGTGGGACTGAAATCCCCAGACAGGATGCCTTTTCCTAATATGCATAAAGCCTCTGAATGTCCAGCCCTTAAGGGGGGTTTCTTTTGGAACAGTGAAGAAAGTGGGGCGATGGGAACTTGGGGCATCTGGCCTGTTGCCTCTGGCCCCTAACAGGCTCGACTATTTACCCTGGGACACCATACAAGTATGGTCATTTCCTAGATGTACTCTGACCTAAAAAATTTGGTGAATTGCACAGTCCAGTACTGCAGCCACTAGGAACATGCAGCTACTCCAATTTGAGATGGCCCATAAGTTTAAGATATATGCCAGATTGCTAAAATTTAGAACAAAAACAAGAAACTCACTCCTAATTTGTTTTCTGTTGATTACATGTTGAAATGTCAATATTTTACATATATTTAATATGCTACTAAAGGGATTTTACCAGTTTCTTTTTACTTTTTTTTTTTTTTTTGAGATGGAGTCTTGCTCTGTTGCTCAGGCTGGAGTGCAATAGTGTGATCTCGGCTCACTGCAACCTCCGCCTCCCGGGTTCAAGCAATCCTCTTGCCTCATCCTCCTGAGTAGCTGAGATTACAGGCGCGTGCCACCATGCCCAGATAATTTTTGTATTTTTAGTAGAGATGAGGTTTCACCATGTTGGTCAGGCTGGTCTCGAACTCCTGACCTCGTGATCCGCCTGCCGCAGCCTCCCAAAGTGCTAGGATTACAGGTGCGCCTGGCCTCTTTTTACTTTTTTAATGTAGCTGCTAGAAAATGTAAAATTACATACGTGACTTGCATTATATGTATGGACGATGCCACCCTAGGAAGCTGACATTTTCCAGAAATCATCAGTGGCCTGATCTGTCAGCAGGTGTGTGTGTGTGGGTGTGTATGTGTGTGGGGGTGTGGGTGAGCCATTGAGGGGAGGCAGCACAGACCCAACAGTAGACATGCTACTTGGACTTGACACTGTAGAAGACAGAGAATGAGTCAGGCATTATGAGAAGCAGATTGGCCCGATTACATTGTTTAAATAACACCTCAAAGCAGAGTTGGGGAGGGACTAGACGTTCTCACGAAAAACAAAGCCACAAGAAGCTTTGTGGTGGAACAGAAAGAGGACAGTCACTAGGCTCAGGCTAGCCTAGTGGCTAAGAGTGTGGGCTCTGGAGTTTGAATCTTAGCCTTCCCACTAACTAGCTGTGTGAGCTCCAGTAAGTTACATAACAACTCTGTTTGTCTGTACAGTAAGGATCTATATCATTGGGTTGCTAAGAGGTATCTTAGTTTGGGCTGCAATAACTATACGGTTGATGCAAAAGTAATTACAGTTCTTGTGATTGAAACTAATGGCAAGCAGGGTGCAGTGGCTCACGCCTGTAATCCCAGCACTCTGGGAGGCCGAGGTGGGCGGATCATGAGGTCAGGAGATCGAGACCATCCTGGCTAACACGGTGAAACCCCGTCTCTACTAAAAATACGAAAAATTAGCCAGGCGTGGTGGCAGGTGCCTGTGGTCCCAGCTACTCGGGAGGCTGAGGCAGGAGAATGGCATGAACCCAGGAGGCGGAGCTTGCAGTGAGCCGAGATCATGCCACTGCACTCCAGCCTGGGTGACAGAGCGAGACTCCATCTCACAAAAAAAAAAAAAAAAGAAAAACAAAACAAACCAAACACACAAACAAACAAAAAAAACAACTAATGGCAAAAACTGCAATTACTTTTGTACCAACCTAATAGGTACCATAAACCAGAGAACTTTATTTCTCACAGTTCTGGAGGTTGGGAGCCTGAGGTCAGGGTGCCAGCATGGTTTGGCTCCAGGGCCCTGCTGCAGGCTGCAGATTGTTATTGTGTCATTGCAGGGTGGAAAGAGGAAAGAGAGCTCTCTGGAGTCCCTCTTATAAGGGCACTAATCTCTTCCATGAGGGATCCACTCTCATGACTCAGTTGTCTCCCAAAGGACCCATCTCCAAATATCACCACATTGGAGGTTAGGATTTTAACATACAAATCTGGGGAGACAGAAATATTCAGTCCATTGCGTGAGGCATAAATGTAGTTACATACGTTAAATGTTTGAAACAGCATCTGAATGGCCCATCTTGGTCGCACGCTCCTCTCTGATTTTGCCAGGAGGATATGGTCTTAGGATTGGATCAGCCTGGGTCTTGCACCCAGCCTCTGTGGACAGGCTATCTTGGTCTGCTATCCTAAGAAGTGGAGAGGGGAGGAAATGTGTCGGCCGACACAAACAGCAGCCACCCCTGTCTATTTCACCCTCCCGGCCCTATGACCTTGGGCAAATGACTCAATAGATCAGAAGAGACTCAAGTTATGCTTCTGTCAAAACTTCTGAGGGAAATGATGAGAACTGCACAATCCCCACCCCATACAAGGTACCCGACAAATGTTAATCCCTCCATTGGGCAAATGGAAGGCAATGTGGCCATGACTGGCAGCGGAGACCTGACTTTTGGCAGAGCCTAGTCAATTACCCAAGTTTGGGAGCTATCCTCTCTGGGGGCCAGATCATACCACAAACTTTCAAATCAATGTCAACAGGAAGGTCAGCTGGAACTTTCAGGCCAGGGTCTGGTGCGTGGGCCTGGGCCTGGCATCTGTTTAGTAAACATCCCCCAGCCTTCCTCTTGGAAGCCTTCCTTTACTCACTAAGCAGTTTTGGTCCAACCTGTTTTCCTTTTGTAGCTGGGATTTTGTAAGAGGCCAAATTCCAGGCTGGGGCAGGATAAACAAGATCGCATGGCTAATGATTGGTGAGTCTGCCTGGAATGCAATTTACCACAGAATTTCAGTGAAGGAGACTTTATCACCCCCTGGACTGTTTACAGGGAGGTTGTTAAAACAGGAAGGAGGTTCCAGGCTCTGCGGGGTAGCTGCCTGGCATTATTTTTCTTTGCCTTCTTTTAGGGAACAGGGGCACCTGCTATGAACTAAAAATTCTCTGCCTCAGTCTGCTTTACATGTAAAATCCCCTTGGTCAAAACCTTCCATTCATCTAACAAATTACAGCTTACAAAAGATTCTCAATTCTACCACTACCCCAGTTTGGCAGGTGGGGAAATCAGAGCTCAGAGCAGAGAAGTAACTTACCCAAGGACACGCAGCCAGGAAATGGCAGGGCCAGGATTAGAAAATTTTCCACAAAGTGAATCAGGCAATAATAGTGTTTGTGCTCCATCTTCTTCATCTGCAGCTAACCTTTCCCTCTGGGTGGGGATACGTGACTTGAATATAGTCTGGTGATGAAGGGATGAGAGGAGGGTCCCTTGTTCCAATGTGGATATTACCACAGTAGAGAAAGATTTTTCTTTTAACCCAGCTCAGAATTTTAGAAATTTGCATCCTTGACCTCACACTATCCCTTCTCTGTTCAAACAAACCCCTAGCCTCTCCAACTCCAGTGTTGGTGGCTCTCTTTCTAAAGGGTGTTGAGATAGACAGGTCAGTAAGGAGATTTGAGTCTGGCTCCTGGGATGGCAGCAATACTGATGTCTACACGACCTTTGGCAAATCACTAACTATCCGTCTCCGGGCCTGAGTTTTCTTTTCTGAACAAAGCGGATGTGAAGTCTAGATGAAGTCGGAAATCCCATCCATGCTTCTGAAAATTCTGCTTGTGGCTGCACCACTGAGGAGCAGGGGCCCGGGAAACGCCTGGCTCTAGTCTGCATCTTATGGCCCTGCCTTGCTGCCAGCATCCACAGGTCTCCCTAAGCCTTGGATGATTGGCCCCGGCTGCCCCGTCTGGTGAGCTCAGCGCAGCATTCGTGAGAACTGATGGTGGAGATAAAGATAGGCATGCTGAAATGAGGCACACTCTGCCTCTGCCCCCACACAGCCCTCCTCCCTCGAGACAGCTGTGGACCAGCCTGGGGGAGGACTGGTTGCCATCCTAGGATGAACAAAGCTTGGGGTGGGCAGGTTCCATTAGCTCATTCTCCTAATTATTCTGGCTGGTCATTGTTTCTCCTGATGAATTCCCAATTAGCACTGGGGAGCACAGCTTGGGTTTGATTCTGCCAGTTTTCCGGAGCCAGTTCTCAGCTATTTCTGGCTTGGCCAGACCTACGACCTTCCTGCTTCCATGCTAGCTGCAATTCAGGAATGGCCTCAGGGGCACTTACACGTTGCCACCATCAATGACAACACCGTGAAATTGGTCTCATTGTTGCCATTTCACACGTGGGGAAACTGAGGCTCAGTGAAGTGAAGAGGTTTGCCCAGCTTCCTACCACAAGTAAGTAAGTGGTGCAGGTGAACGCTGCCTTGCAGATTTTCAAACATGTCAGCCTTCTAGTCCAATCGTGGTCTTCATGTGATTCTCTTATGGCACCTAACTCACTGCTTTGCTATTACAGCACTTGAATAATTTAAAAACAAATTCTTAATTTAATAAAATCAATAAATAAACCTCATGATTTGTCTTCCCAATTGAAACCCCAGCTTCTGTGACATTCGGGCAATTTCTAAGCTAGCCAGAGAACCTCCTGGTCATGTTAGGAATAAGCAAAGCCGTTTGGGTTTTAATAACATGGTGAGAAAATAGTGTGACTTTAAAGTCCTTATTAGCCCTGGAATGCATTTTCCAAAGCAGGAATTAGCTGACACAGGCAGAGTGTCAGCTGGAAAAACAAGGTCTGGGTTAGGTGGCCCAGAAAAAAACCCGCTTTGGTGCCCAGAGCCTCCCATTGATTTCAATTGCTGGTTAGCATAGGCCAGCAGAACGATTGTCCCGTCGGTGAATGTGCCATTAGAAATGACCCCACCAGCTAATGGGGGTTTAAGAGTGGCTTGCTTGGTTCTTGGTATGGTTCCTGTTGTCATTTTTAGTAAGAAAATTACCTGTCTGTCATTCCCTTTAAACTTGCACGGTAATAATTAACCAGGCCCCAAAGAGAAGCTGGTTACCCTTAACCTTGGCTAGATGAAAGCTCAGTGACCCATTAAAGTCTGTGAAATCATTTAACTCTGAGCAGCTAGGGAGGTCATGTTGTAGCTGATATTTGGTGGAAAATGGATGTAAGAACTCACATTGGTTCATTATCTCACAATTTGCAGAGTTCAAGGTAACCTTGAGGTCATGAGCAAGGACTGTCACTCAGGCGTCAGCAAACCATGGCCCACTGGCCAAACCTGGCCCACCCCATACTTCTGTAAATAAAGTTTTATTGGAACATAGCCATACCCGCTCATATACATATCATCTGTGGCTGTTTTTGTGCTATAACAGTAGAGTTGAGTAGCTGTGACGAAGACCATATGGCTTGCAAAACCTAAAATATTCACTCTCCTACCCTTTACAGAGTTTGATGACCTCTGCCCTAATTCACAAAGGCCAAATTTGAATTCCGCATTAACCCCTTACTAGCTATGTGACCTTGGGCAAATGGTTTCACCCTCATTTTCTTCTTCAGTTTCTTCATCTGTTAAGTAAAGCTGATAAGAGCACCTATGTGGTAGATACACTAGAGCTCACCAACAACTTTTTCAGCACACATAATCTTTTGAACTTGGGCATGGACTGTGAACTTGGACTATGTGACTTGCCCTGACCAGGAAATATAAGGGGAAGTGGTGTACATCACTTCTAGATAGAAGCATTCAGAGCTGGTATGGGTTCTCCACACTCTCTACCTTGCCATGTTGACCAAGGAGGCAGGCCAGGTGATTTGAGTGTTGCAACTACAGGATGGCCAGCTTGGATTCTCAAGCAATTACAGTGAAAAGAGATCCCCTCAGCTCACAAAGAATATTGAGCAGGAGTGAGAAATAAACCTTTGGTATTTACTTCAGCAAAACCTAGCTCATGCCAACAAATTGGCTTACTTCATAGGGTTTTTGTTAGGATCTGATGAGTTAGGCGTTTTAGATGTTTGGACCAGTGGCTGACACTTAGCTAAGTACACAGTTAATGTGAGTTGAAGTTATTAATAGTATGTCGATTATTATTAAAATGTCTATTATTTCTTATTTCATTTTCAACTTCATAATGACTGCAAGGTAGTGACTATTAACTTCATTTATTCAATGAACATTTAATGAACACCTGTTTTATATGGTTATATGCTTGACAATAGGATACAGAAGGTGGGAAAGGGACACTTTCTGTCCAGAGAGCAGAGGTCCATCTAACACACACTTGAGAATGTAGGTGATATTCAACAAAGGCATCTCCGAGTTGAAACTTAGAAGTTAAGTAGGGGTTTACCAGATGAAGAAGGGAAGGAAGGGCATTATAGGCAGAGAAAACCATCATATAAAATGATAGAGAGGCCTGAAATTCTATGCTGTTTTGGGGGAACACTGAGCAGATTGGTGTGATAGAGGGACGGGATGTTTGTTAGGGATGTAGCAGCCAATGTTGCTCAGCCACTCAGCAGGCATTTGCAATCCACTTCTCCCTCACCAGCCTTACCTTAACAGAAGAAAAGCAAGATGTGTGCTTCATCAGCTTCCCTTGCAGCTAGAGCGGCCACATGATATGGTCTCATCTAAAAAAGTGTCAGAAGAAGTCTCCTGGGGAGCTTCAGATCAAAGTAAAGAAGTACATGAAGAGAGTTTGTCACTGTCCCGTGTGGGTGCAATGCCTGGAGCCATGGCAGCCATCTTGAGATAACAAGGGGAAAACCAAGAGAACTGGAGAGATGTGGACCCAATGGACCATCCAGATATCTGGACACTGAGCTACTGCTGAAGCCACGCTGCAAGGGTGTACCCCTCAGACTTCTCAATACGGAAACAACAGACATCCTTGTGATTTAAGCCGCTGCTTGTTTGTTATTTGCTCCACGAATCTTAACTAATGAAGGAATTGTAAGGAATGAGACTGGAGGGTCTAACGGGGCCTAGATTATGCAGGGCCCTTAAAGGCAGCTGGGGTAAGTGAAGGATTTTACATAGGAAAGGGAAGCTCAGGTTTAAAGAAGGTAAGTCACTACCCAGAGTCCTACTGCTAATAGGTGTCAGAGCTGAGATTTGCAGAGACCCTCCAAGTGGAGTCCAAGTCCCTTCCTACCACTCTGTAGGGCAATTTGCCTCTACAACCAAATGGCCCTAGTCAATCCTCACAAGAGGATTCTCTTGGCCTATGGGTCATTTCTAACTACATGCTGGAAAAGCTGAGATTTGGCCAAATCTTCCTTATTTGGAATCAGATCTGTGATCTTCAGAAACAAGAAGACTTGAGGAGGTATGTAGGGACATGGGAGAAGGTGCAAAGTTGAGAGATGGTATGGATGAATTGAACTTGGGGAAAAGACTCACAAAGACACAAGGCATGGAGGAAATTACAAACAGAAGGATGGTGCCAACCCTTCCACCATCTTGGTTTCATTGTCTGAGAAGAAAGTGGGAACCCCAGCATCCTCTCCTGCCTCTCCAGGGTCTGCACCTGTCTGACTCCATTGCACCACAGGCATCCAGGAGGCCCTGAACTCCTCAGGGCCACTGCAGGGTCTCACTCAACCACTCTCTCAGAGTCAGGCTCACTGCGTGCCACAGAATGGGTCCTTAGTCAGCATCTGCCCTGTATGGACTGAAACTTGAGACAAAGCAAAACTAGGGTGAGCTCACCTCTGGGGTGGGCACCTCCTCAAAAGACAGGATCACAGGTCATCCCCATTTTTTTCTCTCCCAGGTTCTTTCAGCTGAACAGACCCATCCACACATCTCTTCCCCCAACAAAAACCACAAACCTTTTCCATGATTCTATTTCAGGAGATTCAACTTAGTTTAATAGTTCAGAGTGCTAGTTCTGAAAACCAAACTGCCCGGCTCTGCCACTTACTAGCTGTGTGATTTTGGGCAAATAGTTTAACATCTCTATGTCTCTGTTTTCTCATCTGTTGCGTATAGTACCCACTTCGTGTGGACTGTGCTTGTGAGAGTGAAGTGAGTTCATTCATAGACAATCCTGACATACACCAAGCACGTGATGAACGCTGTTGTGATTATTTATGATTATCCTGACTCAGGACCTTGCCCCTCATGCCGAGCCCACTTCAGCTTATAGTACTCATAGCACATGCATCTCAGAGAGGTGTCCACAGATTTGAAATCCCTTTTTTTGCTCCAGCAATTTGAAGCCCAGCATTCCCGTTTAAATCCTGACTTAGCCAGCCCCTCAGGGCCCAGGTAGGACCAGCCTGACTGCACACTACCCTGTCATCCCCGGGCTTGTCCCCCATCTCCTGCCCTCTCTGTGCACTAATGGCTGGGGAGCTAAGGGAGGGCAGTGTGCCCTGGCAGGCCTGGCCACGCTGAGCCTTGTTTGTGTATTTCCACCTTCATGCTTCAGTTGCTGTCGCCCCTGACTCATCAGTTAGTTAACAAGCTCCAGAACTGTTCCTCCTCCTTGGGACATCTCATCACACAGCCCATCTAGCCAGTGAGAGTGTGGGCTCCAGCGGGGTGCTTCTGAGGGAGAAGCTGTCTTGTCTGTTCTTCTGTGATTCTGCCCTTCCTTCCTCAACGCTCTGAGACCAACTCAAAAGCAAAGTCACTGTCTTTCTTTTGCAGTGTGTGCATGTGTGTATGTGTGTACTCATGCGTGTGTGTGTGTGTATAGGCTTTTGCTCTTCACAGAAAGAAATCATGAGCCATCTGGCTGGCTGATCAAGAAGGTTATTATTTTTAACAATAATAGCAGAAGCTCACATTTACTGAGCATTTACTATAAACCAGCATTTTATGTGAATTAACTTGTAGAATGTTCTAAATAACCTTGGGAAGTCAGGTGCTTTTGAAAATCACTGTTTTACAGACAATAAGAGTGCAGCTTAGACAATAACTTGCCCAAGTCATGCAAATACTAGTAAGTGACAAAGGCAGGATCTGACTCTAGCCTGTTCCACTCCAAAACTGTACCCTTAATTGGTGCTTTGAACTTTTTGGTACATACAAATCACTTTGAAAACCTGACGCAAGTGCTGATTCAGTAGATTTGGGTTGGGGCCTAAGATCTAGCATTTCAAAGAAGTGTTCACATCATGTTGATGCTAACCAGTCTGAGCAGACACTTTAAGCCATGTTGATCTAGATCACCCTATTGTTCCTTCTGACCTGTTAGGATGACTGCAGGGTGTTCAGTTAAATTTTTTCCAGGAAGGAATCTCCTGAAATAGAATCATGGAAAAGGCTTGTGGCTAGAGTCCTGGGTTTGAATTTCAGCAACCATTTAGTTCTCATGACCTTGGGCAACTTCTACTTTTAGAAACTCAGTTTCCTTATCTTCAGAATGAGGATAATAGTATCCACTGGCAGGTGATTGCAAAAGAGTAGATGTGAAAATGCCCATGAAAAAGGGCTCTGCAGACTGTACCAAAAGTTCAGCTATTAAAGCCATTTGTTGTTAAATAATAATATCATTACTATAAAAACTCCTGATTGAATGGGCAGTGGGGAGGGTCTTATGTTGCCGTCATTCCATTTTTCATTCATTCCCAAACTTTTTTTTAAAACCATCTACCTGATGACCAAGGGTAAAGAGATTCATCACAGTGTTTTATTTATAGAGACCTTCACTACCTCAGCCTCTGAGCTCTGTAGGACCCTCTGTGAAGTGTTGTTTAATACCCACAAAGCAATTCTTCCAAGCCCCTTCCATCTTTGGCAAAATAGATGAAACAGGATTGGATCTCCCCCACCTCAAAAAAAGAGATCACAAGGAGAGCAGGAAGACCAAGCAAAGCTAACGCCCACTTCTGAATTCCCAGCCATTGAGGCTCAGCATAGAGAGCAACAGATGGCTGCAGTAGATCTTGCTAATCTGGCCAAATGACAGATTAGCAGAATTTAGGTATTTCTCATTAGCTCCCTTGCTTTTTCCTCTACAATAAACTAAATGCAGTGAGCTACAAATTATTTACTGTTTCTCCCATTAAGAGGTGAATTCCGTTTCCCCTCCCCTTGAATCTAAAGTTGCCTTTAGACTTGTTTGGTTTATATCAATAGAATGTGGCAAAAATGACATTTTAGGGCTTCCCAGCCTAGGCCTTCAAATGACCAACAGATTCTACCTTCTCCCACTTTGAAGCCAACTGCATGTGTAAAGAAGCTTAAGCCAGACTGCTAAGGGGTAGGAGGGGACGGCGTGGAAAGAGGCCTTGAAGATCAGAGGCCATCCTCGGCATTGCAGCTGCAGATAAGATTCTAGTGGAAGGCAGCTCCATTAGTGCCCTCAGCTACCCCTTATGAAACAAAAGAACCATACCAGCTAAGCCCAGGCAACCCACAGGATTGGGAGAAACAACACATGAATTGTTTTAAGCCCCTGTGTTTTGGAATGGTTCATTATGCAGCGATTGATAACTAAAACACTAGACTTTTTTGAATCTAAATTTTCTTTCTAATCGTCTCTTCCACTTACACATCCAAAAAATATGTCCTACCTATGTGTTAAGACAATGGCTTGCAGCATGGTCCCCACATCAGCAACATAAGCACCTTGTTAGAAGCTTGTTAGAAATGCAAATTCTAAGGCCCACCCCAGACCTGATGGTTCAGAAACTCAGGGATGGGGCCCAGCAATCTATATTAACAAGCCTTCTGGGTGATTTCAATATAACACTCAAGTTTAGGGATCACCGGGCTCAGCCAGTGGTTCTCCATCTTGGCTGTGCACCTTGATCACCTGTGGTCTTTAAAAATACAAACGTGTACAGGGCTTACCCCAGACCTACTGAATCAAGGAAGGCCTAAGTATATGTGCTACTGAAAGCATTCCTTGCTGATTTTGCTATGCAGCCAGGTACTGTGGAGGAATTCAAGACCCTCATGATGTTTGGGCCCTGTAGATCTGTGCTTCTCAAGCTTGAATGCACAAAGGATTCACCTGGGGATCTGATGAAATGCAGATTCTGACTCAGTAGATCTGGGGTGAGGCCTGAGATTGTGCATTTCGAATATGCTCCCAGAGGAAGCTGATGCGGTCAACCTCATTGAGAGCAGCAATACCCTGGGGAGTCACCATCTTCTCTGAAGGGTAGATGTCATAAAAAGTAGTTTTATGTTACACACTCACACACAGAAACACACATACCATCTCTAAATGCCGTAGCCGGGAGTAGCTACACAAGGCGCCGTTGAGGCAGCTTCAATGTCCCTACTACGCAGACTTTAAGGATGACTCCCTATAGGAGATGCCATTTGAGCTTTGCCTCAAAAGATAAGAAGGATTTTGTCCAACAGACATGGAGAATGATGTTCTAAGGTGAAGAGAAGGGCCCATGTTAAGGAAGCCCCAAAAGCTGCTTAGTGTGACTGAGGTCTATCCTGGTGGGACGAGAAAAGGGAAAGAAAGCCAGAAACTGTTTGTGGCCAGATTATGAACAGCCTTGAACATCAGGCTAAAAAAGTCCAAACTTTATCGCATGGGCCATGGGGAGCCATGGAAATTTCTTCAGCAGGGGAATGATGTCTCTGTGCAATCAGAATCTGGTTCCCACAAAAGGTAGAAGGGTTGCCCTGATTTCTCATCTTTGTCACGACTACAAGATTTATGTCAGAAGAGAGAGAAATGCCAGAAAGATGCAGAAGCCTGGAATTAACTGCACAGGCCTGTATTTTGAAACAGGTGGCTTGTCTTCCTTGAAAGATGACAGTTCTCCAATCTTTTTGAGGAACCGTTCCAAGAAAGAGGAACAGTAAAAGATTTCCACTCCCAGAGAGCATAGCTCTGCTCACATGTTCCAGTAAGTAATGTTCTCTGTATCACAATGAACAGAAAAATGTGCGTGATGGAATGAAAATCCGTACTGCCTGGCTACCCGTGGGCAGCCTTGGTTACTATGGAAAATTCCTGATTAAAGTCAGCAGAAGAATTTCCTAGCTAACGACTATTATTAATAGGAGCTTCAGCCTTGCGCTGACATTCTTTAATATGTCATTGCACAAGCCAGGTGATTAAACTCCTATGTTTTTTAAAAGGAAACAGAATGCACCCACCTTCTCCAGGCTGACTACCCTTTTTAATAACCCACGCGGTCCTGCTTAGTTAGTATAAGAACAAAACTGCAACCATGAAATTATTTTAACAAGACCATAAAAAAAACAATTTGCTTGAGTGATGTTTAGGGAGAAGGGGGGACCCACCCTCTCCTTAAACTAATTAAACTGTACTATATGTCCTTGTGTAGTTCCTGACATTTTTCTGGTTCACTCAGTTTGAATCGCTACACGGGGATCGGTGCCAAGCTCCCAAATGGCTAACTCAAAACAAAAGCAGGGTCTCCGGAGTATTCCTAGGCATCCAGCAAATTGAGGGAAAGTTATTTTGGGTTAATCAATGTACTTCAGTTGCAATCACATCTTGCCCCATAGAAAAGACGGAAAACAAGGACTCACTGTTTGAAGTCTAACTCAGGGTGAACTAGGAAGTGACACTGACCTTCTTATGTTCTTCGTGTTTCACTATTTTATTTTTTTCTGAAAAATTACACCCTGCTTTGCATGAAGCCAAAAACAGTAGCCCCTCATGTTCCATTTCTCCCCCCAACCTGCTGATAGTTTATGTCTTTCCCACTCACACTGGCGATTACCAGAAGCCACTGGCAGCTTCCTTGAATGTCTTTACAGGCAAGGAGTCTATTCTCAGCCTGGTAGGGACTAGACATTGATTAATGGCTGGGAACTTTGGTTTCTGGCAAGACAAGCCTTAGTTTAAGCTGAGGAGGGCTTTGGGTGTTGGTCAGACTCTTGTCAAAGTCAAACTGGGAGGCACAATGGGTGTCTTGGACACAGCACCGTCACGCATGTCTTAGTCTCCTTCTGAGAAATGTGCCCCTGTGTATTAAGACCCAATATCATGGCCTTAACACTCCTTGAAACTAATGTTTACCAATCACTTCAGAGTTTAGAGAAAGTGTTCGCTTCTGAAAAGCTCTTTAACGTTGATGAGGCAATCATTTAAATTCCGAAGAACTGTGGAGCACAGATAAAGCGCATAATTCAATTTATTTCTGTTTAAAGCAATATACAATGAACTGCCATGTGTGAGATTCTGATGGGGTACCATCCTTTGGATGAACAGGATGAAACTGATAGAGGTGCTTTCTGACTTCAGGGAAATTAGACTGTCCTAATTTAGAGAGGAATCAGTATGATAAATGGTAGAACTGCTCATAGTGATAAGCCCTAACATTTTCATTATGTTCTGCAATATGCAAAGTACATGCATATAAGTGTATAGACAGCTAGCTACAAGGCCATTCTTTTCTCCTGGCAATGGATGCCAATGGTCTCTGATTGCTCTCCCACTGGTTCATCCAACCCAGTGGGAAAAATATCAGCTGGAGTCATGAGGTATTATGCAGGTGAAAACAATCAAGTGGTTGACTAAGAAAGTCTGGGCCTTTGGAGTCAGACTGAGATGTGAATCCTGACTGTTCTAACTCAAAGCCTGTCAAATGAGAGACACGTCCCTCTCCATCTTGTATGATACTTGCTTTATCAATTCCAGGTGTGCCTCATACAGAGGTGCTGGTCCATGCCTCAGCCTTGCCATGCTGTCCTCTACTCAGGTCCCCTGTCCTGTGCCATTGTACATCTTGTCTCCTGCCCCAGAGCTCCATGAAGAGTGTCGTCTTGCTCTTTGCAAAACATCTGCCTCTTTCTTTGTCTGGAGGAGGAGCTGCCAGGAAGGGAAGCTGCCAGGAAGAAGAGCAACTCAAGTTGGCCTACTTCCTGTTTTGAAACCCAGGGACTTGCTTGCAATCAAGGATGGGTTGTAGAGGCTTGAGGAAGATAGTTCCCAGCACCCCATGAATAAAGGGCTGGTTGTGGCGTGTGGTTCGCATGGCTGGCAGTGTGCTCTTGAGCCTATTTCTGGCTTAACAATATGCCCTCCCTCCATGGGGTTGCATTTTCTTAGAAATCCAAGATGCCAAGAAGGGCAATGTTGGTGGCCTGATCTGGTACAGGAAAGCTAGCCTGATGGTATGTGTTCCTCTACCTTTGATACTTAGTGTTTTCCTCCTTCCCTGTTCCCATGGAGAAGAAGCAGCAGGGCTACTGGGGCACCGAAGGAGAACTCACGACTTACTCCCTACAGCTTTCCAGAAGCACAATGCGTGGCCCTCATCTCTGGCACCACAGTCGCTCCCCTCTTTCAAGCCACATCATCTCTTGTTTGAATGCCTGCAATATCTCCTAGTCACTGTCCACGCCCTTGCCTTCCTGCAATACCTAGTCCATGCAACAGTATCATCTTTTCAGAATGCAACTGTGACCCAGGGCTGCCCAATCAGAGCATGACATCGCCTGGCCGGCATGACTGGTTGAGGGATGGCCTGTAATCTAAGCTAGTGAATAATTATAACTCTCACCTTTTAAGCTCTTGCTGTGTGCCAGACATGGGGCAAAACCCCTGACAACCAGCATCTCACTTCACCCTCACAATAATCCTATGCTGTCAGCACTATTATTATTAGAGGGGGTTAGTAGCTTGCCACAGGAATCTACTGAGAAAAGCGTCAGAACCTGAATTCAATACTTTCTAAATCCACAACCCATGTTTACAATGAAGTGTTAACAGAGACATAGAGCACCCTGTGGCTATTTTCTCCCAACAACAACACTTTTCACTATGTCTTCTAGTGAGGCCAGTGTTGTGGTGCCATGTAGACAAAGCCAAAAACAAAAAAACAGGGGCTGGGGGGACCTGCTGAACAGCCTGGCTACCCAGGGCTTATCAGCGAGATTGTCCTCCCTCCTGCAAGCAAGGTAAGGCATATATGCCCCCTAACAGTAGTAGGTTTTATTTTTTTTTTTCTGAATAAAAAGCCACCACATTGTAGTAATCTGCTACATCTTGGTGGACTGATCAGTTTCTCCTCCTGAAATTGATCTGGACATATTTTTGCATTTATCCTGGGATGGAACCTCCTGCAAGATTCCTCCTTTTTGGTTTGGTTTGAAACACAATGGTTTGCCACCATTACCGATATCCTCAGCACACTTAGCAGGCTGTCCCAAGAGTGGAAGAGTCCCGTCGTGCACTGGGCCAGGAATCTGGGGTCAGAAGGACCAGTGTGAAGAGCTGTGTAACTCCAACACAGCACAGGAGCTAGCTAAACCCATCTCTCAATAGGAGAAGAACCCTACCTCTCAGGGCTGGAGGAGGGCTGCACTCATTTCTGTCCATGCTTAGTCAAGTGCCTGGCACACACCCTCCTAAAGACTAAGTAAATTGTAGCTCTTTTTATTCATTGTTCTACTGAGAGGAAGAGTTGATTTTAAACTCATGATTATTGGCTTAATTAATTTATACCCCAAAATTCAAACACATGTTGCTGATATATAAGTAGCCCAGTCCTTCCACTTTTTGTCTCCCTTTCTTTTTTTTTTTTTTTTTTTTGAGACAGAGTCTTGCTCTGTCACCCAGGCTGGGGTGCAGTGGCACAATCTTGGCTCACTGCAAGCTCTGCCTCCCGGGTTCACCCATTCTCCTGCCTCAGCCTCCCGAGTAGCTGGGACTACAAGCGCCCGCCACCACGCCTGGCTAATTTTTTTTGTATTTTTAGTAGAGACAGGGTTTCACTGTGTTAGTCAGGATGGTCTCGCTCTCCTGACCTCGTGATCCACCCGCCTCGGCCTCCCAAAGTGCTGGGATTACAGGCGTGAGCCACTGTGCCCAGTCCTGTCTCCCTTTCTTAATAAAAAAATTACTCCTCCTATAAAATGATCACTAACACCACTGATAGGGTTTGGCTGTGTCCCCACCCAAATCTGATCTTGCACTGCGGCTCCCATAATTCCCATGTGTTGTGGGAGGGAATCAGTGGGAGATAATTGAATCATGGGGGCGGTTACCCCCATACAGTTCTTGTGGTAGTGAATAAGTCTCATGAGATCTGTTGGTTTTATAAGGGGTTTCTGCTTTCACTTGGCTCTCATTCTCCCTGCCTGCCGCCATGTAAGACCTGCCTTCCGCCATGATTGTGAGGCCTTCCCAGCCACCTGGAACTGTGAGTCCATTAAACCTCTTTTTCTTTATAAATTACCCAGTCTCAGGAATGTCTTTGTTACCACTGATTTCTATTTTTTAAACTGGAAAATGCACATGACATCACTTATTTCTCCCTATATAAAAACCCATGATGAGGTACTTAGAGGTACCAGAAATCACAGAGACAGAAAGCAGAATGGTGGTTGTCAGCAGCTGGAGGGAGGTGGAAATGGGGAGTTCTAGTTTAATGGGTACATAGTTTCAGTTTTACGGAATGAAAAGAATTATGGACATGGATGGTGGTGATGGTTGCACAATACTATGAATATATTTAATGGCACTAAACTGTATATATTAAACACAGTTAAGGTAGTAAAATTTTATGTTATGCATATTTACCACAAATTTAAAAACTGGAAAAAACTCATTGTAGTTTTCTGATTATATATTCAACATCCGGGCGAGGCACAGTGGCTCACATCTGTAATCCCAGTGCTTTGGGAGGCCGAGGCAGGAGGATCACTTGAAGCCAGAAGTTCAAGACCTGGTCAACATAGCAAGAATCTACAAAAAAAAAAAAAAAAAAAAAAAAAATCAACTTAGCCAGGCATGATGACATGTGTTTGTAGTCCCAGCTATTTGGTAAGCTAAAGAAGGAAGATTGCTTGAGCCCAGGAGTTCAAGCCTGCAGTGAGCTCTGATCATGCCATTGCACTCTAGCCTGAATATATAAAATACAAAAAAAAAAAAAATTCAATAACCATGTATTCCAGAAAATTTAGAAAATTCATAAGATCACTGAGAAAGTAATATGTCACTAACATTCTCATCCTACTACCTAAATAGTTGTAATCAATGATTTGGTGTATTTACTCAAAATTTTCTGTCTATGTATACTTATGTTTTTAAAAATAAATAGGATTATCTCATGTTAAAAAAATGTAAGTCATTTCCAATTCAGGTGCCAAAGAAAGTTTTACTTCTGGGTAGGGCACAGTGGCTCACACCTGTAATCCCAGCACTTTGGGAGGCTGAGGCGGGTGGATCACAAGGTCAGGAGTTCAAGACCAGCCTGGCCAAGATGGTGAAATCCCATCTCTACTAAAAATACAAAAATTAGCTTGGTGTGGTGGTGGGCACCTGTAATCCCAGCTACTCAGGAGGATGAGGCAGAGAATTGCTTGAACCCGGGAGGCAGATGTTGCAGTGAGCTGAGATCGTGCCACTGCACACCAGCCTGAGTGACAGAGCGAGACTTCATCTCAAAAAAAAAAAGAAAGTTTTACTTCTGAGACATTAGTATACTTTTTCCTTATATGGCACAAATAATGTAGCATCATATTTTTTTTTCATATTCTCAAGCATCATCATGTTTTCCTTTTTGTTCTGGCCACTGGGAAGCTCAATCTAAATATGTGGCCAACTTTGATAAACGCCTAGAATCCTTTGTCTGCTTGTTTATGTCCTAACTTCCTTCCTGGCCCTGATCTATTAAATCTCTCTTTCCCTAATCCTGATTTGTTCTCTATGTATAGCTTTGTAGTTTACTGTTGTATTGTATTGTGTTATTGTACATACATAATATTATAGGTACTATTGTAAGCTCCACATGGAAAAGGGTCGATGATATGTAAGTAGTCACTAGGAAGAAGATTCATCAATATTAAGTATTCTTGTAATCTGTCACAATCACCTGATTAACCTGTCATCATATGGTAAGCCCCAGGTGGCAACAAAGCAGGGGAGGGGATGGCCAGTGTTTATATGCGTGTGGGGAAGAGATAGAGACAGAGAGGCTTCAACCACCCCATATAGAACTCTAGAATCTGCTTGGGTTCCTGGTAGCAGTTTGTCACTTGAGAGAGGGTTTGTGAGCTTTATCTGCTGTCTCCTGATAAACCTGGGTGACTCACTTGTCTCTGGCCTGTATGTCTGTCACAGCTCCTGGCCACTCCCTGAACTCCAGAATAGGCACCTTCAATCCACTTTCTACTGGGTCCCAGGGTGATTTTCTTTTTTTCTTCACTACAAATGTGACCACATGACGCTCCTGCTTAAACCCTTCAGTGTTACCCACAAAGTACCCCTAAAAAATTCCTAATCGAATGCAGCCCTCTCGTTTCATAATTGAGAAGAATGTGACCCAGAGGTAAAGCAATTTAGTGGCACAGTTGGGACCAGAACTGAGGTTTCATTTATTTGTTCATTCATTCCTCCATGCATACATTTATTTACTAAAAAATTTTGAGGACTAATAGGCATCAGGCACGTTGGAGGCTCTGGAGACATAGCAGTGAGCGACACACCGGGTCTGCTGTCTTCCAGCTTCCACGCTAAAGGGGCAGGATGCAAGAAACAGATTGACGCAGAAATGAACAAGGTTTCAGATTGCTCTAAGGGCTATGAGACTTAAAAAGGAGGCACCATGCTGGAGAGTGGGTTGGGGTGGGGTGGTAGAAGAGGCTTGAGGTAGGGTGGTCGGGGAGACTCTCTGGTTGTGACATTTGAGCAGTGGCTAGCGTTGGGAAGATCTGGGTCTTTGCATGCATATGAGGTCTTGAGGAGAGCACCCACCTGGCTCCTTCTAGCACTCTGAGGAGAAGGAGAGGGCAGGAGGGGAGTTCTGTAGCAGGGATGGCAGGGTCAAGTCTCGGAGAGCCTTGGCAAGGTCTCCCGCCCTGTCATCACAATTGTGGTTTCCAAAACTCATCACAGGCTCAGGTGTGTTTTCAGGCCAAAGGCTTTTGGTTGAAAAGCAAGGAGAAAATGGAGAGCTAAGCATTTCCTTTCATGCCCAGCCCAACCAAGGCACAGCCCTTCTCACTGGATGAAATTTACACCTAACGTTATTTTTAGTCTTCTCTCTCCAGCTCAATGAATACACCTCACATGCAAGAGAAGATGAATTTATCTTTGTGGTTGAGAAATGCTCACATGTGAGAGCGGGAAAGAACACAAGCTTTGGAGGGAAGGAGAACATGGTTGAAACCTTGGTCCTGAAACCTGGTGTGGTCTTTAAGCCAGCTTCCTCACCTTCTACCCCACAGTGTCCCATCTGTCAATAAAATTAGTAAGGACTGGGGTGTATACGGTGCTTTGTGTTCTTTACAAATATTATCTCAGT
Source organism: Homo sapiens (assembly GCF_000001405.40). Lineage (NCBI taxonomy): Eukaryota > Metazoa > Chordata > Mammalia > Primates > Hominidae > Homo > Homo sapiens. The sequence goes on from NC_000005.10 coordinate 173,840,710, forward strand.
TCATCTCCTAAGAACTCTCTTATGGTACTATTATTTTCAAACCCATTTTACTGATGGGGAAACTGAGACCCAGAGAAAGGGACCTGAAATTCAAACCCAAGCAGTCCCACACCAAGGTCTATCCCAAAGTCTTCCCCAGGATGTCATATCATCTTGTGCATGGTACTGCCATTGGGAAGTGTAAAAGAACTAGAGCTGGTAAAAGGCCCAGATGAGACTCTGGGCCCCCTCAGCATTGAATCCATCTTCTTTTTACTCTGAAGAACCAGACGGATGGGGCACAAGCAGGTGCCCCATGGCTGCAAATGTGAGGCAGTGCAGGGGGGTAAGACTGGTTGGCTCACCAGGGTCCCCAGCCCAGCAGCCAAATGCCCAGGTATTCCTCCTCCCTTCTGCCAAGGAAAAGAAAAATAGGTTTGACTTCTTTTCACTGTAGTCGTGGTCCCCAGCCATGACCCTTTCCCCTGGATTTCATTGTTATGCAGAAGCCACTCCGTCCCAGGCAGAGCGTGTCCCTCCTTTAGGCTCCCACTGCACCACGTACATCCTGTATCTCGCCCTTATAAACCTGTATGGTAATTACTTTACTTGCCCAGGGCAAGAGTACAAACAGAGACCCACATATTATACGTCTAAATATTAAAAGTTATAAATCAAGCTAATGAACTGTTAAATAAAATATGTCTAGCTGCATACCTTGACAAATATATCTGCCTAACAATCTGGAAGGTCAAGATTGAATTTAGAAATCTCAGATGCCTCAGCATTTTGCGCCTACAGGTGGTGACCTTGGAAAGCCAATCCCAAGCCCCAGGCCCGGCTCCTGCCCCACTTCTCTCCCCGCCTTGGTCTGTATCTGTACTGAGATGGGCCTTGTGCAGGCAAAAACACCTGAGGGTGCCCCGGCCTCACAGCCAAACTCCATTGTCTATTTCCCCTCCCAACCAACAGCTACCCTTGGCCACCAATGGGCTTCAAGGTTTGCGCACGGGCGGCTTGCTCAGCCTTTGAGAGGACAGACCTGGGGAAGGAGTCCATGCAGTTTCTGGAAATAAGCTCATAGCTGTTTGGGCAAGGTATTCTAGTCCCCAGTGTGTGCATAGACCATGAGCTACAACATTGGTATCTAATAGAAACATAACGTGAGTCATAAATGCAAGCCACGTGTGTAATTTAAAATATAGTTAATCTTTGAATAACACAGAGGTTAGCGGCAGTACCCCCTGATCACAGTCATACCAGCTTATAACTTGACTTCCTTAAAACCTATCTACTAAGCTGAAGCAGGAGGATTGCTTGAGCCCAGGAGTTTGAGACCAGACCTAGCAACCAGTGAGACCCTGTCTCTACAAAAAAAAAATAAAGAAAAATTATCTGGGTGTGGTAGTGCAGCCTGTAGTTCCAGCTATTTGGGAGGCTGAGGAGGAAGGATCACTTGAGCCTGGGAGGTTGAGGTTACAGTGAACTGTGATCACGCCACTGCACTCCAGCCTGGGTGACAGAGCAAAACCCTGTCTCAAAAACAAAAAAACAAAAACAAAAACAAACCACTAATAGCCTGCTGTTGACCAGAAGCCTTACCAATAAACACATATTTTGTATGTTATACGTATTATACACTGTATTCCCACAATAAAGCAAGCTAGAGAGAAGAAAATGTTATTAAGAAATCATAAAGAAGAGAAAATATATTTACTATTCATTAAGTGGGAGTGGATCAGCATAAAGGTCTCCATCCTTGTTGTCTTCAGGTTGAGTAGGCTGAGGAGGGGGAGGAAGAGGAGGAGCTGATCTTGCTGTCTCAGGGGTGGCAAAGATGGAAGAAAATTCATGGGTAGGTGGACCCATGCAGTTCAACTGACACTCTGTGTTGTTCAAGGGTCAACTGTATACTAATAGCTCACATTTTTTTTTTAATAAATAAATGCTGGGTGCAGTGGCTCATGCCTGTAATCCTAGCAATTTGGGAGGCTGAGGTGGGCAGATTGCCCAAGCTCAAGAGTTCGAGACCAGCCTGGGAAACATGGTGAAACCCCATCTCTATCAAAATACAAAAAATTAGCTGGGCGTGGTGGCACATGCCTCTAGTCCCAGCTACTTGGGAGGCTGAGGCATGAGAATCGCTTGAACCTGGAAGGTGGAGATTGCAGTGAACCGAGACGGCACCACTGCACTCCAGCCTGGGTGACAGAGGGAGACTCTGTGTGTCTCAGAAAGAAAAAAAAAAAAAGCAGGTGAAATTAATTTTAGCAGTATATCTTATCTAACCCAATGTATCCAAAATATTATTCCAACATGTAATCAGTGATAGAAATGTTACACCCTATTTTGTACTAATTTTTTTTTCTTTTTTAAAAACCAATTTTAGGCCAGGGGCGGTGGTTCACACCTTTAATCCCACACTTTGGGAGGCTGAGGCAGGTAGATCACTTGAAACCAGGAGTTTAAGACCAGTCTAGCCAACATGGCAAAACACCGTCTCTGCTAAAACTACAAAAATTCACGGCTGGGCGCGGTGGCTCATGCCTGTAATCCCAGCACTTTGGGAGGCTGAGGTGGGCAGATCACCTGAGGTTGGGAGTTCGAGACCAGCCTGACCAACATGGAGAAACCCCATGTCTACTAAAAATACAAAATTAGCCAGGCCTGGTGGCTCATGCCTGTAATACCAGCTACTCAAGAGGCTAAGGCAGGAGAATTGCTTGAACCCGGGAGGCGGAGGTTGCAGTGAGCAGAGATCGCACCAATCCACTCCAGCCTGGGCAACAAGAGCGAAACTCTGTCTCAAAAAAAAAAGTTAGCTGGGCATGGTGGTGCACACCTGTAATCCCAGGTACTCAGGAGACTGAAGCAAGATAATCGCTTGAACCCGGGAGGCGGAGGCTGCAGTGAGCCAAGATCGCACTCCACTCCAGCCTGTGCGACAGAGTGAGACTCTGTCTGAAAAACAAAAACAAACAAAACACCATAAAATTCACCGTTGACAGTACACAATGCAATGGATGTTGGTATATTCACAAAGTTGTACAACTATCACCACTACCTAATTTCAGAACCATTTCTTCATCTCCAAATGAAGCTGTGTACCTGTGAGCAGTCACTCCCCATTCCTCTCAGCCCCTGACAACAACAGATTATTTTGTACTAAATCTTTTAATTCCAGTATGTATTCTGCATTGACAGCACATCTCAATTGAGCTGGCCACATTTTGGGTACTCAGTAGCCACTTGGGTGAGTGGCTGCCTTGTTTGGCAGTGCAGGTCTAGAACTTTGCTACTGTGAGTGTCATCTGTTGTCAAGTAGGAGCTGTAGCACCTGTAGAATCTCAGGCCCCCACCTAGACAAAATTAGCATTTTAGCGAGATCGCCAGGTGATGATCTGCACGTTAGAGCTAAAGAGGCTGGCTGCTGTAGAAGGTTCCTGAGCATACCCCTTTGACCTGCTGACTTGACCCAGAGAGGACCAGAGCTGAACTGGGGGCAGGGTTGGGGTCCTTTTAAGGGTAGTTTTGCCAGAGTCTTCCTACTGATCCACAGTGCCTCCCGTTAAGGCCCTTGACCTTGGGCAGAAAAGACCAGCATAGCCTGAAAAAAGAGAATGCTGAGGGCTCAGTGAATAGGAACAGGCTTCCTAGGCAGTAGAAGTGGAGACATCTGTGAAAAGGAAAAAAGACAAGAAAGAGCATGATCACAGGGGCACAGCAGGCCAAGAGTCCCAGAGGCAGGTCTGGAACAGGAAGCTTTACAAAGGCTCTGGCTAGGATGGGAGATGGTGGTAAATAGTTTGTGCTGGTTTCTGAGCATGACCAGGTAGGTGTCTAGTCTACGAGATAAGCCCATGGGAGGCTTCTGAAGAGAGCTATATAGGGAAATTTCATACATTGAATTCTTGATCACAAGCCCTTACATTGTAAAATCAGAGCTGTGTCTCAACAGATTAAATTTACCAATGGTGTAAACTGACGTCTTGTACTAAGGGTGGAAGCCAGTCCCATAATATGCTTTTCGTTGAGATTTCCCAGACATACTGGAGGTGAGATCTTCTGCTAGAAGTTACATTGTGGAAACTTCATTGTCTTTTTGACTGGCATCATGGATTTTTTTTTTTTTTTTTGGTAGGGGAGAGAGAGAGCAGGTCTCTAGGTTCATTTCACTGTTGGTTCAAGCTAGACGAGAGTTGAATGGACAACAGTATCTTCAGATGAAAATGAGAGGCAGAAAGAAGCTAAAGTCTACGCAAATAAACACTATGCTTTTGCTCGATACATATGATATCTCCATTCACGTCCACCATGCCCCTCTCAGGTAAGTGTCGTTACGTCAGTCAGGAGGTGTTCAGCAGCAACTAATAGGACATCTGGCTAACAGTGGCTTAAAAAATGTCTCTCAAAACATGGTTCACGCCAGGCATGGTAGCTCACACCTACAATCACAGCACTTTGGGAGGCTGAGAAAGGAGGATAGCTTGCATCCAGGAGTTTGAGACCAGCCTGGGCAATATAGCAAGACCTTGTCTCTACAAAAGAAATTAAAAAAAACAAAAATTAGCCAAGTGTGGTGGTGCGGGCCTATAGTCCCAACTACTCAGGAGGCTGAGGCAGAAGGATCACTTGAGTCTAGGAGATCGAGGCCGCAGTAAGCTGTGATCATATCACTACACTCAGCCTGGGCAACAGAGTGAGACTGTCTCAAAAAAATAAAATAAAACAAAATAAATGTGGTTCACTGGCATCTTCTGCATCATGCAGGAACCTGTCAGAAATGCACATTCTTGGGCTCCACCCTAGACCTACTGAATAAGAAACGTGGCGAGTGAGGGCAACAATTTGTGTCTGAACAAGCCCTCCAGATGATTCTGGTGCATGTGCAGGTTTGAGAAAAGCGGTTTCAACAATAGAGACACTAACATTTCTCAACAAAATGTTCAGAAGAAGCTCCACACGGCCAGCACTCTGGCTCAGCATCTCTGTGATTCTTTTGACTTTTCCCTCATGGTCACAAAATGGCTGCCACAGCTTTTAAGCATCACATTCTTACCTTGCAGCATCCCAGACAGGAAGGTCAGGGTGATGGCAGAAAGGGGAATCTTCTTCATTTGGACTTTCTCTTTTATTGAGAGGAAAATATATCTTAGGAACTTCCTCAGCAGACTTCCTTCCCCAACTCATTCTCCAAGCCGGGTCTCATGGTTGTCCCTAGGCAAATCATTGGCAAAGTGGAATACGGTCCCCACAGTGACTTAAACTGAGCACAATTCATCCCCTTGAGCTCACTGCTGCTCCTCCAATGCCTGAACAAAATTATTTCCTATTACCATGAAAGGATCAAGGCATGGGGGTAGGGAGAGTTGTTTGCATGCAACTAACAGTGTCTACTACAATTATTGTCCCCGGTTTACAGATGTGGAAAGTAAAGCTCAGTGAAGACTACATAGCTAGGAAATACGGGAGCTGAGATTCAAAGCTCACTTTTGTTTCTGGCTCCCAAAATCTTTCTGCTACCTTACTTCACCTGCAAATTTACCAGTGACCCAAATGCTGGAAAGTATAAGAGGTAGATTCTGTGACTTTATGCAGTAGCCAACATTGAGATATGGACTATAAATTGGAGCACAGGATGTCAGTAGAAGAGAGGTCACCACCTGGATACCTGTGGGCCTTGTGCTTCATTTGGTAAAAAGTTTAAAAAAAAATTTAAATTCATGTTCCATATTTAATATTGGAAGACTTCACATACAAATTCTGACTTCTAAATTCATTTGAAGAAAAATGAGAGGATCTTGCCTCCCTGGACCAACATGCCCTTGTGGTGAGAATCTGTGGGAGCTGAGTGGTGTCTGCTTCCTTTGGATGGAGCAGGGCTTCCTAATTTTCCTCATTTCCTATCATTCTCTATGGCCTTACACCTGACCCAGTTCACCTATTTGCATCACTTGCCTTGTCCTAGCAGACATGTTGCCCCCCAACCTGAATCCTGTGCCCATGTGTCCAATACTGCAATGCCAATGGTAAGGTCCAATAGCATCTATTCCCCTCTTTAGCCCCCAAAACCTGCAGCCACATGTTCCAGAGGAAGAAAAAAGACAGTAGGAGCTTTCAGAGTGAATTTGAATTTTCCTGCAGGGCCTACAGCACTGTGACTCCCTAGGACTCTACTATAGGCACTGCTCTGCAGTTTGAGACATGACTCCAGAAGGCAGGGCTGGGATATAAACCTCTGGGTGTCATTTGAGGGCCCTGAAACAGCAAGCAGTTTGGGGATAGGGTCTGGAATTAAGGAGGTAAGGACAAGCTGGGCTGCTTTACTTCCTAGAAGCTAGCTTCCCCTGAAGCTCCCCAATTTTCCTATGCAATTTTATATTCTTCAGTCTCCATATGCCCTCTGAGACTTGTAGTTGTAAAACACCACCTGGGGACTAATTGTCCTCCAGCTTAAGTCACTACCAGAAGAAGTTGTGTATAAACTTTGGACCTATTTCTTTATCTTACTTTTCAACTCTGAAATTCTGGTCCCCTGTGTTAGTTCATTTGCAATGCTGTAAAGAAATACCTGAGGCTGGGTAATTTATAAAGAAAAGAGGTTTATTTGGCTCACAGTTCTACAGGCTGAACAAGCAGCATGGTGCTGGCATCTGCTTCTGATGAGGCCTCAGGAAACTTACAATCCTGGTGGAAGATGAAGGGGGAGCAGGCATATCATGTGTCAAGGGAGGGGGCAAAAGAGGGAGAAAGAGATGCCACACACTTTTAAACAATCAGTTCTCTCATGCCTGTAATCCCAGCACTGTGCGAGGCCAAGGTAGGAGGATCACTTGAACCCAGGAGTTTGAGTCCCCAGCCAGGACCACAAAGTGAGACCCCATCTGTACAAAAAAATAAAATTAGCCAGGCATGGCACATGCCTGTGTTCCCAGATACTTGGGAGGCTAAGATGGGAGGATTGCCTGAGCCTAGGAGGTCAAGGCTGCAGTAAGATGAGATCGTGCCACTGCACTCCAGCCTGGGTAACAGAGTGAGACCTTGCCTCGAAAAAACAAAAACCAAAACAAAAGACTATCAGCTCTCATGTGAACTCATTACCACGGGGAGGGCACCAAGCTGTTTATGAGGCATCTGACCATGACCCAAACACCTTCCCCTAGGCCCCACCCCCAATACTGGGGATTACATTTCAACATGAGATTAGGAGGGAATAAACATCCAAACCATATCATCCCCTCTTCCACTCTTTAAGTCCATGTATAAATTCATCTGGATGGTATTTCCCCAGAAGCACTTCACTACAAAGTAGAAGCAACAGGAAGAAGAATAGTGCTGATAATAGTATAGCTGAGAAGTGAGGTCCTGCATGGGAAAAGCCCTATCCCAGCTCTGTGCTGGCTCTGAAGACCCAAACTCAGGGGACTCTCAGTCTGGCAGGGGAGCCATGAGAGAAACATGTCATGACCAAGCAATCTGATCAGGGCAGCTCTGTAGGTAAACATAGGGTGTTCTTGGGTCTTGGAGGACTGGCACCTACCCTGAGATGAGGAAGTTTCTGGAGGAGGTGATGACTGAATCTTGAAATAAGAATCAGCCAAACAAAGAAGAGAAGGGCAATCCAGGCAAAAGGAACAGTGGGAGCAAAGGCCTGGAAGTAGGCAAGAACATGGCATATGTGTGGACTGACATGTCCCTGGAACCAAAGAGGAAGGCCGTGGATGAGGCTCTGGGGGTAAGAAGCAAGTCACTGAAGATGGTTGGCTTCATCCGGAAAGAATGGAGACACCATGAAGGGCCTTAAGGAGAGATGTGACTTGACCAGATGATTGGAGGGTGGATAGGAGACCAGCGATTACTCTGTGCTATTGCCCACTAAAGAAAGAAGGAAACTCCTATTTGCCCTCCTTCTCCAGGGTTTACTATCTCTGGAAATGACACTGCCATCTACCCAGTTGATCAAGTCAGGGACATCCTCCTTAACATCTGCTTCTCTCTTACCTCAGTATCACCAAGACTTAGAGAGTCTGCATTCTCAGTATCTCTCCAACACGCTCATCCTCCAATTTCCCCGCCATCATAACCTCCAATGGCCTCCTGATGTTCCCCTGCCTCCAGCTTCTTCTTCTTCTAGCTATTCTCTACATCACAGCCATGGTCTTCCTAAAGTGCAGACTTAATCTTGGCATTTCTTAGCAGAAAAAAATTTTTTAAAAGCCCTTCAGTGTCTCCTGTGTCAGTCAGGATTCCTACTGCAATCAGAACTCTAGCTATTTAAACAGAAAATAGTTGTATAAAAAGGATATACAGCAGCACAGCAAATCATTGGAATTTTGTTTGTAAATCATCATCCTTTTGTTGGGCAAAGGATGTGCCTTATGTTTCAGTCATCTGTTGTGTAACAAACCATCTCAAAACTTAGTGGCTTAAAACAGCACCAATTGTATACCATGACTCAGGGCTGACTGGGCTCTGCTGGGCAGTTCTTCTGGTCCTCATGGTTTTGGCAGGAGCTGTAGCCTCCCGGAGGCTCAACTCAGCTGAGATGGCTCATTCTCATGACTGGTGGTTGGTCCTGGCTGTCAGGTAGGAACTCAGTTGGGGGTGTCAACTGAGCTTCTCAGTTCTCCCTGTGGTCTTTCTATGTGGCATGTGCAGCTGGATTCTAAAAGGGAATATTCAAAGGGTGTGAAAATGAAAGCTGTAGATCTCCTATGGCCCAACCTTGAGAGTTACACAGAAGCACTTCTGTTGCATTCTTTTGGTCAAAGCAAAGCAAGAGGGCCAGTTCAGATTCAAAATAGACTCCTCTCCTTCGTGAAAGGAGAGGCAAAAATGTGCAGCCATCTTTATATGCACCATCCCTTACTTGTATATCCTCCTAAATCACCTAGTAGGATACATAATAGGTGCTTAATAAAAATTTGTTAGGGATCAATGTATTCAATTATTTATTTATTTATTTAGAGATGGTGGCTGGAGTGCAGTGATGCAATCTCAGCTCATTGCGACCTCCACCTCCTGGGTTCAAGCAATTTTCCTGTCTCAGCCTCCCTAGTAGCTAGAACTACAGGCACTCGCCACCATGCCCGGCTAATTTTTTTTTTGTATTTTTTTTTTGTATTTTTTTTGTAGAGACAGGGTTTTGCCATGTTGGCCAGGTTGGTCTGGAACCCTGACCTCAAGTGATCCACCCGCCTCAGCTTCCCAAAGTGCTGGGATAACAGGCATGAGCCACCACGTCCAGCCTGATTTAATCATTTATTTATTCATTTATTTGGGAATCATTGGCCATGAAATAGACCAATAGTCTTGGAAAACACTAGAAGGCGGCTCAATGCGCTGAAGAGAGTCCACCAGACCTATGGTCAGACTTTGCCTTTCTTATGACCTTAGGTAAATTGCTTAGTCTTTGGAACTCAGTTTCCTCATCAGTAAAATGGCATAACTATGCCTACAGATGAGAGTAACAACACCCACCTCACAGGGTATTTCCAGGTTTAATTGCTCATGTGTTCTAGCCCTGCTTGTTCACTTTGAGGTGATATGACCCAGTAGAGAAAAACTTACTCCCCTGAGAAACAAGTTTTATTTTGGTGGTGCAGGGGTGGCGGACCCTCTGGTGTTACTTTAGAGCACTTTCATTTGAAACAGTTACAACACTACAAACAAACAAGACATAGACTTTTTGCTTTTTGAAGATAATTAATTGAAGAAAACGAGTAATAGAGGTTGCCTCTGGGGAACCAGGAATCAGAGATGGAAGGGAAGTGTGTGCTTTACTCTGTACTTGTTGGCACTGTGTGAATATTTCTCTTACAGGTCTCTCTCTCCAAAGAGAGAGAAAGAGAATTTAAATATGAGGAATTCAGATACAGTTGAAACAATTTCTTCTGGGTCACAGTGACTTCAGTGAGCACATAGCTGTTCATTAATATAATTCACAGCCACAAAAAAAGATGTGAATCACATTTTTCCTATAACAAGAAGCCTTGAAAAGAGCACCCGGAGTGGGGCTCTGAGGCTTCTTATCTCTCCACCCCTGTGGCAGTTTCCTCTCGGATCCTTGGGGTGCTTCTGCATTTGTTCATTAAATGCCTGCTCAGACTGGAGACAGCTCAGGCAATGTCCTGTCATTGCTGGACATGACATGTTCGATATACTGTCACAGTCTCCTTCCCGCATGCCCCCTCGGTGGCCCTCACTTCTGTTTGGCTCAATCATTTAATTTGCAGACTCCAGGCAGCCTAATTCCTAATCTTTCTTTAGCAAGATCATGATATGTGATGCATTGGGAGCCAGTCAAGGAGGTGAGGGGAAGTCTGGAAGACGAATAGATGAAAGGAGGGCAGGAAGGGAGGGAGGAAAGAGGAAGGAAGAGGTGCTGATTCTTGCAATTTTCTAGAACCTCTCCAAAGTCTTTTTTCCTCCATGACCCTTTCTCCCCTTGCCCTGGGATTCTCTTGTCCTCACTACCCTTGCAGTCTCCCACTCCTGCGTATTGTACAAGCTGGTGCAGACTGAGAAATGTTGCTCTGAAAGACAGGAAAGGGAATTTTTTTAAACATCTGCTTCATTACCCAGCTCCCCACTGCCCAGCCACCAATACACACAGACACATTGAATGTCTCCACAGGTCCTCTCAGCTCTTTGAAAATGATGAACTATCCAATCATTCACTTCTCTAAGTCTCCACCACCCCATCCCTGTCACTCCAGATGAGAAATTCATATAAAGATGGCTTTGCTCAGAAAACAATGTTGCCTGTGGCCATTAAGAAAAAAAGGTCTGCCCACCCTTAAATGTTTATCATAGCTCCTGATTTTTTTCTTTTCTTAAATCTTTTTTTCTTTTTTTTGACTTGGAGCAAGGAGGGTCTGACTGTCACTTGGAGCTAAACCAGTCTCCAAGTGGCCATCAGACCCTCTTTGCCCCAAGTCAGTACCGTCCTCAGTGACAGCTCTGATATGGGTTAAATTGTGTCACCCAAAAAGACGTGTTGAAGCCCTGACCCCCATACCTTGGAGTGTGACCTTCTTTGACAGTAGGGCTGTTGAAGATGTCATTAGTTAAGATGAGGTCATACTGGAGTAGGGTGGGCCGTTAATCCAGTATGACTGGTGCCTTCCCAGAAGAGGAGAAGGGACATACATGAAGTCACATAAGGGAAGAACACCATATGACACCGGAGGAAGGGGCTGGAGTGATGCAGCTGCAGGCCGGGGAACATCAAAGATCGCCAGCCAACCACCGGAAGCAAGGAGAGGCAAGGAAGCATCTGCCCAGAGTTTCAGAGGAACAGGGCCCTGCTGACACCATGATTTTCCAACCCTGGCCTCCAGAGCTGTGGGAGAATACGTTTCCATTGTTTTCAGCCACCCAGTTTGTGGTACTTTGTTTATGGCAGCCCTAGCAGGTTGATATAACTTCCTGCTATTGCCTTTGAAGCTACCGCTGGACAATAGTCTTTCAAAAGGAACTAGGGGTTTGATTTCAATGGGATGAATTTGAATAGAGTTTTGGGAGCGAAACACATATGCTGTCACTGAATTCTCAAAAAGCCTGATTTCCTCCAAGTGTCCTATCAAAAATATAAAGACATTTGAAGATAAAACACACCTTCCTTTTCCTTATCCGAGAAAACCCCAAGTTCTCAGGATAACAGACACGGGACGGCAGAACTCAAGAGAGAGTGGACTTGTGGCAAATGTGGAATCCCAGGCCCGCTGTGTGGCTATCAGCTGCGTGGTCTTGATTGAGTGTGTCAGTCAGGGTCCTGGAGGAAACGCCACTCACTGCAGATGGGTCAGGTGAAGAGACTTTAAGGAACTGACCACATGCTGTGTGCTGTGGCTCCCACCTATCATCCCAGCTACTTGGGAGGCTGAGGTGGGAGGATCACATGAGCCCAGGAGTTCAAGGCTGTGGTGAGCTATGATCGCACCACTGTACTCCAGCCCAGGTGACAGAGCGAAACCCCATCTCTCTACTATAAAATGAAAAAAAAAGAAAAAGAAAAAGAGGGAAGGGACCACACAGGTGCTGGGAGGATGAGGAAATAAACCAGGAATGACGAAGCATGCAAAGAAGAGCAACGAGGAGGAGTTGTTACCCCTTCAGAGCAGAGGGGACAGACGGAGGAAACGGTGGCATTGCCCTCTATCAGGCATCACACTCATGGAGGGACTCAACGACTGGCAGACAGGTGGCACCTAACTAGGTAAGGATGGGGAAGAAAGACTTCGACTTCTCTCTTCTCCTGCTAGTGCCTCAATTGGCTGAACCCAGCAGGAAGCCCAGAGGACAAGGACCCCAGCACAAAGAGATGGCAGAGAGAGCAAATGGAGAAGAACTACTACAGCAAGCCATTCTCCATTCCGAACTAAGTATTTCCCTGGCCAAATGGGAGTAAGAATACTGACTGCTAGGCTTGTGACATGCCTATCACTTGGTCATGAATTATAAGGGACATAGCACAATGCTGGGCAAAGAGGATTGTCCTCGAGAAACACCCAGTGAATAAACAATTAATGGGCTGAGTGGATTTTCTTACGAGGCACACACATCATTCTTTTTTTCTAAAAAAAAAAAAAAAATCTCCAATGATAGACTTGGATAAATTATGCCTCAACTCCATGTCATAAAAGGTACAGAGGGAATTGTACAGCATATTAGAGATAATTAACTCCAAGTAGAATCAGGGCTGCCAGAATTCAGGAAGGACTCTGTGAGTCAATCTCACCCTAAAAAGGCACTGAGGCGCATGTACAGAAAGGAAAATAGAAGCCAATTAATTCAAAACATTTGGTACCTTGTAGCCTCAAGAGGTTTAGATGGAAGCACTTAGCGAGTGTGACTGAAATGGCAAGTACGTCCGGCTGCATGTGATAGATTGGTGGGAGCTGATTCAGCCACCATGCAGAGTACTGAGAAGTTGTGTCCATTTCTAGGAACTGTTGACTCAAAGGCAAAATGCAAGATGGAGCTTCATTAGGGCAGGTGGGTTTTGAAGGAGAGTTGAGACAAAGGTTATTTTTATCTCGGGGCTGTTTTCCAATCTCTCCTCACTTTCAAGGAAGGGAACGGATAGAGCACCTACTGTGTGTTGAGTAGGAGCTAAAAGGCCCCTGCACACCACTTCAGCGAATCCTCACAGCAACCAGGAGAGCGAGAAGAGGAAAGAGGCTCAGGGAAGGCTTAGGGACTTTGAGCCTTGCCCAAAGTCCCATCAAAGCTGGGGGGCCCAAGAGGAATTCAAACTTATGTTGTTTTCACGCTATACCACGTGACCTTTTTTTCCTTTTCTTTTTCTTTTCCTTTTCTTTTTTTTTTTTTAGAAAGGATTTCACTCCGTCACCCAGACTAGAGGGTAGTGCATAATCATAGCTCACTGCAGCCTTGACCTCCTGGGCTCAAACAATCCTCCTGCCTCAGCCTCATTAGTAGGTGGGACTATAGGCACATGCCACCAAGCCAGGGTGACTTTTAATTGTTTTTGTACAGAGCAGGTCTCCTTATTTTGCCCAGGCTGATCTCAAACTCCTGGGCACAAGTGATCCTCCCACCTCTGTCTCCCAAAGTGCTGAGATCACCGGTGTGAGCCACCGCACCCGGCCCAAGTGACTTTTTCCATCCCATCATGTGAGTCAAACCTCTTGGCTCCACTCTCAAGATATGGTCCTAAGAAACTACAGAAACAATTTCACCATACTGGAAGAAACACAAATATCAAACAACAAAGGAAGAACAGAAAGAGGGATCCTGCAGGGAAATCCCAGTTCTGCCTCTGCCTCATAGGTTGCTACCACCAGATTTCGATGGTTCTACCACACACACTTTTTGTTTTCTTTTTCACATTTTAACATCTCAAAAATCAGAGTATATTTTACAATTGATGGCATGTCAGAGTTTAATTGACAGTTGTTATTCTTTCTTGATGGCACATTACACAATGGTGAGCCTTATCATGTACTGTTGGCACATTTATGAAATATATTATTATCAGCTTCATTTTTCACAGATGAGTAATGCAGCCTGTTCACAAGCAAATCAGTGGTCCCCTGCCCACTTCCCTGACCTCACCTCCGCCTAGGATGCCTGATTCTTTCTTTCTTTCTTTCTTTCTTTCTTTCTTTCTTTCTTTCTTTCTTTCTTTCTTTCCTTCCTTCCTTCCTTCCTTCCTTCCTTCCTTCCTTCCTTCCTTCCTTCCTTCCTTCTTTCTTTCTTTCTTTCTTTCTTTCTTTCTTTCTTTCTTTCTTTCTTTCTTTCTTTCTTTCTTTCTTTCTTCTTTCTTCCTCTCCTTTTTCTTTTTTTTTTTAGTCTCGCTGTTGTCCAGGCTCTGGGCTCACTGCAGCCTCCATCTCCTGGGTTCAAGAGATTCTCCCGCCTCAGCCTCCTGAGTAGCTGGGATTACACTCACCCGCCATCATGCCCAGCTATTTTTTGTATTTTTGTAGAGACGGGGTTTCGCCATGTTGGCCAGGCTGGTCCTGAACTCCTGACCTCAGGTGATCTGCCTGCCTAGGCCTCCCAAAGTGCTGGGATTACAGGTGTGAGCTACTGCGACTGGCCGACACCTGATTCTTTCTACATTTGCCCTCTCTTCCTCCCTCTAACCACCATTTTGTTCCTATTTGTACTGGGCCCTGTGGGCTGCCTTGTAAACACTCTTTCCTTTTTCCCTCCTGGCCAACAGGACTCTGATTTGATAGAAGCGTCCATTGATCCAGATAGGTTATCTTACCCCATATCAATTAGATACCCAATGTAATCATGGAAAATACCATTTCTCTCACTTGTGTAGTTCGGGCTGGGCTTGTGAGTCACTTGTGGTCTAAGGAAAAGTGTACTGGGGACTCCTGGGGAAAGCTTCTTCTCTTTTAGAAGATACAGAAGTTTTCTTTGTTTCGCTAGACAGTTGTGTCTGGATGTGCCTGGCACTACAGGCACCATGAAGGGACCCAGCCTTGGGATGGGCAGAGACACAGAAGGAAACCAGGCCCTGATGATGTGGTGCAGCAGTGCTGTGTTCCCCATTTTCCACCTTTTACTTGAGAACTCCCAGCTCAGTGAGATAAAAATGTGCTTATCGTAGAAGCCACCTTGAGTCGGGGTTTTCTGTGACTTGCAGCTGAAGGCCTCCTCATTTACGGGCAGCCTCAGGGCTTTCCTCTCACTGTTTTTCTGCTTGACCCTCTCCCCCTGGCTGGCTCCGCCTCATTCTTCAGGCCCAACTCAGAGGTCACTCCTGTCACCTCCCTGTTGGATGTGCTCCCGCCAGTCACTCCATCTCGTTCTGTTCTGTTTCCCGCAGAGCCCTTGGGATTCATTAAACTCGTCTGGTTTAAGGACAGCACTTGATTCCCCCACACCAGAACATAAGCCCCAAGACAGCAGGGACATGCCTGTCTTATTCACTCCAGGACTCCAGGACTTAGCTCAGTGCCTGCCATATAGTAGACACTCAATAAATCATCTCTGAGTGATCAAGATGTAGAGAGCTGGCATTTTAAACCCAAGCATTTTACATCTTGCTAGATGCCACCTTTCAGAACTCTTTACCTCCCTGTTTTAGGATTCAGGCTCCTTGTTTCCCTAGCTAGGCCCTGCTCCTTAGCTCACAGATGCCATTTCCCCCTAAGCATCAGCATTCTCTCTTTGCAGGTGAACTCTTAAAAAGGAGACAATCCTCCTGCCTCAGCCTCATGAGTAGCTGGGACTACAGGCACATACCACCAAACCAGGGTGACTTTTAATTGTTTTTGTACAGAGCAGGTCTCCTTATTTTGCCCAGGCTGATCTCAAACTCCTGGGCACAAGTGATCCTCCCACCTCTGTCTCCCAAAGTGGGAGCTGCCTGCCCTGCATTCCATTGCTCAGCTCAGGATTGAATTGATGGCTGTGTTCTCCAGGCCAAAATCCTGGGCACAGAATTGGGATGGCCTTATCATCCCTCTGCTCCACCTTCTTGCTTTCTCTGCCAGTAGCCCCTACCTAATCTGCTGCGGGATTGGGGGTGGGGGGCAGTAGTTATGATGGTGATGGCACCATGGATCCCAAGAATTCCTCAGAAATTAGAAATTTAGGCTCAGACAGGGAAAGTGATCTGGTCATAGGCAGTAGTTGGAAGACACGGGAAGAGAACCCAGCTTTCCTCTCTCTCCCGGTTCCAGGATCTTTCCAGTAACCTGTTACTTCTTTTTAGATAGAGACATAGTAAACTGAAAGTTGTCGTTACTTCCAAGGTGAACTAGAGCATCTCCCTATGTTGCCCAGGCTCATCTCGAACTCCTGGGCTCAGTCCATCCTCCCGCCTCTGCTTCCCAAAGTGTTGGGATTACAGGCATGAGCCACCACGTCCAGCCCGTATGATTTCTCCAATCCCTTCATGTGAGTCAAACCTGTCAGCTGTTTCAATTCTGTGAGCCTCAATTTACCAATCTGCAGATTGAGGCACTCAGCCATTTTCCTCAGAGGGTGTGTGTGTGTGTGTGTGTTTCTTAGAAGATCATGCAAGGGCTGATATAAAGGCCATAAAAACACTAAAGCAGCCTTTCCTCTAAGTCCAGGTTCAAGGGCCCATCTAAGTCCAGCATTTTAAAATTTGACCCCTTACAAACACACAGCTTCATCCTTAACAAGATGCTTAGCCTGAGCATCTATCGTCTGCCGGCTTCCTCCTCTAGCCCATCTATCCCCATCCCCTGGACATCTGGTGCCTGTGGCTGATCCATTAGCTGCCTTGCCTGCCCCCAGAGCAGAGCGATCCAGGCCACCATGAAATATTTAAGCAGCCCTGACAGCAGATAACTTACTCTGACTGGATTCTGCTTTGGCTGTGGTTTGGGTTACAGATGAGAAGGCTGACCAGTTAAGGCAGAGAAGTTAAAGGCCTGGTGCAGGGCTGCCCTTAAAATGGGGAAGGGACACTGGAAAATACATTGCAGCTAAGGATGACACTATTTTTTTTTTTTTTTTTTTTTTGAGACGGAGTCTTGCTCTGTCCCCAGGCTGGAGGGCAATGGCGCGATCTCGGCTCACTGCAACCACTGCCTCCCTGGTTCAAGCAATTCTCCTGCCTCAGCCTCCTGAGTAGCTGGGACTACAGGTGTGCACCACCACACCCAGCTAATTTTTTAATTTTTAGTAGAGATGGGGTTTCACCATGTTGGCCAGGACTAAGGATGTCACTTTTTAAACAAACGCAAACTTCGCAAGCTCAGACTTGCTACAGGATTGTAAGTCAGTAGCCAAGACCTGAGAATCCATTTCTGACAGTAGAGAATTTCAGCCTTTAGAGGCATCAAGACCTGAGTTCAAGTCAGCCTGGCTGCTTTCTAGCTGTCGTCCTCTTGTGAGTAACTAAATTGTGCTGAGACTCAGTTTCTCTATCTGTAAGTTGAAGAAAACCAGCCCTTCTCCAGATTGCCATGAGACTTAAATGCAATAAGATGTTTGGAGGTAGCTGACAGGTGTTTACTTTATGTGAGTTCCCTCCTTCCGCTTAATCAGGAGTTTCTTATCTGGGTCAGCCTTAGGAATGAGAGATAACTAGGTGTCATCTGGATGGATATAGGATGACAGTTTAAGGGTCACCTACACTGGAACCGAATTCACTTCATCTGGGCTGTTAGAACACATTCCAGACTCCTAGAATTTCTTTACTACTGACTTCATTCCAAAAAAGGATCTGAGGCTACAGAGTGCACGTATATATATTACTGTTAATAAAACAGGAGTAGGAATAATAGCAGCTAATGTTTATAGGGTTTGCTGTACAGCAGGTGCTGTGTTAAGTGCCCTACCTCACATTATTTTTTCTTAAATACAGCACCCTGACAAGCAGGCAGAAGCGTATCTGCTAAGCATTGATGGCCCTTTCTGGCTCTAATGCCAGAGCAACCCTGACTTCTAGGTCACGGTTGTAAAATAAATTGTTGCAATGGGATCCAAAAAAGGGGGAAGTTTATACTAGAGAGCTTTACAGTCACAATAACAGAAATAATTTTTCCTGTAGGAGTCCCAACAGTAAAGGTGTTTTTATAGCTGGGAGTTCATAACCATAAAACCTAAAGTCACCAGCTCCTACAGTGTAGAATCACGTGGCATCTTCCTTATCACCACCAGCTCTGACATTGGTGCAAAACATCTTACGCATTTTCTAATCTTTTTTATCATCTTTTCCAGCCAATGTTATGATAAAGTCTTGCAATCAAAGCAAATGTTACCACTGCAAAGCCATTTGACCTATTGTCCTTGTGGCTTTCTCAGCAGAGGGGCCCTGTAAGGCCAATTGTATACCATAAATAATCCATCAGGTTATCCAGTTGGCATAATGGGCCCTCCCACTGCAGAAGAAAAGCTTGTGGTTGAGTGTCCAAGGTCTCTCTGAGCTCCTTGGCAGCCCCTTCCCAAAGGGAAATACAGTGAAATTTAGAGGGAGCCCTCCTTCCCCGAAAGGAGGAAGCAAACACTCTGGGTGCTGTTGCTTTGGCTTGGTTCCTTTGGAGTGAGGTGCTGTCTAACCAGGCTCTTGGCTGGATGTTTGCTTTTCAGCCTCTTTGGCTGTGACTTCTGTGGGGTGAATATAGGATCTGTCTGCCCCACTCAGTGCAAGAAGCTGGTGGGATTTGGCAGACCCCCAAATGTGCCAGATTCCATCTACATGCATGGATTCCACACTCTTCACCTCATGGAATCTTGACAGCTCTTCTGCGAGGGAGGCAGTACGATCCTCATTTGACAGATGAGGAATAAAGGAGGCTCAGAGAGATAAGTTTAGCTGCCCAAGCTCACACAGCAGGGAAGTGGCAGAGTCTGACTAGACCCAAGATCTCCTGACTCCAGCTGCAATCTTCAGAGAGTTACGATGATGACATACTTCATTGCACACAGGGAACAGGTAACAGAGCTGGGGAACCAAGCCCAGCACTCACCCCAGTCCACCACACAACCTCCCTGCTTGCATTTGCCCAATGAATAAATATTTGCTGCCCACCTGCCAGACACCAGGGTCTACTGGATGTCCTGAGGATGTAGCTATGAGCAAGTCAGGCAGGATCTGTGTGTCCCCAAGGGGCTCACCTTCTAGTGCAAGAGACAGATGATAAATAAGAAAGCTGGTAGGTTGACAAGGGTATTGTTGTTGGGATTATCTCATGGTGGAAATATTCAAGGGCTGGGGCAGGGGAAAAGGGTGGGGTATGTGGTCACTGCTTTAGACAGGAGGATCAGGAAAAGCTTCTACGAGGAGGTGACATTATCTGAGAACTTCAAGATGTGTAGGAGCCAGTCATGGCAGGGAGAACAAGAAGGGTAAGGGCCCAGAGGTGAGATGTAGCTTACCCGGGACAGGGAATAACACAGGGCAATATGGCCAGAAGGTCACAAATGAAGACCAGAAGGGCTCAGGATGAAGTTGGACAGAGGTTGGCAACAGATCTTGAGGATCACATAAAGGGGTTGAATATATTTCCCTAAGGGCAACACAGAGGCATTGAAGGGTTTAGGCATGGAGGTGACATGACCGGATTTGCATTTTAGAAAGATTTCTCTCTCTCTCTCTCTCTCTCTCTCTCTCTCTCTCTCTCTCTGTGTGTGTGTGTGTGTGTGTGTGTGTGTGTGTGTGTGTTTTAGAAAGAGGGGAGTGGGGAAAGGTTGCAGGGTGGGGACCTGGGAAGCCAGTGGAGTGCTGTAGAAGCCCAGACATAGCTGAATGAGGGCAGTGGCAATGAGAAAGGAAGAATGGGGCAAATTTGGGACATGTTTAAAAGCAAAATAATGCAGAGTTGTCGACAGCTTAAAAGTGAGCAGCGAGGGAGGGGAGGTGTTCAGAATGACTTCCAGGCTCCTGGCTTGAGCAAACTGGGTGAAGAATAAGGCTAGTCTAAGGACTGTTGGAGCAGGACAGTGCAGGAGGGCCTGGGTGAAGATTAAGAACGCTGCCCCAGGCTTGAGTCTTGAGTCCCACCCTCCAACAGAAGCCGTGCCACCAGCAACAAGATCCCTTCCCCCACAGAGCAGGCAGGACCAGCACCAAGATAACAATTCCCTCTGCCCAGAGCCTTCCGGGGACGCCAGCCAGCCAGGCCCTGCTGCAGCCAGGGCACTGCATGCTCTAGATTGGGTTCCTGGAAAAACTGTTCAATTATTGATAAGGAGCTCCCCTGACATCACTGAAAGACAACAACCCTCTCTCCTCGCTGCCCTACAGATCTGGGTTCCCCGGCTTGGCAGCTGGAATATGATGGGGGTGGGGGCCAATGCAACCCTTGAAACGCAGCCACAAGAAAGCACTCAGCATACAAAAATAATAACAATGCTGTAATAACTTACATTTTCTGAACACTTGCTATGTGCCAGGCAGGGTTCCAAGAAAGCTTGGAACCCTGGAACCTTGGAACTCTTCTTAAGAACTCTAAGATGGAGTTCCTATAATTATTCCCACGTTATAGGTGGAAAAACTGAGGCAAAGGGAGGTTAGGTAAATTGCCTCCTTAGGTCACCCAGCTTGGAAATGGTGAAGCAGTCTCGCTCCAGAGTCTGTGGTGTCCCCCACTTCTCTGGAACTGCTTCCAGGTGATAACACAGGTGGGGAGGGGAAGCTGGTAGCAGAGAGGCCTATTTTACCTTTCTGCATTTGAAATAAATAAGTTAGATATTAGAATGATGTGGGCAACATTGAACTAAGCCCCTATTCAGCGCAAATATTCACCACTTTACTAACCCTCTATGCAGTGAGAAATCTGCTCATACCATGTTACAGATTTCGAGAAAACTAAGGTTAAGAGAGATGAGAGGTTTCACCAAGTACTGGGCAGCTTGGAAATAACTAACCTGAAATCTGAACCTTGGTCATTTAACACCAAGGGCAGTGAGTTCTCTGACTTCACTGCACATATAAGTATATGCATATACCGTGTATATAAATTATGCACATTCCCTGAAAAGGATATTGATGTTTCCACACAGAGCACACATGCTACACGGTCCAACCTCATGTTGTGATGGCCATCTGAGTATTTCCATCCTCACAGAAAGCCCAGTGAAAGATCCACTCTGTAGCTAACACTCCAGCTGCTGCCACCTTGCTTGTTTTCTGATCTTGGGTAGGTGCTCTTCTTTTTGTGACCTTAGAAGAGAAGAAGTTACACCCTAAACCCATTTCTCTAATCCTCCACCAATTTACTGCTTTGAAATATTCAATTACTTCCTTTTATTTTCTTGTCTTTGAAATTTGTTCAATAGTTTGCCTTCTTCTCTTTCTTGCTGCCTTCCTTTTTCAGTCAACGAGCTTTTGCTGAGCACCTACTTAGCAGTACGATGTTGCAGGAAGACCATCACAGCGGAGCAAAATAGGCCTGTGATCAGATACCAGCTCTGGGGCCTTAGGCAAGTTCTTTCACTCCTCCCAGCCTCAGCATCCTCGTCTGTAAAATGGGCAAATCCTACAATCTACTCCTCATGGGTTGCCACAAATAGAAAACATAGCCACAGTTGTGCAAGTATCTGACATGGAGCTTGACGCAAAATTGGTTCTCGGTAAATGTTTGATGAACGTTGAGACTTCAGGTGGGAAGGAAGAGGAGAAGAGTCAGACACAGGCCCTGCCCTTGAATAGGTTCCTGCCTACAAAGGGAGATAGGCAGAAATAAGTGAGGCAGCCTGTGATAAGGCCATACAAAGGGGCAGATAAAGAGTCCTGAGGACTAACAGGAAGGAGAAATGCTTCTCATGAAAGTACCTTAGGTTCTGCAGAACAGCCTAGAAACACATTCCTGTGTCTCTCCCTCTCTCTGAGGGGTCAGGAGGATGTTTTTCTAGGCCAGATCTGAATCTGCCCTGAATCCTCAGCAAAATAGGGCAGAAGGTGATGGGAAAGAATGGAGATGACACTATCTGTGATTGAGGCCAATGGCTTAGAAGCAGTAGAAAGCACCCCTTGGCTAGTCCCATCTGTGGGCAACAGCCAGACATTCGGGTCTGCCCTGCGTCCTGGCTTTGCCACCTCCAAGCTATGTGACTTTTGGAAAAATGTCCCCCAGTGTCCTGAAGCCTCAGACCCATCACCTATAAAATACAACTAAGGCCAGGTGCAGTGGCTCACGCCTGTAATCCCAGCCTTTTGGGGGGCTGAAGCGGGTGGATCACCTGAGGTCAGAGTTCCAGACCAGCATGGCCAACATGGTGAAACCCCGTCTCTACTAAAATACAAAACTCAGCTGGGTGTGGTGGTAGGTGCCTGTAACCCCAGCTACTCAGGAGGCTGAGGCACAAGAATTGCTTGAACCCAGGAAGCAGAGGTTGCAGTGAGCTGGGATTGCACCACTGTACTCCAGTCTGGGTGACAGAGTGAGACTGTCTCAAAAAAAAAAAAAGAAAAAATACAACTAACAATAGCTTCTATCTTCAGAGCTGTTATGAGGATGGATAGCACTGTATGCAAGCTCAGGGCATATGGAATCTATATAATAAGGATCAACTTTTACTTCTTGTTCTCTTTTTGCTAAGTGGGGTATGTTTGGGGCTCTTCTATGGCAGGTACATTTTATTGGCCAATTAGAATTTTGGCAGCTCCATTTTAGAACAACGAAAGGGTAGGCCCTTGACAATTTTATGTTTTTACTGTTCAACAGAGGAAACTGTATGAAATATGTGTGTTGAATTAATAGGAACAAGCAGGATCCAGACCCCTGCATCCAATTTAGACGTGAGTTCAGCACAGCATCCATCTGACCCCATCTCATATTGAACAATGGGTTTAACGTAGACTTGAAGGGGAGAATATCCATGAGTGCTTGGCAGCAACCATCAAAGTGGGATGATCCCTGTGAGCAGGCCAGCACCATCAATTGATAGGTTCAGAGATTCACAAAGCATACACACACATGCAGAGGCTCTGCTGGGCTCATTCATGCAGCCAGTTCATGCATATGGATAAAGTAACTGTTCAGTGGCCAATCAAGGGACAGCTCCTGAGCAGGAAAGGAAAGAGCATTATACCAGGGAAGCAGAACTCTATTTCAAATTCACGTCTGCCACTTTCATCTCTCTGAGCCTCAGTTTCCTTATTTGTAAAAATGAGTAAAATATAACCAGGGTTGTCAGGAATACTAAATGAGCAAGTTGATATGAAAATGGCGTGATACAGTGCTTGGAATGTAGTGGGGGCTTAATAAATGCTGGCTAAATTGGAATCTGCTAAGGACTACAGAGACATAAAGATTTAACAAATATTTATTGGTATTCTACAATATGTCAGCCTTGTGTCAGGTTCTGGGCACGTGGAGATGAGTAAAACATACCGTTGTGGGGAGTCTACATTTTAGATCTGTGCTTTCATTTTATTTGTGTATGTGGAACAGGCATACACAAACATCAGGGAAGACGCCACAGAAGAAATGAAGCAGGGTTTGAAGGACATGAAGGAATTTGCAATCAGAGTCACTCCTGATCTTGGAAAGTTCCCTTTGGCTATCTGTTGCATTTAAGAGTATAGCCATAGAGAAAGCCTAGGTTGAATACTAAATTCAGTTTGAACAGGTAAAGGGCCCACATCCCTAATATAGAGGGTTAGAGGTCATGTCAGCCTTCCAGCTCAGCCAGCCCAAACCTAGTCTTAGCCCTGCCACTCCTCTCCGCAATCCCGGAAACAGGTCACTATCACTGGGATCCCAAACTTGACTTTTCCTTTAAATCTCCAGTCCTGGGGGACAACAGCCTCTCTAGGGTTCCAGTTGAGAACCGGGGTTTCAGAAATCTTCCCTTTGCCTCTCTAGACCCACAGTCTAGCCTGTTGCACCCTGCTCTGTGATTCTGGGAGCTGATTTCAGTGACCGGAATCAACGATGCCTGTTTGCTCTCTGGTTCCTGGTTGGGCTCAAACAGCAGGGGCGGGGCAGGAGACGGAAAGTGAGGTTGGAGTATTCATTCCCCTGCCTCCACTTGCTGGGCCACTATGGGTTGGCTGAGTCCCTCCACCAAAGGCCACAGGTCCTGCACACCAGGCTTTCTGTCTCAGGGTCCAGGTCAGCACTCTGTCTCCTGTCCCCTCAGACCTAGGAGAGGTGACAGCACTCAGCTTTTACCAGCCCCAGAAAACTGCACCGTATCTTGTGGGTTCCCCATACCTTTGTAAATAGCTCCTTTATTAAACGTTCCTCAAATTGCCTAATTTGAGCATGCCATCTGTTTCCTCCCAGCCCCTGACTGACACCTCCAGGTTCTCAGCCTGGAGACTGCTTTGCACTGTGCATATATTTTTCTGGACCAGTGGAAAATAAGGCTGGAAATTTGGCCGTGACAAGGTTGTCCTTCCAAATCTTTGCACATCCTGTTTGCTGTTCAATTTGGGCCTGCTATAAGAGTCACTTTTCCTCCCAGTCCTTAGGAAAAGTGATTTTTTCTGGCATAATCTGAAATCAGGAAGCTCAGAGATGTGTGTGGACAGAATTCACATTAACTAAAGGGACCCATTCATCTACCACACACCATGATCTCAGGATTAATTTGAATTACACAATGCCAGTCTTCTAGGAGAGCGTCTGGCACCGAGTAGGTGCTCTTAACTTCATTAGATCATATCATTGGCTTGACTTTACTCCCTAATGATTCCCATGGATATTGTCCCAAACATCCACTCTGCTCTGTAGCCTTGTCATTTATATACCTGCAATGTATAGAAATGTTATTCACACTTTTGGAACTCCTACTAGGCGCCAGGCGCTTCAGGCAGTAAGGTAGAGGGTGGCAACTGGTACAGTGAATAGGCATGCTTGCCCTACCCACTTCTTCCTGTATTCACTTACTAGCTTGTAGCCTGAACCAGTTACTTAGCACCCTCGTTAATGTCTTCGTTTCCCTATGGGTAAAATACACATAATAATATTACCTACATCTTAGAGCTGCTGGGAGGATTAAGTGAATAAGATGTGTAAAGTGCTTCTATACATGTATTATGATTATACCCATTATTTCATTTAATTCTCATAACCCTAGAGGTATGTGTGATTGTCACAAATTTGCAGGTCTGTCTTACTACAAAGCCTGGTTTCAGCATGCTCCCATTATGGCCAGAAGCAGCTGACATTACCAAAGCCCATCACAGTGCCCATGAAACAGGAAGCAGGCGAGGACCCTGTCTATCCGGCCCCTCCACAATCCCAGCTAGTGGGAGATTATGTTGGGGGACAGAATTCAAGGAGAGCTGCAACAAATATATTAACAATGGCTGCTGTGTGTTGGGTGGGTACTCTGTGCCAGGAACCATGATAAGCACTTTATGTATCTTATCCCGATTTCAACTCACAATGATGCATAGAGGAAACCATTATTAACTTCACTTTACGTGAGAAACTGGGGCACCTAGGTTTAAGTAACATGGCTAGGGTCATACATATAGAAAGCGGCCCTAGCAGGATTGAATCTTGGTCTCTCCATTCAGAATTTCATGCTCTTAACCACCAAGAAAAGACAGAGTAGCATGCTGCTCAATTGACAAAACAGGAATCCCACAGAAACCTGTCTAGGGATTCTGCACCGTGAACCCCATTCTAACATAAACCAGGTTTGCATCCTTGCTGCAGCAGTGAGGAGTGTAGCTCGGTGCTGAGGCTGGCAAATGCAGCATCTGATGCAATCTATTGCATTACTGAATGTGCAGTGCTCATGTTTTAAAAAAAGAAGAAAAAAGGAACGAAAAAAAAAAAAAAAACGCTGTAGAAATGGTTGGAAGGCGGGGAGGCCCAGAACCCGGCCAATTGAAAAGCAGCAGCTGGCTTTACCAACGTCGATCGCAGTGCCCATCAAACAGGAAGCAGGCGAGGACCCTGGCTGTCCAGGTCCTCGCCAATCCCAGCCAGCCAGACAAGGAAGGCTGAGGGCACTCTGACAAGGCCCTTTCAGCCAGCTCCCGCAGCCAGGCCCAGCTGTACAAAGCAGTGTCACTGCCTCAGAGGAGACCATCTGGGGGACAATAGTTCCGGGATAGTCTGTCCTCTCTCTGTGTGCTCTGTCACCCCCAGGCTCCGCCTCAGCTGCTGCCCGCACCAGGCCAGGGGGAGACTTCCCCATTTCCTCCTTTAAAAGGCTCATCAGGAAGGAAAGAAGAGCAAAAAGCAACGGGTAAAATAAGGTTTAGCTTCATCCAACACAAAAGGGGGTGAGATAAAGGACAATTGTGTGTCAAACCCAGTATGAAACATACTGGGGCAAGGCTAATGAGTGGGGGCCCACCCGAGAGAGAACGTCAGTAGGATCTAGCAGCTGGTCGCCACCACTGTTCAGGGGCTGAAGGCTTGCTAGAACCAATTGGACTGTGCGTGAAGTCTTCTGGCTCGGACCGACGGTTTCAGGGACAAGCGGCCCAGGACTCCGATCCCAGCTCAGTCGCAGGTACCGGCATACAGCCACTTCCGCGGTACCCTGTGGCCCCACCCCTGGGCACAGATGATTGAGCCAGGAGAAGAGGTCAGCTGACCAAGAAAGACCAATCAGAACCCCACTCTTCCAGTGGGAACACCCACCTCTCAACACCTCGAGGGCAGGATTTTTTGTTTTGGTGTTTGTTCCTCCCCGCCCTTTTTATCTATTTTGTGCACTGCTATATCTTAAATGCCTAAAATAAAACCCATAACCTAGCAGTTGCTCAGTATGTATTTAACTGAATCATGCTCTATACTTCAAGTCAGGATTCAGCCAACTGGTCTCCCTCGAACTAGAACTGAAGTTCCCTTAACTGGGAAACTGGGGCAGTCCTGCTCTGCAAAATGGACTTCAGGGTGTGCAATGGGAAAAGAAGGAGGAGAATGAGCAAGAAGAATGGAGGCAGAGAGAGTGGTGACAGGCTTCCCGAATACATCCCAGTATCCTTATGATAATGTTCTTCTTTTTCCTTAAGCTAGCTGGAGTGGGTCTTCATATTTAAAACCAAGTCATTCTAGCCCAAACAGCATGTCTCCCTGAAATCCTTTCCCAAAAGGATTGGTGAAAAGTCCCATGAACTCCTGAAATATTTTTAGCTTAGTGCACTTGGAGGCATGAGGCACAACTTTAGTCCTTCCCCAAATACCTTGTCTGATCTGCCAACTGAGACACCGCAGAGGGAAAGTGATAGGGTGGCCAGTTCTGGGGCCTCACTGCCTGACCCCAATCCTGGCTCCTGCCCACCCTCCCTGAAACCCAACTCAGGTTATCTAACCCTTCTGAATTTCTTCCTTTGCAAAATGAAATTATAATAGCATCCATCTCCATGGCTTATTTTGAAAACATAAAGTGCTTTGTACAGTGTTTAGCACATGGTTAGTGCTAGATAAGTAATAATGTATCCAATACATTGAATAAGCAGGACTCATTAAAGCAACTTTATTTTTGTCTCCCATTTCTCTTTAGAACTCTTCATTGTGTTCAGTCCATTCTTTGCCCCAGAATGAGAATATGGACAGATCCTTGAGTTTTCTAATCATTGTTAAGTAATAAAACATCCTGTGGTTGCTTTAAATCAGGGACGTTGCTTCAATTCATTATTTACATTTTCTTCCCTCTTTCCCCTAAGGCCTGCTGCCAACAGAAACCTGTGGGTCTGGCTTTTCTGCTCCTCCACTAGCTTGCTAACCTATTTTCTGGTGCTTCCAAGAATCACGTGGGGATAGAGAAGGGAGGTAAAGGGGATAAGGAAGTTCTTAATTGGACGGTACTGTCAAAGACTGGCTTTGTCCTCTCTGAGTCTGATAGATGTTTTAAGTTGACAGTTTCCCTCCTGAATGCTCTATAGGTTATTTGGGGACAGCCCTGCTGCCCCACCAATGATTATAACTGCCTCGATGCAGGTGAGCTTTTTGTTTGCCCAGTAACTCGCCATTCCCCTTCTTGGCCTCTCCAGGTACTTTCTTCTGGACAGAATCCCTTTCACAATGACCCCAGGCTGACATTCCTACTAGGAATGTAATACCCCCTTCCCCTGCCCTCCGCCTCATCTATCGTTGCCCAACCATTGTAGGCCATGTCCCTACTTCCTCTCCTCTGCTACCACCAACTACAGCTTCCTTAAGCATGAGTCAGACCCCAGCCCACCACAATCCCCCAGTTGCAAGGCACACAAAACAAGCTCTCTGGGAGTCACTAGGAACTAGGGCTAAGGCTGAAGGCACAGACTCCTTTTCCAAAGAAGTCTTCACAAAATCTTTCCTAAATTTCCAAAACCCAACCCTTTTCTGTCTTCCAAAGGGGTGGCAAGCTTTGATAAATGTGCAACTGGTTTTTGCATTTTACTTTTGTAAATCCTGCACTCTTGGGCTGGCCTCAGCCCACCTGTGGCTTGTAGCAGCTGTCATACCTTAGTTCCTCAGGTAAAACTTCAATTTTAACCTCCCGTTGCATTAATAATAAATCAACATGTGCACGTGACCTTTCAGAGCCCAAAATGTGATCATATGCATTATCTTACCTATTCTGCACTGCAGCTCTATTGAGGTGGCAATTCTGCTCTCTCCATTTTTCAGATGAGGAAACTGAGGCATAGAGAGGTCAAGAAGCTTGTACAAGATCACACATCTGGGAAATGAAAGTCAGATTTGCACCCATGTCTACCTGACTCCTTTTCACTGCCAGAGATATCCTCCCAAGGGGAAAGACATATAAGGGCACTGTGCCCTTGATCTGTAAGCCTGGCACTTGAGACTTCCATGGCCCCCAGGCATTCCTGATTCAGGGGATGTCCCAGAAGCCACCCTGGAAAGGCAGTGGCCTCCTCAATACAGAGCTAAAATACAAACGTGAGACTTCCTTGAAGCGGATCGAGGCAGCCAGCCCTGTGACTGGCAGCTGAGTTCAGAGAACCAGCCAAAGCAAAGCCGTGTTTCCTTTGCACATAAAGCATCCATTCTCAGCCATGCACACTGGCACAGACACTCACAGACCAGAGCCTCAAAGGGCTGGACAAAGAAACAGACACAGGCAAGAGCAAAAGTTTTTTTTTTCTTTTCTAAATGCAAAGCCCAGATAATACTCAACATGTATATACAATTTTCATATGAGCTGAATTTTTTATAGAAAAGGCAGAGACTTCTTGTGCCAAAGTTTTGGGGGCAGATGGCTGGGGGGTTGTTTATAAAGACAGATTTATAGCCTGTGGCCCCTTCTTCATGGGCTGAAAATACCCCGGCTCTGTTTCCCCCATGTTTCTCATTTTCCACCCATCTTCTCCTTTTCCCCTTTTCGTTTTTGATACCTTTCAGTGGCCAGCCCTGGCCAGCTACCCTTCAGTAGCTACAGAGATGAGCTATTCAAACCTTCCTCCAGAGCCCTACAGTCAGGTAGGGGAGACAGACAAGAAAAGCCAATAATGAAAATACAGAATAAGGCCAGGTGTGGTGGCTCACGCCTGTAATCCCAGCACTCTAGGAGGCCGAGGCGAGTGGCTCACCTGAGTTATCAGGAGTTCGAGACCAGCCTGACCAACATAGTGAAATCCTGTCTCTACTAAAAATATAAAAATTAGCCAGGCATGGTGGCGGACACCTGTAATCCCAGCTACTTGGGAGGCTGAAGTGGGAGAATCACTTGAACCCGGGAGGCAGAAGTTGCAGTGAGTGGAAATCACATTGCACTCCAGCCCGGGTGACAGAGCAAGACTCTGTCTCAAAAAAAAAAAAAAAAAAAAAAAGACAAGACAAGACACTAATAGAGCAAAGGAAATATACATAGAGTGGGGAGGGGGCAGGTGGGATCAGAGGGGATTTTCACGATATGTTACCACTGGTACTGACTGACCAGATAGAATGATTCCATGACCCATTGGAATGGACTCCAGCCTTTACATGGGATTTGGTGACTATCAGCTCATGGTAGAATAAGAGAAAGCTTCATGGAGGAGGTGAAGACTGAGCTGAGGTGTAAAGGGCATGTTTGTGAGGCAGGCATATTTGAGATGTGGCAGTTTCGGGCCAAGGGAACAGTAAAGGCAGAGAGGCAGGAGAGAAAGTCCATTAGGGGAACTATCAGGACCTCTCCATCGCTGATCCCTCGGAGGCCCAGAGTGGTCAGTAGGTATCTGTTGAATTAATAAAAGAATAATGAGTCAATGAATGAAGTGGAAAATGTGTGGTAGGGGGGCATAGAGGGTGAGGCTGAAGAGCAGCAGGGAGGCAATAAGATAGCTACCATTTATTGCAGTCTGAGATGTGCCAGAACTTTACGCAGATTATATTATTCTATCCTTCCCATCAGGGCTAGCTAAATTGTCTATATTGTATGAGTGAGGAACCTAGAGCAGTCCCAGGCACAGAGAGCGTGTTAGACAGGTATTAGTATTACCCCAGAGTTACAGATATGCATGTTGAAACTCAGAGAAATAAGGTAACAGTTTGTACAGCCAGGCCTTTCTGACCCCAAATCTCATTCTCTTATCTCAAATCCTAGAGGAGAGTACGGCCATTTAACTTACGTGAATTTTGCTATACACATTTGCGGGGGTGGTGGGAAAGGAAATTTTAAGAACATGGGCCATTCTTCTCATCATGATCTATGCCATGGAGTAAACGTGGGGCAGAGCCTGAATCTAAAAAGGTTGCCTTCACTCCTCTCAGTTCCTTTGGGCCTCTCATGGCCAATATGTCTAGGTGTCCACATGATTTCCATACAACAAAGTTCCTAAATGCAAGCCCCCTACTTTACTTGGGCTCAATCAAAGAAACAGTGATGTATCTGGTCCAACCATGGACATTAAACAATCACTCTTCCTGTATCATGCACATTGATAGACAAGTTAGGAAATTGTTGAAGATGATTTTTACAATATCAATGCAGTCCGTGTTGTCTTTGGAATGTACTGGCCCCAGGAAGGTGCAATTATGCCCAGGGCAGCCTCCAGGTTAGGAATGGCCAGCTGGTCTGTGGGTTAAAGACCCTTGCCTTGGCAGCCATCTTTGTGCCCCTTTGTGCTTGGAATGCCAAGTATCTTCTGATTTTCAGTGGCCAAAGCAACCAGATATTATCTGAAAGCCAATAGTGGTTTTCTCAGCTATGGGAACATGATGAAGACCAAAAAGACCACACTCTGGTGTTGTGGATGCCATCCCTTGGCTTTCCACCACCCTGGTCTTTCTGTGGTTAATTTTTGGCTCCCAGAAATGAAGGCTCCATAACAGAGCTGGAAAGCTCTCTCCAGGGCACGAAGGAGCTACCGAGCTGAGACCTCTCTTTTGACATCTGAACATCAGAACCTAATCAAGGATGAGGACCATTACTTGGACCCGTTTTTCTAAGGTGACTCAGCCTGACAAGGCCCTAAATAACATCCAAATATTATCCCACACTGGGAGAAAGAAAGAAAAATAAAATCAGGCTACTTCATCATTTGTCTCTCATGAATGCATCT
Organism: Homo sapiens; assembly: GCF_000001405.40. NCBI lineage: Eukaryota > Metazoa > Chordata > Mammalia > Primates > Hominidae > Homo > Homo sapiens. Next base: position 173,872,061 of record NC_000005.10, read on the forward strand.
TATGAATATTTTCCTTTAAAAGACTAATCTGCTGAGAACTTGGAAGAACGTATTTGTGTGCATTCATTAAGTCTCCAACTTAGAGGCACATTCTGGGACTAATTATTTTTTAACTAACTAATCAGCATGTTTCATTCATAAATTGGGATTTATCAGTATAGCACATGAAAGGAGAGAACATATTATTATTTTAATTTGGTTAATATGCAAAAACGTGCTGTGTTTGTAATGACCTGCTTTCACTGAATAGACACAGCCTGGAAATAGTAGCAGCTTCCTCTAATGAGGGTTCTGGCTCCTGGCCCCAGCTGCTCGGCACTAGAAACTCAGTTTGCTCTCTGACCCATCAGCGTTTGTGCTTCTCCGGTGAGGAGGCAGGAGTGATTTCCTCACAAGGAGAAAAACCAAAGGCCTTGTGTTTGCTCTGCTGATGGAACCAGTTACACCCGCTTTGTTAGTGGGAAGAAAAAGCATGGGGGTAGGGGCGGAGAGTGGTGGTTGGAAGGGGTTATCACACACACACACACAGACACACACACACACACACACACACACACACACACACACACACACACGCTCCCAGAGGCCCAACTCCATTAATAAGAGATTCCACCATAATCTAGTGATTCTTGTATCTTACTCTATTGCGCCCATCATCCATGTGCAGCTTGTCTACCATGCAAATAAGTCCTCTGTTCTGAAGTCCCTTGATAAAGGGATTTATTTACCAGCCTAAACTGGTTATCCCATTTGCCCCTGCAAATGTGTGGTTCCTCCTTGCCTCTGAGCTGTCACACACGCTGGTTTAGAGCCACTGAGCCAGGGCCTCAGGTTCATGCAGCCTGTCAGGAGCCTGGGTTGTCTCCCAGACCCCTGCAAACATTCGGCCCAGCTTTGAACCTGAATCCTCTTGCCCCTCTGATTCGGCTCAGCTTTGAACCTTACTCGTCTTGCCCCTCTGATTCGGCCCAGCTTTGAACCTGAATCATCTTGCCCCTCTGGCCAACAGCACTGCTCTGGACTCACCTAGAAGGGCAACGTGGGGCAGGCGTCGCCACTGGCCTTTCTGTGACACGCTGGAGTAGGGTCCAGCTGTATTTTTTCTGTCCAGCCCTGGTGCCAGCCTGCTGAGGTCTCCACCCAGACACATCCTGATGTGGCACATTCTAGAGCCAGGCGCTGCTTTTGTGTTTTAAAGGAGGACGTTTCCTCTTCTGTTTTTTTTTTTTTTTTTCACTGTAGAAGCTCTTTTTACATTCTGAAAGAAATACACATGCTCATTGTAGAAGATTTAGAAAAAGCAGAAAACTATCCATTAAAATTCAATCTATAATCCCACTAGCATGAGACTACCCGCATGCACACTGACATTTGGGGTGTTTGCTTCTGGCCCCTTGTGCCTGTGGCAGAACAGGTCTTCTCCAAGAGGGAGAGTGACCTGGGCTTCCTCTATTTGTGAAGCTCTGAGTGTGAAGCAATACTAAAACAGAATGAAAACCATTGTGCCGTATTTTAAATGTGTATATTCTTGATATATTGTGCACAGATATACTCTTGCCATTTATCATGTGACTCTTACAACAGTGTATCTGTGACTGTGTGTGACAGTGTTTAGAGTATTCCTGTGATTATTGTATAACTGCATTTACAGGTCACGTCCAAAGTCTCAATTAGTGAACATAAGACCTGGTCAAATGGCTCTCCTGGATCCCTTCCCATAACCCCATGGGCATTTGTACTTACATCATATCGGAGATCATACTGCATTCATATTTTTATATTTTGACTTAATACTATTTTGTTAACCTTTTCACAAGTTAATAAAAATTCTTCCACAGCAAGCTTTTAGTGGGTAACCAGCATTCTACTATGTAATCTTACTACCTAAGCTTTCACCCATTATTGAACATTTCAAATGGCCAATTTTTTCCCCATTATAAATAATACTGCATTGAACATCTTTCTGTGAAAATCTTTGCAACTCTCTGGGGTTATTTCCTTTGGATGGAGTCCTAAAAGGAAAACTAATGGGCCACAGGGTAGGAACATCTGAGAGTATCTTGTTTCATGTTGCTTGATTTGTTTCCAAATAGGTGGTATTGATTTATCCTGAAAGTTAGAACATTTTCACTATCTTATTTAGTCTTTAATTGCACAAGTAATTCACAGGAATACACTCTCCTTGTACAAAATTTAAGAAAGTAAGGCCTAAGTCTCTTTTAACCACCCCCTCCAATCCCTGAGGTAGCCACAGTTTTCAGCTTAACAAATGTCCTCTAACAATGCATTTATTTAGTTATCTGTGTTCTTACATAAAATTGCATTACCTATAAAGTATTAAAAACTTGCATACTTCTATAACCGTAGAAAATGTAGTATTTTTGTGTGTGAATTTTTTACATAAATGGTGTCATAATGTATAGGTATTATGTGACTTGTTTATTGCCTTCAGCTGTCTGTCTTGGAGCTCTTCCTTTGTGCATATAAATCTACCTCATGCTGTCTAACTTTCCATATGTTTCCATGGGCTACATATAGGCTACATATTTGGATCCTCCCAATTTTTTCATGTTTACAAATAGTGATGCAATATAAACACTTTTACACAAGCGATTTGAACAAGATTTTTCTCTACTTGAAATCAAATGGTATAATTACTGGGTCATGGGATATGCACACTTTTAATTTTAATAGATGCCAAATTAGGCTGGGCATGGTGGCTCACACTTGTAATCCCAGCACTTTGGGAGGCTGAGGCGGGCAGATCACTTCAGGTCAGGAGTTCGAGACCAGCCTGGCCAACATGGTAAAACCCCGTCTCTTCTAAAAATACAAAAATTAGCCAGGTATGGTGGTGTGTGCCTGTAATCCCAGCTGCTCAGGAGGCTGAGGCAGGAGGATTGCTTGAACCCAGGAGGGGGAGATTGCAGTGAGCCGAGATCACGCCACTGCACTCCAGCCTGGGCAACATAGCGAAATTCCATCTCAAAAAAAAAAAAAAAAAAAAAAAAGAATCCAAGTTGTAGAGGACATTTTAAATTACTTTTATTAGGAATATTCTAGAATGTTGTGGATTTGGGCTTAATTATCAAGGATGTAATTCTAAAGTGTTCTATTATGTAGGATGTCACCCAAAGGTCTTTTCATGTCTTCATTCATTCCCTCCATCTCCATCTGCTCTGGGCCCAGGGTGGCCCACTCACCTGCAGTACACAGTCAATGAATGCAGGTTAGGCACTTTCCCCTTCACCCAGCCCCACCCTTTCAGAGCCCCAACCTGACACCTGGTTCCCTTCAGCACCTGCCAAGACCCTGCTCATCTTTCCAGATAGAGCTCACATGTCCCCTCTTCTTGGAAGCCCTCCCTAGAGTGCAGGCTGTGTAAAGCAACCTCTCTTCAGTGTCCCCATGGCACCCTTATTTATTGGCTTGTCATGCTTACTGCAATTTGGAATTTAGTCATCTCTACCCCGTTAAAATGGACAGTCTTGGGCTTTCAATGGTGCAGCATTTGGGTGTCAACTGATAAATATGGACCACTGACTGAATGACAAATGTGCTCGAATGGCAGTCTGTCGGTTTCCAAAGAGAAGGGACCAACCACATGCAGCTTTTTTCGTAGAGAGCTTCACAGAAAAAAGGCTGCAAAAACATTAGATGGCTAATAATTGACCCTTTATGGTGACCATGATCTTAATAAAAATGATAAACAGTTGGTGAGTAAAGTAAATCACGAACTCTCACACGTACAAAAATTGAGAACCACATTCTCCTCTGGAAAGTGTTTATACCACTTCTTGCTTCAATATTTCTTCATGAAATCTAGAAGCTTTTTATGCAATTGATTTTTTAAAATGCATCCCAGGGAATGATAAACAGCAGCAAGAAAGCCACTCAAATACTTAGAATATGGTGATTGTATTGTCATAAATCTCTGGGTAGAATCTCAACTATGAAAAGAAATGTATGAAAAAAAGACTGGAAATAAATATATCAAAATGTTAATAATGGTTGCTCCAATGGGGTTGGGATGCTGTGCAAATTTCTTTTCTTCTTCTTTTTTAAAAACTTTTCTGATTATTTTACCATGAACATAAATTCATTTTTTATTAATTTTCTATTTTTTTGGAGACAGAGTCTCACTGTGTCACTCAGGCTGGAGTGCAGGGGTGCGATCACGGCTCACTGCAGCCTCAACCTCCAGGGTGCAAATGATCCTCCCACTTCAGCCACCTGAGTAGCTGGAACTACAGGCACACCACCATGCCCAGCTAATTTTTGTATTTTTTGTAGAGACTGGGTTTTGCTGTGTTGCCCAAGCTGGTCTTGAACTCCTGGGCTCAAGCAATTCACCTGCCTTGGCCTCCCAAAGTGCTAGGATTTATAGGCTTGAGCCACCGTGCCCAGCCGTAAATAGAAATAACCAAAAAATTTTTCAGCAATTAATCAAGCTTCTAAGGAGAAAATTTTAAATACTCTGTGATTTGCATACATATATGACAGGATAAAATAATTGCAAGAGAACTAGTCAAAAATATCAACTCTCAGATTAGATAGTCACTCATTCAGGACTGTATTGGGTGAAGGGGATATAGTGCTAAACAAGTCAAGTGTTCTTCTCACCCTCAGGAAGCTCATAATTTAGTAAAAGCCACAAACTCAAATATCAACAGGGGCCAGGCAGCAAGGGGAAAGCAGTGAAATCCACCAACAGGCCCATTCCCAATATTTCCTAATATTTGCAGGTCCAGGGAAAGAATATAAATGGAAGCCCACTCAACATAATCTAGATACTCACAAGCTCTAAATCAAGTTATCAAATTTAATTTAATTTTTTTTTTTAATATGGAGTTTCGCTCTTGTTGCCCGGGCTGGAGTGCAATGGTGCGATCTCGGCTCACTGCAATCTCCGTCTCCCGGGTGCAAGCAATTCTCCTGCCTCAGCCTCCCAAGTAGCTGGGATTATAGGCATGCACCACCATGCCCAGCTAATTTTGTATTTTTAGTAGAGACAGGGTCCTCTATGTTGGTCAGGCTGGTCTCGAACTCCCGACCTCAGGTGATCTGCCCACCTCGGCCTCTCAAAGTACTGGGATTACAGGCGTGAGCCACTGTTCCCAGCCAAATTTAAGTAACTTCTAATCTCTTATCTTGACAAATATACCTTTATAACCACCTGGAAGGCCAGGTTCAAATTTAGAGTTCTCCCTTGCCTGAAGATGATGACTTAGGAAAAACTGGTCCCCAGTCCAGAGTCCTCCCTCTTCAACACCTGCTCTTCTTCTCTTCTCATATCTGACTCCATTTCATACAGCAGGGGGCTTTGCGCAGGTGGGTGGACACTCTGGCCTGCACATACAAGCATCATCCTCTTCCTCACCAAATAATAATAATAAAAAAACAGCTTTTCATTGCCACCCCTTGGGTCCCAGGGTGTGCACCCTGGCAGTGCTGGGTGAATTAACTAAGAAAAGAGGTCTCTGCTGGCTCCAGAAGCAGGCTCGGGTAATTTGGGCTGGGCATTCAGGGTCTCTTGGTACCTGCAGTATGGTCTAGAAGAGGCAATGCAGGCATCTATTGGCTCCTCAGACTTCTTGCAGCATGGAGAAGGGCCAGGGTAGACCCTCGAAAGCAGGCCAAGGGCAGGGGCCCCACTTCTCTGGGCCTTTGGTCAACACCAAAGACTGGGTAGAGACCATGGCGAATTGGAGAGCAAACGCCCCATCTTACAACAGCAGCAGCTGCTCAACTCCAGCCCCAAATTATCATATGTAGGAACACACATCCAGATGGCCACATCTTATACTTTTTGAAGAAAAGACACAAATCTGGATTTTCCTATGAAGTTTCATAATTTTTACATGTTAGCAGGTAATAAGAATAAAAACGTAAATTACTCCGCTGGCCAAACTAAAAATATCTGTGAACCACCTGCCTGTGACTTCTATGAAGGAAAGCAAACCAAACTTCTGTTTACATGTTGCTTGACCACCGTTTAGTTTTGAAAATGATATTCTCCAACTCATTAATGTCACTTGAGCCCATAAGTAAATGATGTTGTCTCCATGGCTGTATATATGTTTGAATTTCATGCATATCTTGTTCCCCAGCAGAATTCCAATTTACCTGGCACCTTCCAGTACCGATGTCTGTCCCCATAAGCCATCAGAAAAGACCTGATGTATGGATCTACACATTTTTCTTCCCTGATGCTGACTTTGATCATGCTCTTCTCTCTGACCTTCCATCTTAACCTGGGCACAAAGCTCTCACTGCACTGCTCGTATCTCTTTACATGGCTGCTTAAATGCCATTATCTCCTTACATGGCTGTTACTTTGAAAATTATCTCCATGTCCCCAGGGCCTATCACTGAGCCTGTCATGTGGTAGACACCTAGTACATTTTGTTTGTTCTGGAACTGAATTCATTGGTGTTTTGTTCTCCACGATGACCCACATCTCCCCAGTCAGATATGAATAATAATTATAGATGATAGTTCTTGGACATTTGCTATAGGCTAGGTACGATGCTAAGAGCTTTATACATATTACCTCGTATAATCCTTTCAACTAACTGCTCAAAAAATGTTATCCTCATTTTCCAGATGCTGAATCTGAGGTTCAGAAAGACAAAAAGACCTGCTCACAAGTCTCTCAGCTGGCAAATGGGAGAGGTGGGACTTGAGCCAATCCTGCCTGCTCTGAAAGGTCTGTGTTCTTAACCAGGAAGTCGGTGCCTCCCTAAATGTCCTTGAGCTCTTTTGGATAGTACACAGAGGAACTGTCTCTTATTTTGATTTCTAGACATTTGTTCCACTCAATATGCATTTATTTCAGTGTATATTAGGAAAAATAAATAACAGTAACTTCTTATGGCATATCATATTGATTTTTCATTTACATTAGTAATACGGAATTTTCCTTTTAACTTATTTACTTAAGTTCTAAAATATTGAGTCCATTTACAAACAATGTTGAATGAATAATAAATACGATATGTAGTACAATAATACAATACAAATTATGTATCAAGTATATACAAAGGACTAGGATTTGAAAAATACTGCCTCAGAAACCACCATATATGGGTTTAAAAGAAACACACACACAATGAAACTAATAATTAAACTCTCACCACTCTCACTTGGAACTTGCATTTCCAAGTTTGTAGAATGTTGCTTAAAAAAAATATTCCAGACCCTGCCTAATGAAGACTCCAAGCAGTCTCTAAATTGCTAACTTTGAAGCATGTTTATTTCTTTTTCCTGTTTCTATTTTTGGAATTTAAATGGCTGAATGGATTTTTAAAAATTGCCTCTAAATAAAAAATGAGCCAGGGGCCTGGAGCTCTCTTCTGTCTCATTTGAACTCTGAGCAAATGGTGAATTACAACACCCCTGGACATAGTGGTTTCTAACTACCAAGCTGCCAGGCTTTTAAATAACAGCAGCACCGAATTGTGGCCATAATGCTACCTATTTCCCTTGATAAATTATTTATGCACTTATTATATTTTACATGGGCTGCTGAATCTGAAGGTACTTCTTTGGGGGCCAGGTGATTTCAAGAAGCCCATTACTGAGAATCAACTCAACAACATTAGAAACTAGCACATCCAATTGTATGTGATATTACTCATTAATATTACATCGTTACTGCCTCAGCAGTTGTTTTGGGTGGTGATAACTTTATGTGTGTGTGTGTGTGTGTGTGTGCATGCACTATCCAAAGGCTTCAAGGCAATCCACTTCATTAAGAAGCTGTTTAACATTGAGGGTACATCAATAAAAACTAGCTTAATGCAATCGTGGAACTGTACCTAAGATGACTCGGCCAAATGAAGCTATTACCCATATAATGTGTTTCACACAAGATGGAAATGGTTTACTAAGTTTATAAAATCACTCTCCAGGATTTACAGTGACTGATTTGCTGTAAGATCAGCAGTGTGGTAGAAGTTTTATGCTAACAGTAACTTCACATATGCTCTTAGGAAATTGCTATATTTTCCTCCAAAACAACACAAAACAGCAATGAAATAGAGAGCACTGTTTGTAAAATGTTCCAAAGCACGCTTGTAATTCATCCTAACATTTAGTATTTGGACTTTGTTTGTGACTTGCATAGAAGAAACAAATTAATTAATTCAGCCTTAATTCAACAAACACTCATTAAACGCTTACTATGTGCTGGACAAAATGCTGGGCCCAGGGAACACCAAGGAGAAAAGAAGAGTCCCTGACCTGGAGGAGCAACTCCAGTAGGTAGGCTCTAAATGGTCAATTCCATAATTGTCAATTATGCCGCTAAGTGTCCATGCCAACTAGGAGAAGACACTCACTTCTGCTCCAAGGGCAGAGAAGGCCATGCATGCTTAGTAGAAGCTCCCCGGGCAAACAAAGCAGGCGAGACCTACGGTAATTTTATGGTGGGCATGTGAGACACTTGTTGATTCCTCCAGAGCCTTTCCCTCCTCCTTTGCTAGCTGAGTCCTGATTTTGTTTATGTTTCAGGTTGAGCTCCTTTGGTCTCAGGGAAGGTGGGTCCATGTCTGATCTAGATCAAGGAATGTGACCCAGCTCTGACCAAAAAGATGTAATAGGGAGTGAGCAAGTGGAAAAGGCCTTTCCTATCTGATCAGAGGAATGTTCATGATGAGAAACTCTAGGCTCTTTGCAGCCCTTTCCCTCTAGCTTCTGAATGCCTGTGTGATGACAGGGACTGTGGCAGATTTCTTAAGACCTTGGAGGGAAGACCAAAAACGTCTAGAGATTCCAACCCAGATCCCTGACATCACTAGCCTTCCAGCACCAGCAACCACCCACTCCAGCCTTCTTGATGTGTGAGAGAAGTAACCTCCAATTGTTTAAGGCACTGTGTTACTTGCTGCAAATAGCATTCATGACTTATTGCAAGTTTGTGGAAACACAAGTTTTTCAGGGTGCTTGAAGCAATGCTCTTAAAGGGTTGCAAGGGATGATGCTGAGACGTCAAGCAGGTGCCAGGCTGTTGAGGGCCCTGATGCCACATTAAAGGAGTTTAGCAGTGCTTTCCAGGCAATGGGTCCTTTCCCAGTGGGATACATCAGATGACTGGAGGCAGCACACATATAAGGCAATGCATAATCTTGAATCACACAACCAGACATTTAGCTCTGTTCCCATTCTCTTTCAGTCCTTCTAATTACATAAAGAAGATCTTTCAAAATTGGCCTAGGTGGCTCACGTCTATAATCCCAACACTTTGGGAGGCCAAGGTGGAAGGATCACTTGAGCCCAGGAGTTCGAGACCAGCCTGGGCAATATGGTGAGACTCTGCCTCTACAAAAAATTTAAAAAATTATTAGCCAGGCATGGTGATGCACACCTGTGGTCCCAGCTACTCAGGAGGTTGAGGTGAGAGGATGGCTTGAGCCCAGGAAGGGGAGGCTGCAGTGAGACAAGGTGAGAGAGCCATTGTACTTTCTCTAGGTGACAGAGAGAGACCCTGTCTGTTAAAAAAAAAGGAAAAAAAAATTGGCTTAGGAAGTCTTTACTCTCTCTAACCTTATTAATCTTCCTTTTCAACAAAGATAAAGAATTTTGATAATTACCTTTTGGTTATAGCAAGTGGTACTTGTTTTTCATTTTGGTTGGTGAATCAAGTTTCCTTGAATGTATACTTATTTAAATTTTTTTAAAGTAAGTCAACTTACTGAAAAATATTAAATAAGTGATAGTGCAGGAGCTACACCTACATGGCAAAAACTGCAACGCTGTAATGAAAAACACTGAAGTTTGAAAAATACAGTTGAGTACATCAGGGAGCCACTCAAAGTGTTTAAGCAATGGAGTAATGTAATTAGACTCCCCATTTACAAAGATTTAGTGGACAAGGCCAGGCATTAAGCCTGAAAATGACTTTTGAAAAAAAAAACCAAACAAATTTCAGATGAGAAATGATCAGACTTGAACCAAAGCAGGAGATAGGGAGAAAAGGAGATGCTAAGGAGAGAAAGGGAGGAAAACTTAGGGACCAAGAATAAAAGGATGGAGAGGGAGAGGGAGGAGTTTGGGATGATTCCAAAGTTTGGCTTAGGTAACCGAAAGAATGAATCATGGCACCATTAAATGAGCTAGAGAAAATCGGAGGAGGACTAGGGCTAGAGGGAGGGTGATGGGTACAGTTGGCCACATTGAATTGACAGCCTCTCATTAAACCCAGACGGTGCTGTAGACCACTGGTTCTCAAAGTGTGTTCACCAAACCATCAGCATAGCCTGGCAAATTGCTAGAAATGCAAATTCTTGGCGCCACCCATACTTATTGAATGAGAAATTCTAGTCTGGTTTAACTAGTTCTCTAGGTGATGCCGATGCATGATAAAATTCAAGGACCACTGGGCAGGAGACAGAATTCTGAGTCAAGATACCTGGAGAAAAAAATTTGGATTATTTTAGACAAGGCCTTTCCTTGGGCCTCAGTTTCCTCAGTTGCAAAATGAAGGATTGACTGGGCTATAAGATCTCCAGTAAGTCACCAAACCTCACTGGGTCTCAGTACTTCACCCCTAAATTACCATCTCCCCCTTCTTCTTTAGTAATAGAACCCCAATTTTTAACTAAGTACTTGGGAGTCCAGAATAAAGATCATACTTTCCAATCTCTTTGGCCACCAGGTATGTGACTAAGTTATGACCAATGTGCAGAGAATGGAAGTAATGTGTGTGTCATCTGAAAAGTTTCCTCAAAGAGAAGAGTTCTGTCCTTTTTCATCTTTTCCTCTGTCCTTTGGTCTGGAATGCAGACATGATGGCTGGAGCTTGATCAGCCATCTTGTATCATGAGGGAGAAATCACACTTGGAGGAGAGAAGAGCAATGAGTTAGAAGGAAGCTGGGTTTCTGATGACTCATTGAAACCACCCACTAGCTCTATGTTAACTCTTCTAAACTTCTTTTATGTGAGAAAGGAACTATTTTATTCTAGCCATTTTTATTTTTGACTTTCTCTGCTCCTACATTATTACTAGAAAATCCCTTGTACCTTATACTTTTATTAAAAAATACTATGAGAAAGCCAAATCAGAATATTTGGGGGCAGGGCCTAGGAATCTGCATGTGATGACCTCCCCTGGGAACTGATGAACTCTAAAATTTGAGGTTGGGTGCCTAGGAATTAACTCATATTATTGTTTTATAGTTATATATATATACTCCATGAACAAGGGAGTAAGAAATTTGGGTATTAAAAAGATTATTTTGTTTTTTGTTTTTACACATATTGATGACTTTCTTTGCACTTTTTTTGCTTAAGGGTTTGGAATTGAAACTCTTTGTAGTTCAAATTCTGCCCATAAGGAAATCATCAGACAAACTGGACCAGTGCCTGTGAGCTTATGGCTATGTTGGGGTTAGAATTTTGATCCCTGACTCCCAGCTCTCCGACCTCTGGACCCTGCAGCTTCCCTGCAACCTCTGAAAAGTTACTTTTTTCCCAGCATTGCAAGTGAAAATCCTCCAGCCTAGCCACAAAGTGTTACAGGGCAGCTGTTCAGCAGCATGGCCAGTTTTGATAGATGAAGCGAAGTGTGTCCAATCAAAACAGCAAAGGGTAATCTAGGTCAGCAGCCTGGCCACATAGGTGACTGGAGCCACAAAAGAATCCAACTCATCCCAAAGTGATGCATGTCACAGTTTGGAAGGTCAATCCTCTGTTCTAGCTCACCTAAATCTTTGCCAGGATACGACAATTTCAAGTGAAGCATATCTGTGTCCTGGACCTTTCCAAACCATTTATCCAATAACAATGCACTGGAGGGATTGGCTTCACCACTCACTATCAAAATGGCTTGTTAACTATTCACTCTATGTTAATGATAATACCTCAAATGGGAAGGCAGGAAGAAAATCATGTTTAAAATGCAGAGGGCTTGAACAGGTTGCAAAACAACCAATAAAAGAAGAAAACACGACCCAGCATTAGTTAAAAAAAAAAAATCGGTTCTTTCTAAGTAAATATGCATTCTTTCCAACACTGAAAGAGAGTGAAGATCAGAAGTGGGGTTTAACGAAACCTGCTTTCATGACTTGGTTTTGTTTCTATCAAGCTTGCCTTATGGTAGTGAGCTTCCAGGCACTCTTGGAGAAGAGGATATTCCAAAGGTAATTTCACCTTTCTTTCTTCCCCTACCTTCACAGGCCCTGCCTTTGAATATTATTATTATTATTATTTTTAGTTTCATTAAAACATATATTCCACCACTACATCAGAATGCTTATTAACGTTGCCAGGCAAAGTAACTGCTGGGTATTAATCTCTTGGAGGCCTGGACCATATACTTGTCCAGACTTGTCTTCTCACTACAGCTCACTAACCAAAACCAATACCAAGGACACAGTGTCCTTCAATTCAATTACAGAAAGTTCCTGGGCTGCTAACTCTAAAAGGATCAAGTGCTTTAAATATTTCTGCAGGCAATAAGCATGGCTCATGTAATGAGCTTTTTTTGTATGTGTGTCATATTTGTATAATGTGCCCCTGTGTCTTAGAAAAAAAGAACTGAAACAGGGCTGCTGCCTTGTACAACTCCATTGGATGCATTCACATACTAGTCTGTGGTGCCTTATGAAGTTGCACAGTGCACAACCAGGGCAGCCTTGGGTAGTGGTCCTGATTTTTGGTCATTAGACAAGCCTCTGGGGAGCTCGGGTGTGGGCTATTGGGAGAAGGCTGACAATGCATGCTTCAAGGAAAGTGGTGGGAGACATTAGAGCTGGACTGGGGCAGAGTTCACCTTGTGTGATTATGGGGTGAGATTTCTACTGCTTGCCGAGCTTTAAAAGAGGCTGGTGAAGGAGATATTAATGCCCTGCTTCCTGGAAGGCTCTAGGTTCTGGGTGTGGTTGACCTCAAACCCCAGAGGGGGCTGGGCAGTAGCTACCAGGTTACAGGCATTCCCCAGCCTACAACTTCTCTGAAGGTGTGTTAGCCCTCATTGTACTAGACAGGGATAGAGCTTTTTAATTTTTTTTTTTTTTTAACTAGTAGCACCTTAATGTTTGGGCAGAACTTGCTTCCCCTGCAACCCAAAAACTTTCTGGTGAGCACACTTCATGAAAAAGGCTCTCTTCTGCCAGCAGAGTGCTCAAGCCAGCACTCACCTACATCTGTAGATCCTTTTGGAGATCCTAAATGGAGCTGCTGAATTGTTGTCATGGTTACCATGGGAAGTTTCTGAGGCCAGAATGTTTTCAAGGAGCGCAGCCCTGGGCTCTGGGTATCCTGGGTTCCTGAGTAGGCAACTGATGCCAAAAAAAAAAAAGAAAAAAGAAAAGAAAATAATAGATTTCCCCCTTCCTTCTTCCATACTTCCAGTCCCTAAGCAAGAGTCTGATGTCTTAGTGATCATCCTAGCTGCAAACCATCCCAATCTACTGCCCACACCTGACTTAGCCTTAAAAGATTAGCCCGACTTGGCAGCACCTGACTGTGGCCCTGGGCGTCTCCACCTTTTATCAACCAAGACAAGTTCCTGGATTCCCTTGTGCACACAGCTGCTTCTAGGCAAAAGACACTTGTGAAGGAATTCCCTGCATTTAATGTGTTACAAAGGAAGTGACATTTTTGATCACCTCTGATATGGTTTGGCTCTGTGTCCCCACCCAACTCTTATCTCAAATTGTAATCCTTATGTGTAGACAGAGGGAGGTGATTGGATCAAGGGGGCAGTTTCCCCATGCTGTTCTCCTGATAGTGAGTTCTCATGAGCTCTGATGGTTTTATAAGTGTTTGACAGTTCTTCTTTCACTCTGGTCTCTCCTGCCGCCTTGTGAAGAAAGTGCTTGCTTCCCCTTCGCCTTCCGGCATGATTGTAAGTTTCCTGAGGCTTCCCCAGTCACGTGGAACTGTGAGTCAATTAAACCTCTTTCCTTTATAAATTACCCAGTCTTGGGCATTTCTTTATAGCAGTGTGAAAATGGACTAATAAAACTTTTTAGGAGTCCAGCACTTCACATGTATCCCATGTAATTTACAAACTTAGCAAGAGAGGAAATATCATTCACATTTTATCTAGAAGGAACCAAGGGCTTATAGAGGTGATGCCCAGTTTTGCACAGCTAGGAAGCAGCAGAGCTGGGATTCAAATTCAGGGCTGTTTGGTTCCAAAGGTGCTCTTTTTTCCAAGTCATGGCTGCCATTTTAGCCACTGATAATTAGTAGCTCTGAGGGACCCTAAACCATCTTCTGGGCATGGAACATTCATTTGTTCATTCAATAAATGTGTTCTGAGTTTTGAGTCTGCTCTGTGCCAGACCCTCTTCTGGCCACTGGGGACATAAAGATAAATCAGACACAACCTCTGCCCTTAAGAAACTAACCCACTGACAACCAGCAGTAATTAAAAGAGAGCAATCTACAAGACATTAGAGAGAGGGCCAGTCAAGGAAACCATTCTGGCGGAAAAGACACCTGACGGAACCAGCTAAGTTTCCAGGCATGTCCAGTTGTAGGGAATAAACAGCAGGTAAGACCCAATCTCTATGCTCAAAGAATCCATAGTAGAGTTACAGAGACAAGACTCATGCTCATGGCACAATGAAAGAGAATAAAATCACCGATTGAAGGCCCTCAGGTGTTCTACACGGAAGTGATGGAGGATTGACAGACTGAGGCAGAAGTTGAGACCATTAGAGGAAGGCTATGGAAATGAAATGGAAGCCACCTTTGTTCATACTATTTTTCATTAATCTTGGTATCTTTTTTTTCCCTCTAGTTGTGCCAGTTACTTCTGGCTCTACCCTGATTTCTTTGTTCATTTTTCTTCCTGCTAAAGGAAAATACTCACTTATTTAACATATTTAAAGCTGTGCTGAGAGCAAAGCATTATCCTAAGCCCTGATGGTGGTCATAGCGTTGGGAATGTACAAAGATAAACAGGACATTAAAGCCCTTGAGTACCAAACATAATGAAAAGTCTGATATGTGAGCTCCAAACCAAATGGCAAAAGGAAGGAAATAATTAATTCAGACTTGGAAACAGGAGTGAGGGGTGGGGGGTGGGTGACGGGTGGAAGGGGTGGCAGTGGGTTGGGGGGCTGTCACTCAGGGAAGACTTCATTGTTGCTGGTTTGTTCATTCACGTTTTCAGGATTCATTCACTGATGTCTCCTATCTACAATGTCTGCTCCTGAAAGAGCCCACGGTCCAGCACAGGTCTGGAAGACATAAACCATCACAATATAGTGTGAGAAACAAGCACGAGAGGTACACAGGGCCGTGGACGCTTATAAGAGAGAATTCAGAAGATGCTGTTGGTGGCTTTTGAACTGATTCCTAGAAATAAATAGGAATTTACCAAAGGAGAAGAGTGGAAAGGACATGTAAAAAGGCATTGAGAGTGTGTTTGGAGGGGGAAGAGGCACTAAGATATACCACCCATTAGGTAGAAAGGCTTGAATACCAGACTAACAAGTTTGGCCTTTATCTTCGAAATAATGGGCAACCATAGAAGAAATCGGAGCATGTGAGGGTCAAGATAAAATTTTAGTTTTGGAATTTTCCCTCTGGTATTGCGTGTAAGGTGTACTAGATCGGGATGATACGGGGGCATAGCCACAGACGCCTCAGCTGCATCTCTGCACCTGGGAGACTGCACCAGATGCGAGCCTAGCAGAATGGGAGAGTGGGAGGTGCGGGTGAGCGAATGGAAGGTTAAGGGAGAGTCCCTCGTGAGGTCTACATTCTGGGCAAGGGCAAACGCAGTTCTAGGCACCGCACAGCTGCTGGCAAGACCCGCCTCCCCTTCCAGATCCCTCTGGGGCGGAGCTCGGGCCAGAGCACGTGATGCTTGGAGCACCACCTTTACTGTGGGCACCCTTCTCATTCATCCGCGGTTTCACGGGCCGCCACTTCGATCTCCAACACCTTGACCGTATGCCTTCGTGAGCGAGGAATCCGTTCTCCTTGACACGTCCCTATTGCTCCTCCTGCAAAGCCCAGTTAGGGAAGAGAAATATCAAAGGAGTCCCTTGCCCACACAAAAGATGGCGACCTGCTGCGCTCACTCTGGGTGGGGGAAGCGGGTTCCAGGCGCCGGGCCTCACTAGGCGAGGCGCAGACGGAAGAGGCGTCTCTGGAGGTAACTTTTCGACCTTCCTGGGAGTAGCTCTGAAGCGAGGGGGCGTGGCCTCGCCTGAGTTCTAACAGATGATTGGTCTTCCGGCAGGTAGGTGGGGAATGAGTGCTACCCCCACCCCTCCCTCTTCGAACCGGAAGTGTCTCTGGGTCTTTCCAGCTGGTTGTCATTTCACTCGGCTCGGTCCTGAGGAGAAGGACTCAGCCGCGGCTGCGGGACCCGGGCACCGGGAGGCGGTGGCGGCGGCGGCGGCGGCAGCAGCGGCGACAGCAGAGGAGGAAGAGGAGGAAGAAGGAAAGAAAAAGAAGAACCAGGAGGAGTCCTCAACAACGACAGCGGGGACTGCGGGACCAGGGTAAAGCGGCGACGGCGGCGACGGCCCAGCAACCGTGAGGAGAAACAAAAGCCTTCTAAATTATAGTTTAAAAAAAAATTCTGGGGGAAAAGAGAGAGAAAGCCGAGGGGGGAGGCCCTTCTCCTTTAAAATAACTACGGTAGTGGGTTTTTCCTTTTTTTCCTCTTTTTTCCCTCTCTGCGGAGAATCGAACTGAGGGAACTGAACAAACCGCCCCTGGGTCCCATGAGGGAAAAAAACCCCGGAGCCGCAGAGAGGGGAAGAGGCAGAAACCGCAGGACCTTCCAGGTCGCCCCCTCGGTCCCCGCACCCCCAGGCCGCCCGCTCACCCTCGTCGAGTCTCGCTAATCCCTCCTGATCGCGACCCCCGCAAGAGGGAGAAACGGGTGTTTCCAACCCCTTTCATGGGGGAGAGGAAGCCGCGGGGAGCCCAGGAACAGCGACCGCAGCAAGATCTGCACCCGGAGCCTCAGGAACAGCCCCAGAGGCCAAAACTGCACCCTGCGAAAGAGCAGAAAACAGGACCAGGAACAGCAGAAACCTCCCTGCAATCATCTTTCCATTAGTCAATGCTGATTTCCTCTCCCGAAACCAGGAATTCACTTCCCACCCCAGATAACCTAATATAATCTATATATATAAATATATAATATATAATGTTCTTAAATTATTCCTGATTTTTTTTTAACCAAGCTGCCAAGAAAAGAACGTATTCCCCTCTTAGTCCTATTCTAATTTTTATGTGAGTGAATCTAAACTGCTGAGGAAAACCATATGTGATTGTTAAATTATATATATCTATATTTTTACTCCGCGCAAGGCTTATTCTTCTACATCCATAGATGCTTGAGAAGCTCTGTTTTTGTCATTCATGTACATTTTCCTTTGGAAAAAGAAAGCGCCTATTTTACTAACCAAAGACTTGATTTTTACCCTCTTCATTTTTATTCCCTCCTAAAAATAAGCCCAATTGGATCCAAGTCAATGTTTTAAGAGATTTTTTTAAGAGTTGTTTTTTCTTTCAGAGACCAGAATTCCAAATCAGAACAATTTAAGGTGATAAGCTGCGATCTTTGAGCTAGCTATAAATAAGACATTTCAAGCAAGCAAGCAAACAACTTAAATTTGGGGTAGAGGAAAAAAAAGGCGTGAGACATCAGGTTGTCATTTTTTATTGTGAGATTCTGCTCCTAAAGATAATAAATGGGGGATTACGGGTTTGGAGTGCTAGTGCAAAGCAATACTGGGAATAAATCTGCTTTTCCAGTCAGATTCCATCCACATCTGCAGCCTCCACACCATCACCAAAATGCCACCCCCAGCCCTGCTGCTTTTATAAATAATAACACAGCTGCCAATGGCAGCAGTGCTGGGTCAGCTTGGCTTTTTCCTGCTCCAGCTACCCATAACATTCAGGATGAGATCTTGGGGTCAGAAAAAGCAAAAAGTCAGCAACAGGAACAGCAAGACCCCTTAGAAAAGCAGCAGCTTTCCCCAAGTCCAGGTCAGGAAGCTGGAATACTGCCTGAAACAGAGAAGGCAAAATCAGAAGAAAATCAAGGGGACAATTCTTCGGAAAATGGCAATGGGAAGGAGAAAATAAGGATCGAATCTCCAGTGTTGACAGGGTTTGATTATCAAGAAGCCACTGGGCTAGGTACTTCAACCCAACCCTTGACATCTAGCGCATCGTCTCTTACTGGTTTCAGTAACTGGTCAGCAGCGATAGCGCCTTCCTCCTCTACAATAATCAATGAAGATGCAAGTTTCTTTCACCAGGGAGGGGTCCCTGCTGCTTCGGCTAATAACGGTGCTCTGTTGTTTCAAAATTTCCCCCATCATGTCAGCCCTGGCTTTGGAGGCAGCTTCTCTCCTCAGATCGGGCCTCTCTCACAGCACCACCCACATCACCCTCATTTCCAGCATCATCACAGCCAGCATCAGCAGCAAAGGAGGTCTCCTGCCAGTCCCCATCCCCCACCCTTCACACATAGAAATGCTGCTTTTAACCAGCTGCCTCATTTGGCGAATAATCTTAACAAACCCCCCTCTCCGTGGAGCAGCTACCAGAGTCCGTCACCAACACCCTCCTCTTCCTGGAGCCCGGGCGGTGGTGGATATGGTGGCTGGGGAGGTTCCCAAGGCCGAGATCACCGCAGAGGGCTGAATGGTGGAATAACGCCCCTGAACTCCATCTCGCCTTTGAAGAAAAATTTTGCAAGCAATCATATTCAGCTCCAGAAGTATGCTCGCCCCAGCTCTGCCTTTGCACCTAAATCCTGGATGGAAGATAGCTTGAACAGGGCTGACAACATTTTTCCTTTTCCGGTAAGATTATGTTCCATTAATAGATTAGGATGAATAAGGAAATAGCATGGTGTAATATCTATGTAACTAGAGTTTGAAGTGCCCGTATTCACATCAGAGCTTTTCTTAGAGAGAAAATGAATCAATAACCAGACTTTATTTTAGCAGGAGTGTAATTGGAACAAAATATTCAGCTGTTTCTTTGGCAGTTTTCTAAATTGTAGCCTTAATCTTGTCATAGATAATTATGAATACCTGGTAGCTGGTGATGTAGTAATTATTAACTATAATACCTTTCTTGCCTGACATGAGAATCAGGGTCAGTTTTTTCCCTATTTAGATGAGAATAAATAATATATAGATATAAATATATTTCATTGCAGAAACTATTGAATGTTTTCTGAAGTAACTATATAACTAAACAAATTTCTTTTGACACTATAAGGTAGTGATTCACTGAAAACCAGCTATTGAATTACAGTTTTCTCACTGGTTGGTTGCATTTTAAACCTGGAAACTCTCTGAACCTTGTAGGTCTGAACAGCCTGAATTGATGGACTTGGCAATTCCTCTTAAACCTCTGCAAATTTTGGCCTACCTTTCATCAGTAAGGACTATCTAGTGAGAGAAATGATCTAAATGTTTTCTTCATCCCCATTTATTTTTGAACACTGTGAAACTGTTCATCTCAGAGTGACTCTTTATGCCTTTCACCCGTTTGTTTATTTTCCAATGTTAACATTGAAGATGTAGATAATTAAACCATTCCTAAAAATAGATCCAGGCAAAGATCATTTGTCTTTCTTGCTACCAGAATATCTTTATTCTGGCAAGAGTCATTGATGTTTTTGAATTAATGAGCAGCAAGTTAGGTTGATATGAACTAGATAAAGGGAATTTCATAGGTGGTTGAACGTCAGATGCTCCACTAAATGTATATACTTTGAGGGTATGATTATATGTGTTTAGGAAATTTATAAGGGGTAAGAATCTAGCATTGAATCTAGTTTTCCCAACAACCTCACAAGATGAGTTCTGTTATTATCCCCATTTTACAGATGCAGAAATTGAATATGAGAAATATATAATAACTTAGCCAAGGGTACACAGCTGGTCAGAGTACAAATTCTAAGTTAAAAAAAAAAACAAACCCAAGGATTGAAAATATGTATACATACATGTGTGCACGTACACATGTGCTACAGCTAGAGGGTTACTTTAGAAATATTTCTGCAAAGGCTGAAACAGATTATAGAATCATTGCACTGTTCCCAAATACGATGTTAGCCCTAGCAGAATTATCTGTTTTAATTAGTAATTGACTGAGAGGGAGGGGAAGTTTGCTAAGAGAACCCTATGTCATTCCTTTCCTAAGGATTCAGGTGCAGTGCATCTTAAAATATGTGGGTATATTTAGTTTTCGACTTCTAAAAACGATTTTTTTTTTTTTTTGCCTATCAAAAAGCTGTTGGCATTTGCTTTAAAGGGTTTCAGTTGTTAAAACCAAAGATCAATTACTGTGCTTTAGTGGTCAAGTAAAAAGGCTGTTTAAGACATTGACAATCCCATGAAGTCTATTTTTAAAAAGTTGCCTTTGATATTCCTTTGAACATAAATTTAAAGAAAATTTAATGCAAAGATAAGTTTTATGAATTATTCTTATATTGCTAATTTAAAAATTGTAAGTTAACATTCAGTACATTTTAACTGGATTAAGATTTGGCTCAGAACTAAATACACCTTTTTTTCTTATTTTGCTACTATATGCTGACACAGTGAATTTATGTGGCCTCACAGTTTGGTTCCCATTCTCAGCTTACTGACTTTTGTTAAGATTGCTTTAGGAAAAATGAAAAGTTCAGACAATGAATAAAATATACATATATGCACATTAATATTTTTTCCTATTGGGCTAATAGAGTGTGTGTTATGTGTGAAATCTTTTTGAACAGTTTCTTTGGAGATTAAGTTGATTTATGAAATAATAGTTAGACTAAGATTGATACTAAAATATATTGTTAGAAACTAACTCTTCCCTTAGAACTGCTGTCTTTTATATTGATTATGGGAAAAGGATGGTCAGTGTACCTGACTTTCAAATATGGTAAGATTCAAAAGTAAATTGTTAATTCTGCTCCTCATCCCCACCATTTGTAGCTCTGTGTGTGTGTGTGTGTGTGTGTGTGTGTGTGTGTGTGTGAGAGAGAGAGAGAGAGAGCACACGCACACATGTATGAGGAGAGAGCTAGCAGTGGGGTGATTTGAAAGTCACAAGAGAAATAAATGATTTGAAAAAAATCTCTATGACAAGAAACTCCTAATTGGGTTTTGAAAAAGTCTAAAGAAGTAAGTAAACTGACCACTGTGATTCTTACTTAAATGGATACAGTTCTTTTTGCTTTTTAAAAACCAATAATTCTTGTGAATTAGTTATTTTTGAGAAAAAGTATCATTTTAAGTTGGTATAAGTAACTTGGTTAAATTTGTCTTATTTAAATTTATAACTTGCAGGCACGTGCCTGTAATCCCAGCTACTTGGGAGGCTGAGGCAGAAGGATTGCATGAGCCCAGGAGTTTGGGACCAACTTGGGCAACATAGTGAGACCCCCGTCTCAAAAAAAAATAATTTATAACTTAAACACTATTAATTTTAGGAAAGAAATTTTATAGATATTAGCACTTCAATTTAATTACTATTAAAATAATTCCTTTCTTCTGCAATATTTCTCACAGGGGAAAAAAAAAGAATAAAAAGAATTCCTTAGGCGTGATAGAGAGATCTTGAAACTTACCACAGACATTAAGGATAGTGCTTACATGGGTACATTATAATAATGGTATTCAATCAAAGGCCAGCACGTTATTGTTATATTGAAAGGAAATAATTTACCTGAAGTGTAACTGATATTAGGCAATGTTTATTTTAATTTGAAATGAACCAGAATGATTTTTACGTTTGTTTACTCAGGTTTGGGTACATATAATGAATTAAAATTAATAACCTTTTAAATTCATAATCCTCCCCCCCAATAACTGATAGGGGAAGACATTTTATTTGGAGGATTTTTGTATATTAAAAGGTGTTTCTAAGTTATTTTTGCTTAGCTTAAAGCTTCATTACATGAATTCAGAGGGCATCACTCAAATCCTGATTTTGTTTGTTTGTTTCTTTTAAGACAGGGTCTCGCTTTGTCACTCAGGCTGGAGTGCAGTGGCATAATCACAGCTCACTGCAGCCTTGACCTCCCTGGGCTCAAGAGATCCTCCTGCCTCAGCTTCCCCAGTAGCTGGGACTACAGGCACATACTACTATGCCCGGCTAATTTTTGTATTTTTTTGTAGAGACAGGGTTTCACCATGTTGTCCAGGCTGGTTTCAAACTCCTGGGCTCAAATAATCCACTCGCAGTGCTGAGATTGCAGGTGTGAGCCACCGTGCCTGACTGAAATCCTGTTTTTAGACACAGCTAAAGTAATATGCATATAATAATAGCTAACATGTGGCGGGGTGCGGTAGCTGACGCCTGTAATCCCAGCACTTTGGGAGGCTGAAGTGGGCGGATCACTTGAGGTCAAGAGTTCAAGACCAGCTTGGCCAACATGGTGAAACCCTGTCTCTACTAAAAATACAAAAATTAGCTGGGCGTGGTGGTGGGTGCCTGTAATCCCAGCTACTCCAGAGGCTGAGGCAGGAGAATCGCTTGATCCCAGGAGGTGGAGGTTGCAGTGAGCTGAGATCATGCCACTGCACCCTAGCCTGGGGGACAGAGTGAGACTCCGACTCAAAAAAAAAAAAAAAAAAATCTAACATGCCTCCTGTGTTCTAAATGTTTTACATGTATTGATTCATTTAATTCACTCAACAATCCTATGAAGCAGAAATTATTATTATTTTTATTCACAGACAAGATTTGGCTCTTAATCATTATACTACAGTGCCTCTTCACATAATGATAATATGGCAGGGGGATAGTGGGTGCAGGTGGGGCTGGAAGGGAGAGTGCCTCCCAGACGCATGTAAGATGAGAGGAAAAAATTTTACAGTGATACATGATGATCAAAGGCTGATTGTAGATAGAGTATTGAAAGGGGAAAATAATTGAGTATACTTGTTTATCAACTTTAAATGTTAAACTTAGATAATATTTTGGTCAATGCTTTTGTTTTAAATTTTGAGCACATGTTATATACCAGGCACTGGGCTAGGTGCTTTCAAATATGTTATTTCACTTCCTATGTGGGATTTCTCAGCCCTGTGACATTTGGTTTTATTGTCCCAATTTCAAAATGAAGGTCCATATTCATGTGACTACAGGCATGATTGGACCCTTACAGTAAGGAAAAAAAAAATCCTGTCTTACCAAACATATCTTAGAATTCTGACATCCAAAGCAGATAATATATTGGGGCACCTGCCAATAATTATATTTGAGTATAGCATTTCTTTGGAGGGGTGCCTGGATCTTCTATCCTTACAGGAAAGTAAAGGAGAATTACTTAGTATATGTGCTGACACCCTCTTAACTACAGCTCAATTATGTTGCCGCTTTCATTAGCTAAGAGTCAGGTAGGAAGGAAAAAGACAAAATCAGTATGTCACAAAGACTATCCTAAAACTTGTTTGATAGGGAAACAAGTGTCTAGATCCTCAAAATTATATACTGCATCTTATATTTGCAAACAGAACACTGCTGGAGTGCTTCAGTTCTAAAAGTCATGGTGGATTATTAAAATTGTCTAATAGGCAACCTCATTACATTTTCTTGTTTCTTAATACAGTATCGTTCCAAGAAGGATCTTTGCATAGGAAACATTTTCTTTGACTTAGAAGGGGAGAAATCAGTTTTTTCAACTGTAAATTGTGGGTCGGATGGTTCTAGATCTAGCAGAACTGACATATTGGAAAAATCTTCCTCTTTGTAGAAGGCTTTTTAACTAGGTTAGATAGCTTTTCTGATGAAATTAAAACTAATTCCAGGGTAGAGTTTTTTTCTTTTTCTTTTTCTATCTTCAGAGAAGCCATCTTCAGAGAAGCCATGGAATATGATCAGCACATTGTTCCAACACCTTTCAGGAAAAACCTGTTTATCGCAAGCCTAATAAATGTGGTTGTTGCTGGTTGCAACTAGAAAGATGCTACTTAGCTCATGAGTTTAAGTTTTTGAAAGTCATCGTTGTTGGTGTTCATAAGAAAGAAATGGGGAACCTAGTTTTTAAATTAACATATGCCTAGGTTTGAATTTGACAGTTTCAGTTTATTTTCCTTATGACTTTCTCTATTTTGCTAGGAGGAAAATAAGCTTGATAATTCGCTGTCATATTTTTTCAGCGCTGTATTGTACCTCAGTTTTTGGTCTCATCTCACATAAGATAATGTGAATAATGTGCTTCTCTTTAAGGCAGAGAGCCTATAATGTGAGCATTTTAACTTTTTGTGACAAAATTCATTTTATTTTATGTTTAATTGTTCAAAGTTGCCTTGCAGAAATTAAAAGTATGTTTTACCATGATAAATTTAGAGCAATATATTTTTTAAAATTCAAATTTATTGGAGATTCCCATCCATTTTTTCTCACCGCATTTTATCTTATTGAAACAGAATGAGTTCCACCTTTAAGTTTTCAAAAAATACTTAGTAGATAGAAAGATAAAGTTGTTGATACTATTTTCAATCAGTTTCTGAAGGTGAAAAGTGAACAATTATTGAGAAAGGCTATTTTGTGAGCCCAAAAATGTAGAGTGAAGCATAGGCTGTGGACTCAGACTTAAGTTTGACTCTGAATTTGAATGTAATTATTTACTATATGAAGCTGTTGTAAAAATAAATAAAATGCATATATAAAGCTTTAAAAATTTTGTCTCTAAACTCTAATGAGCAGTGTGACCTTGAGTAAATCTTTTAAATTCCAGAAGAAAATACCGTATCAAGAAAATAATAACTGGCCGGGCATGGTGGGTCACACCTGTGATCCTAGTACTTTGGGAGGCCGAGGTGGACGGATCACTTGAGCCCAGGAATTTGAGACCAGGCCTGGGCAACATGGTCAGACCCCATCTCTAGAAAAAATACAAAACACTTTTTCTAAAATATGATAATACCTAACAGTGAAGGGTAATGTGAGGCACCTTATGTATGTGGCCATATTAGGTTGATTAACTTTTTAAATTTAAAATATGGCTTTCTTATATTGAATAAAGTTATGAAATTAGTTACAAATATAGCTTGTGTTACTGTGAAATATTTTAGTCATGCTTATCTTGCTATATATGCTTTATTGAATAAGCTATAGATGCAACCCCAGACAGATAAAATATTTAGCAGAATTATCAATTTTCTCGAAGAGAAGTTTTCTAATTAAATATAAGCTTAAACTTTCATTAGCATTGACAGCCTGTTTCTTTCAGGATTTTGAAAGATTTTGGCCACAGTTGTTTTATTAAGAACTTTAGAACATGTGATTGCTTTTGCATACATTAAAGGAGACTACATTTTAATGGAGAATTTATGATTTTTCAGTAAGAGATATGAAAGGGTGCCATAGATTTGAATTGAGAATAGTTTGGCTTTTATCCTGGAATCAAGAGTTTTTAAAAAATATTTTAATGTATTTAGCACACATTTATTGGAGCACCTACTATGTTATGGACTAAGCACAGGACTGTCATAAAAAATGAATCAGTAACATGGTTTGTAATGTATTTTTGACCTGTGCTAATCTTTGAGTAAGACTGAACATGCATTTTTTTCTCTTAAATATTATAAACAAATTATCAACTAGCCCAATAGTTTCATTTTAATCTATAAATTGTTTAATCATTAAGGCAAACTAACATTCAATTTTAGCTATAACAAAAAATTGTATAAATGGCATTTCCAAACTTTTTTATTAACGTAGTCATTAATGTGTTTATAAATATATGCTTATATTTGGAAATTTTAAATTTTTAGAAAATTATAATGTTTTTGGAAAAATATTTGGAAAGTGTAATTATCAATTATAAATACACACTCGTATAAGTTACCGTATGTTTATATATAACATGTGCTGATTTACATTCTATGACAAAATGGTACCACAAAAGGCAAACTTTAACTTGGATAGCAGAATTCTGGTCCTGTTACATGCCAAAGAAAAACTCCATCAGCTACCTATAGGTGCTCATTCATGTTTACAAATGGAATTATTCAAGTTCAAAGCTTTAAGCTGTACAAGCGCATTTTATATTGTAGGTTATTTTGGTTGGGCAATTTCTATTTGCTAAAGATTTATCAGATATATTCTAATCATTTTTTAGTAGACCAAAACTAAGTTATAATTAGTTCCTCAGTATTATATATTTTAAATCTATATTTATTTTAAAATACCATGTAACAATTTAAATAATAGTTCTTCCAGGTATTCTTGAGGAATGCATCTAGTCAATAGGATCATGGTACTAGTCAGTAAAATAGTTGCTGCCATTTTATTGTCTATGAGACCTTAAAAAAATAAAAATATAAGAACGTGACTCAGAATATTCACATACTCTGAAAAAATGTTATTAGAAAACTATCTCAGTTAATGGAAGTCAGATCTGGGTTCCAGATATGGCTCGGCCATTCATTAGCTATGTGACCTAGGCAAGCTACAGCACCTTCTGGGTCCTTTATTTTCTCATTTCTTTTGTCTGGTATTTTTGAGGATAAAATGAAATATGTCTAATATTTGGCTTCTAGAAGATTCTATTGTTTTAAGAAAGCAACTCATCAAACAGAAATATTAAGTCAAAGTTTTATTCAAAATATAGCACAATTTCTTAAAATCTGAAAACCCGTGTGTAACTGGTGTGTGATAATTTGAACTTAATTTTATTTTTTGAGACAAGGTCTCATTCTGTTGCCCAGACTAGAGTGCAGTAGCGCGATCTTGGTTCACAGCAACCACCACCTCCTGGGTTTAAGCAATTCTCGTGCCTCAGCCTCTCCAGTAGCTGGGACTACAGGCATGTGCCACCAGGCCCATCTAATTTTTGTACCTTTTAGTTCACCATGTTGGCCAGGCTGGTCTCGAACTCTTGACCTCAGGTGATCCGCTCGCTTTGGCCTCCGGAAGTGCTGGGATTATAGGCGTGAGCCACCGCACCTGGCCTGAACTTAATTTTAAATAAATAAAATACAATTCCTAAAGTCACTATACTTAAATAATGGTGGGACTGAGGCTAGATGACACACTGATTTTCTTGAACACTGCTGAAAGTGACCAACTGGTGATATTTTTTTTCTCTCTTGGTAAAGCACCCCCTGACCCATGTCTTCTTAAATTTTTATTATGGAAAAATTTAAATATATTCCATGGTAGACAGAATAGTCTAGTGAACTCCCATGTATGTGTCACCTGGCTTCAACAATTATCAGCTCCTGGACAATCTTGTTTCATCTATACCCTTAATCCTCTCTCTCCCCATTTGTATTATTTTGAAGCAATTGCTTCATATCATATTATTTCATCTGTAAATGGTTCAGTATGTGTCTCTAGAGGAGTCTTTAAGAGAAAACATTAAAATTTTTTTCAAGTTGTTTTTTTAAAGAAGGGTAGTGAGAAACTGAAGCAAGGCCCACATTTCTGTTGTACCTGCTCAGTCTGTTTCACTGCTCAACCTGGTGCCAATAGTGGTGGACCACTGTTGGCTTCATCTTCTCTTTCTGTAACATAGAAAAATAAGAGATCCAGTTAAAGCACCCAAATACCAGCTAGTGATTCGAAATTTGGGAGGAGAGTATACCGTTTTCCTCCCTTCATCTTATCCTTTCTCTAGGTTCACACTTCTGTGGACTTGTGGGCAAGACCTCTGAAAGGAAAGATGAGTGAGAGAACAGGACAGGACTGAGCTTTTATGGTTGCTGTCTTTTTTGTTTTTCTGTTTTTTAAGAGGAATGTAGAGGTTTGGGGTCCCTTGCAGACTTTTAGACTGCATCAACTTTTTACATTTCTTGCTTGCTTTCAGTGCACAAATGTTTGATGCTTTTGAAGGGCCATGGGCTGAGGATGCTTAGCTATGGCAAACGTGATACTTCTGCTCCTGAAGTGCACTGGCCAGTGACCTCCTCTTTGTGCTTGAGTGTTGAGGAGTGCCTTCTGCCCAGGAGATTCTGGAGAACTGTGGATGGGGGTCGGGGGGTGTTGTGAGAGTCTGGAAATGTGGAGGCTGGGCACAAGCTGCCTTTTGAGATCACTGTCAAGGCTCACAGAAGAGATGTCGAGGGTTACAAGACATAAGCTTCAGTTTAGGAATAAAGGTTGTGCATTGGCCAGGTGTGGTGGCTCACGCCTGTAATCCCAGCACTGCGAGAGGCTGAGGTGGGCGGATCACCTGAGGTCGGGAGTTCGAGACCAGCCTGACCAATATGGAGAAACCCCATCTCTACTAAAAATACAAAATTAGCCTGGTGTGGTGGCGGGCGCCTGTAGTCCCAGCTATTCTGGAGGCTGAGGCAGAATAATCACTTGAACCCAGGAGGCAGAGGTTGCAGTGAGCCGAGATCGCGCCATTGCACTCCAGCCTGGACAACAACAGCGGAACTCTGTCTCAAAAAAAAAAAAAGTTGTACATTAGGGTGGACCCCTCTCCCTGCTGACGCCGGACCCTGCTCAGACCTAGCAGACATGGAGAACAGGAACTCTAACAGCCAGTTGAGGTCTAAATAACTTCATTCCTCAAGGCTGAGTGTTAGTATTGTTTACCTGCTTTCCTTGAACTAATGACTTCTTGCCCTGAATAGTTTATTAGGGAGAAGTCTTATACTGATAGTTTTGGGGTCATAGGTTTGAACATATTTTGATTATCTCTATGAAAACAGGTTATAGAAAATAGCACAGAATCACTGACTTATTCAGATACAACCGATATCTAATTTAAAATGTGAGTTTCATGCTTTTTTTCATTGCACCATAGAAGGGGCAGAGAAATGTTTATTGAATGAGTTCACTAACCGCCATGCTTTGTGCTCCTGCTGCCCATATACCTTATCTCACTGGCTTTTCACTACAGATTTATAAGGGAGGTGCTATTATCCTCGTTTTGCTGATGAAATTAAGGTTCAATGATATTGCAGCATCAAGATCACTTGCTTAGTATGTTTGATACTTAGTATCACAAGTATCAAAGCTTGTGATAGATTTTAATTATTTCTCTCTGCTAGGCAAGATTAGTATGAACAAATTGTCAAGAAGAAGAAAAGGTCTATTGATTCAGGAACTGACTGACTAATCAAGCCTAGAATGGTCATTTGGTTTTTTAATACAAATAAGTGATGACAAGAAATGTTTATCATTTTAAGGATTTATAATGCTCAAAATGAATGTGATTTATTTAGTAAAGGTGCAATAAAAAATGTTCTCAGAGGCTTTCTGGAGAGATCTTATTTGTCAATTAACATGGCAACCAAATGGAGCTGTTGATCCAAGGTAATACACTGAAGACATTCATTCATTTAGTTGTAGATCATAATTCTATTAGGGAACATGTGGTAACCTAAGATCTGTTAGACTCTACCTTCATTACAGGAGCTATAATGAAAAAGTACTGATTGAAGAGGGAACTTGCAAAGAAATATGAGATGCTGTTAAATGTGGTCCCTCCTGCTTCAGATAATTACCACTTTAACTTTAATCTCTGATGCTCGTTGTCTTCATTCAGGCCACGTATATATAGTGAAGGATTTCATACCTGGCAGGTAATAATAGAGCAAAAATTCTAGGCCCAAACAAAACTTCACTTAAACCACTTTTCCTGAACATCTGCTCTGAAGTCAGACTCGACCACTTACTGTGTGACTTTGTAGGGCAATTAGTTAACTTCTCCTAGCTTCATTTGCCTACGATGGGGAAAATAAATGACAGTACTGACTTCATATGATGGTTGTGAGGAACTAATATATGTAAATGTTATGTAATTCATGTAAGATGCACAACACAGAGCCAGGAGGAACATGTTAGCCACTTTCTATATCAGTGGCGATGGCTTTACGGCATGCTACAAGCTGTGGATATGAAAATGAGTGAAGCTCATGGCGCATGGTGATAGTATAAGCTCTGTCATACAGAGCTTATCACTATCTTGTGGGATGTCAGAGTGCTAGGGAGACATAAGGGAAAAGGGATTTGCTGCCTGTGTAGGGATGTGAGGGTCATTTGGAAGTGGAATCTTGAAAGTTGACTGGATAGTCCACTCTTGATGATCTGTGAATTTACATATTATTTAATTCAAGAGGAATATTTACATTTTGG
Source organism: Homo sapiens (assembly GCF_000001405.40). NCBI lineage: Eukaryota > Metazoa > Chordata > Mammalia > Primates > Hominidae > Homo > Homo sapiens. The sequence goes on from NC_000005.10 coordinate 173,902,104, forward strand.
CAAATCTTGAATTAAAACTCCCATAGTTACCTTTGATTAATTATGGGCTCTACTGGCATCTCAAAATTTCTATTTATTTTGGCAGCTGACACACTGGCGTACACTTTCCTTTCAAACCAAAATATTTTCCCTTCCCTTCTTTACCAGGGAAAGTTTAAGCCAGAAAGAGAAACTTCTGTAGCCTGGTACAGATATGTAGCAGTCTGAGAAATGATGATCACAGTAATATATGTTTTTATAGAAATAGAATGAGTCAAGGGATAGCTGAATTTTGGCTTTGGTTCTTAATAATGTGGTTACATTCAATTAATTACCTTTTGTGTTTTAGACTCAGTCTAGTAATGCCAAAACATACTAGCTCAAGTATAAAAAGAAGCAATAATAGAGTGGTGGTGGTGGTGGTGGGTAGCATGGGTTATATTTAGATGAGAACATTTAAACTCAGTACAGTTTTTGCCTGTGAGCACATAACCTAACTGTGAACACCCCAGCATCCAAGACAAAAATGTAACATGATGGGTGATGTAGATCTCATTCTCTAATGAAAATAAGCATACTTTTAAACAAGAGTGAAATATTTTTGAGAGAAATTTGCCTTGCAGGTTTCTAATCATGGGGCGTTGACAGACAATGAATTTTTCCATTGCTGACAAATTTTACAAGAAAATTCATAGATGTTTAACAAACAGCAGTTACTAATATTTTCTGCTTATTAAAATCTGAGATCATGCTGTTAAGCCATAATTCTATAAAAGCAAGTCCAAAGGGACCAGTATATACTATGTATTTTCTGATGATGTGACTTGATAAATAGGTTGAATCTGAAGGAATGAGTAATTAGCATATCCTTTGTTTAGACTGTTTATCTTGGCTTGTAGGGCATTTGACCAGTTGTGAGAGAGAGAAGACATGTCAGTAGTAAATACCTGAATGGCAGATATTCCATGTAGCTGAATGAAAAAAAAAAAAAAAAGCTATATGCTTAAGATATGGGGTATATGGATGCCAGAGATAGTATTTTATTGTGAAAATTCAAGCACCAAATTTGTATTTTGTTTGTTCTTAATGGTGAGCCACTCACCTCTTGATGCTTTTTCTTAAGGAATTTTGTTTTGGTGAAATTGAACTTTATTTTAATCTTTCCAAAGGTATGGACCTTAGAACTTGAAAGACAGAGCTGTTTCAGGTTTTGAGAGCAAAGCCCTTCTCTTCATAAGGAAATCATACAGTAGTTCCTGTAGAATATTTAAGCTGGACTGCATCATAGCTGGCCAACTAGGATAAAAGCTATAAAGCACACCCCTAAGGATCTAATGAAGTTAACCTGTTGAATGGATTTGCTTAACTCCGTGGTTCTCAAAGAGTAATCCCTGGTGTCATTTGGAAACTTGTCAGAGATGGGAATTCTTGGACACGACCCATGCTGAATGAGACTGTGGGGATGGACCCAGTAATCTGTATTTTAACAAGAACTCCAGGTGATTCTGACGTACTCTCAAGTATGAGAAACGCTGGCTTAGATCAGCCATCTGGATGTTAAAAAAAAATGGCCACAAATGATTATTTTGGTCTGTGGCATAATTACAATTTGGTTGTTTTTCCTGATAGGAACAGACCAGCAGGTTCACGTGCTGCTTGTGGCAGCTTCTGGAATGTCATGAAAAGCCTTGTCATTAGCTATATACTGATGTAGGTCTTCCCATTTTGCCCTGGCAGGCAGTATTATTCAGGTGTATACTAAAAACAAGGGTCCTCTCTGAAACATTCATTTTGTTTTGTCAGAAGCTTATTTTTATCAACTTTGATTTTCATAGTGGTATCATAAGGTCTTTCTTTTAGAAATTGTCCTGTGAAGTAGAGATGACAGAAACTGAAACTAACCAGTTACTGACATGCAACTCAGTATATTAAATATAATAATTAAGACTACAGAATATGATGAGGTTTAAGCATTGTGATAAAGTTTGCTTTGCTTAGCCTTGAAAATCATTGGTGATCTTTTATTTTCCTTCATGATTACTAAGCTCACATGTTCTAGAGTCAGAAGGTCTGGGTTCACATTCTGCCTCCACTTACCTAACATTGATGGAATTATTTAAATACTCGAAGCTTCAGTTTCTTCATCTGTGAAGTGGGATAATAACTGAACATATCTAATTGTATCAGGGTTTTGTGAAGAATAAATGAGGTTATGAATGTAACCCATAATGTTAGCTGCTGATAGTAATCCTATTAGTACTGTTACTACCACCAGTACTCCTGTGGTTAGTAGATAACCCAGAGATGCATTTATGATGGGTCTCTAATTTGTATGCCACTCTGTCATCTCAATGGGGAAAAGGAAGATAAGATTTCTCTTTCTCTTCTTATGGTTTTAGTACCTCTGATATATATCATTTGTATAGGTAAAATATAAAAGGTAATATTTGTATAAGTAAAATATAAGTAATATTTGAGTGCCTACTGTTTGCCAGGCACTAGCCAGCATATTCATACCCTCAGAACCCTTAGAGTGCCTCCTTTATTCAAATGTATGTCTTAATTAGTATGGTTCTTTGCCATGATCATTACCCTACCCAAGGAAGGATCACTTACTTGGTTTATAGTAAGACTTGGGTTTGAATCTGACTATGCCACTAAACTATGCAGTAACCAATCTGTGTAGTAAATTGTGTAAGTTTTCTTTAGTCTCAGTTTTTATTATTAAAATAGGAGTAATAGGCTGGGTACAGTAGCTCATGTCTATAGTCCCAGCTACTTGGGAGGCCGAGGCCAGAGGATCACTGGAGCCCAGGAGTTTGATGCTGTGGTGAGCTGTGATTGTGCCACTGCACTCCAACTTGGGCAACAGAGTGAGACCCTGTCTCAGATAATAATAATAATAATAATAATAATAATAATAATAATAATAATAAAAAAATGTAACTTAGAAGATTTGAGGATTAATTAAGACAGTGTTTATCAAGTACCTAGAATAATATCAGGTGCTTAGTAGATGCTCAATAAAGGGTAGGTCTGCTTTTCTAATTTCTCCCTTTAGGGTGCCAAGAGAAACTGGCAGTGGGGTTGAAAGCAAATTGAGTTGTCAGTATCTTTTGTTTTATAAGAGATTCTTTAATAATCTATCTGAAAGCAGCACACTTCACTCTTCTGTCCCCCAGCAAATTTTTTAAGTAGATTTTTTTTGAAAGAAGCTTATTTTATGTTTTATGTAGCATAATTAAAATGCCATGATTGTCTTTTTTTTTTTGAGATGGAGTCTCGCTCTAACGCCAGGCTGGAGTGCAATGGTGTGATCTCAGCTCACTGCAACCCCGCCTCCCAGGTTCAAACGATTCTCCTGCCTCAGCCTCCCAAGTAGCTGGGGTTACAGGCACCTGCCACCACGCCCAGCTAATTTTTGTATTTTTTCACCATGTTGTGGGCAGGCTGGTCTCGAACTCCTGACCTTGTGATCTGCCCACCTCGGCCTCCCAAAGTGCTGGGATTACAGGTGTGAGCCACTGTACCCAGCTGTGATTGTCCTTTTAAGACTCTAAGTGATCATTTTCTTACTAATTGATCACTGACCCTTGCCTTTTTGTGGGCAAAAGTGATGGACTTTGATTAGTGGGCAAAAGTGGTGGACTTTGATTAATAAATTCTCATCCTTATTTTTGGTTCCTGCCATAATTGTCATAATTTAAACTGTAAATCTTGAAAGAACAAGACATGTTAGGATATCAAAAAGCTAGAATACAAATGTATTTTGGAGTTAGGACAGGGACATCAGAGATCCAATCAAACCACTCCTTTTATGGACCAGAAAAGAGGTATAAAGGACGAAAGTGCCCAAGCTCATAAAATACGACAGGCAGAGTTGAAGCTTCCTAGTGTCTAATGCCCATTCCACTCATTTATGCTAATGTTCATGTTTTGGTCATTAGCTCAAGTTCAATCAAGAAGAGCATCACCTAACAAGGTTTCTATTTTACAGTTAATCTTTGGGAAATGGATTCTAGAAAATAGGTCAGTGGTTATATTTGATCCAATTAACAATTTAAAAAGGCAAAATTGAAGAATGAAATATGGAAATCAAAGCACTCTTATTCTTTTGATTTGACTCTTTCGTTGTTGCATAGGAAAACCAGCATTGTTTGTACTGTTCTTATACTTTGGGTTTGTTTATCTGTGTCCCCTTTATCTATTTCCTAATGGTACAGACACATTTTAGGATTTTTTTAAATTAGTTGTTAAAAATGGACAGAAAAGATCAGTGAGGGAGTAAATCAAGAATGGCAATCTTAAAACCTGCTCTGAGAACAGAATGTTTACTTGACAAAATATGTGGCTTTTGAACTCTTTGAATTACCAAAGCATCATAAACAAAATGTTTGTAGTAAACTATACTTGCTAATAAGTTTGGGTTGTGGGGAAGAATACATATTAGACTAGGTTTGGCAAGAATGAAGTACTTGTGTCATCGGACCTTATACCTTGCAGCAGTCTGTGGAGGCAGTTTCCTTCTGAGTCCCTGTAGAGCCTGAGAATCCTTCTCAAAACACCTTGCATCTAATAGTACCAATTGAACAAACTTTGTGTATTTGTATTTACTTGTCATCCCTGTATTAAACTGTAACAAATTATAGGAAAAAATTAGTATCATTACTAAAAATTAGTGTAAAAAGGGTGGAGAATTTCTTTTCATTTCATAAAACATTACTGAAAATTTAAAATTTAATTTAGGATTTTAGTTTTAATGTACTTTACCAGTTAGAAGTCAGCAAAAATCTTTATGTTTCCCACAATATGCTTGGGGTGCCCATGGGGCAGGGTAGTGGGAGGAAAGTGTGGAATAGTTTACTAAATTCCATTCATAATACCACATTTAAAAACCTATAGGTTGCCAGGCATGGTGGCTTACACCTGTAATCCCAGCACTTTGGGAGGCCAAGGTGGGCGGATCACAAGGTCAAGAGATCAAGACCATCCTGGCCAACATAGTGAAACCCCGTCTATACTAAAAATACAAAAATTAGTGGGGCGTGATGGCACGCACCTTTAGTCCCAGCTACTCAGGAGGCTGAGGCAGGAGAGTCGCTTGAACCCGGGAGGCGGAGGTTGCAGTGAGCCTAGATCACGCTACTGCACTCCAGCCTGGCAACAGAGCGAGACTCCGTCTCAAAACAACAACAACAACAACAACAACAACAAAACCTGTAGGTAGAAAAACAAAAACAAAAACTTACAGGTAAAAAGGAGGCTTCTTGACTTACTGGAAATAGTTCTTATAAAACAAACCAAACAAAACCAGTCTATATTTTTTATCAATTGCTTCTTTTCAGTGCTCTTGTCATTCAGTGATTGCAAAATGCATGTTCCGGAAATTCATAAGGTTGCTTACTCTGTTAGTTGCATGAAAAACAACACTAAACTTAATTCCTCCCCTCCCCCAAAAGAAAACATACAGCTCTTTAGAGGGAAAGGGGGAAATATAAAGACAAATAAATCTTAAGGAAGTAGCAGAGAATATTTTAAATGTTTAAAAATTACATGAAGGAATACATCCATTCATTGATTTAGCAAACATTTGCATGCTTTCTACCTGCCAAGACCTATGTGAGGCAGAGTAATACAGAAATACAGGACAGTGCTTCTTAACCAGTTTTACATCATGACACACATAGAAAATGATAATTTTTAAACGGAGATCATCTGCCAGGAAGCTCCTGCCACCTCAGGCTCTTTTGGACAGTCTTGTGGGCTTAGGACATGACTGACTTGGCGCACCATCACCCTGTTGTGGTAGGCATACTGGAAATATTTGATGTGAGACATAGTTCCTGCTCTTGGGAAGCTCACAGTCAGAGGACACAGCCAAGTGAACAGACACCAGGAATTATTGCCTCCAAGACTGGTTTGTGTTGGAGATGGAAATGGATGGCCCTTTTAAAGGTGTGGTTCATTGCTGAAATAGAACATATCCAGCAACTATAGAATGAGATAGTGTAATTTTATATTAACTTCTAAACCTCAAATAATGCCTCAAGTCTACTTGGCTTCTGAAAGAATATGCAGGTTTTGACTTAATTTAGTGCTTGAAATGAGGAAGTGTAAACACAGAACAGCTTCTCTCTTTTGGGAATACTAAACCTTAGTCTGATCCTGGCCATGTATACTCCTGCCTCTCTATAGATAGATCTTGTTCAGGAGATGAGGATAATGAGGAAAGAATCCGGTGGAAGAGGTGGGGCAAAGATGTTCTGGAGGGAGTCATACCAGTTTAGAGCAGGATAGAATGGTAAGGCACGTGTTCACTCTTCCCCATCCTCATCCTCACCCTAACCTTCCCACCCCTGGGGGAAAACTTGAAATACTGTCTCTTACCTGTAATATTAGATTCTACCTAAATATACTGTCCCTGGACTCCTCAAGTTGCAGTGGTATTATAAAACCACTCAGCGCACATTACTGAATATCTGCATGATGAGATGGGGTCAGGAGGAGTGGTCCCTATTTCAGGGAAGCAGAAGAATCATGTGGGGTAAGATGTGTTACAAAAGCACAGAAGAGAAATGTTAGGTCCATCCAAAAAAAATAAAAAATAAAAATGCTCTCAAGTGGAGGACATCCTCTGTCAGCTTAGATGTTCTAGAAGTTAGCTAGGAAAGTAGAAAAATGAAGGGGATACAATTAGGAGGTGATGTTTTAAAAAATAAAGTCAAAGCTTTGAATTTAAATTGTAATGTAAAAGGAAATATAATTGAATAGAAGTTTTAGAATTCTGCTTGCAGATTCCTTTGGGATCCCCTTTTTCTTTAATATTCTTGCAGTGGCCTTTGTGTGTTTATGTACAGTATCCTTAAGGTGGGTCAGAGCATGTATTATTGCTTTGTCTCAGTTTAATTTTAAAATGTTTTCATCTCCTACTTTCAATGTATCAAGCTAAACCTTAATTTTAGTTGTCTCTAGTACTCTTCATCCTGAGGAATGTCAGAGCACTTGGGATGTTGTATATTTTAGGATTCCATACCCACTCTTGAAACGCACTTGGTTAAGCTAGGGGTTTAGGTCAGCAATGTACCCCACACTCTTCCTTCCCTTTAATTTTAATGCAACAAAATCAAGCCTAATTTTGCAAGTTGAGAGTAAATAAGAATTGAGATTTTGTTTTGTTTTGTTTTGTTTTGCTTTCTCATCTAAATTCTAACTCTTATTCTAACTCTGATCCTTTTATTCTTTATTTACCAGAAGTAATGACTGGGTTGTTTGGGGACCTAATAACACGTTGCATTGGGGGCAGGGAGGGACAGAACATGCTTCAGCAGTTCTCTATTGCTATTCTCATCCTTCTCCTTAGAGAAAGCCTCGTGACAGTAATGAGAGCAGCTTCTGTGCTTCATTATTCCAGATTTATTTTTATGTTGGGGGAAGGGAGAGTCTACGAAATTTTTTTTTTTTACATGATTTTTGGAAGGAAGGAGATTTTTTTTCAACTTTCTATATAGATTATTAGTTTTAAAAACAAATCTTCAGAGAAGGCAAATCATTAACAGTCAAGAACAACTTTGATAATATATAGAGATGAATAAATCAGTATTTTTATTTTCTTAAAATAAGTATATAATTTATCTTGGCTGGATCTGGTGGCTCATGCCTGTAATCCCAGCACTTTGGGAGGCTAGGCAGGTGGATCCTTTGAGGTCGGGAGTTCAAGACCAGCCTGGCCAACATGGTGAAACCCCATCTCTACTAAAAATACAGAAAATTAGCCGGGTTTGGTGGCGGGTGCCTGTAATCCCAGCTACTCTGGAGGCTGAGGCACAAGAATTATTTGAACCCGGGAGGCAGAGGTTGTAGTGAGCTGAGATCGCACCACTGTACTCCAGCCTGGAACAGTGTGAGACTGTGTCTCAAAAAAAAAAAAAGATTTCTCTCATTTTTTTTTTTGTATGCTTTACCATTTAATAGTCTTACAATCATTCGATGACTATTTTTAAACTTTGCCTTATAAGAAAATATAGCTATTTTGAACAGCACATACAGGTACCAGTCTAGCAGATAACTAGTGGGACAAGTTTGGAAAGCTTTGCCACGTTTTTGCAATCTTAAGTGATGGGAAAGAATTTTTTTTTTTTACACTTATGTAATGTTCTTAACTAATACAGAAATTCGTTTTAATGGTTTTGGCTTTCTGAATAAATGTGATGCTTTTGTTGAAATTATTGTTAGAAGTCAAATCACTCTTTGCTGAGCCCTGTGTACTTACTTTTGTGGTTTTTGATGTTTGGTGTTAATAATAACATTTAGTAATAATGTGCCTTACATAGAGAGTAAAATTGCTACTTTGTGATCTGTGTCCCATCTAATGAAACTTACTGTCCTCTTTTATATTTAAATGCTATTTTAAAAAGTGGTTTGTGGCTGTTTGTGTCTACAGGATCGCCCCAGGACATTCGACATGCACTCACTGGAGAGTTCACTCATTGACATAATGAGAGCTGAAAATGATACCATTAAAGGTAAGTTTAGAAATATACCCAATTGATTTCAGACAATAGTTTTAAATGTGTATTAACTATTTAATCTGATACACAGTATGGCAAATATTATGGAGTCACTTTGTATGCAGTAAGTTCTATCAATTTTACACATATACCTCTTGTTGTTAAAAAATCCAACATACTTGATGAACCTCTATAGTGGAGCCATCGTGATACCAGGTAAGAGTACTACGTGAGTACTAATTGCCAAGAATGGGCAATTATCTCAAAGACACCAACTACATACCTTATTATTATTTTTTTTATATCTCAGGCAATAACTTCTCAGTGTCTTAGTTGTTTATGTCTACCTACTTATGACAGTGATTATGTCCCAGGAACAGTTCACATGTTGGTAGAATTTTTGCCTACTTTCATGTTTTAAAAAATAACCAATAGTTTCAAAGTTAAAATGAAGTTCTGTAGTTCTCAGAATTTTTTTCTATGTATTATGTTAAAAAAAAATACTGTTTCTACATGGATTCTAGTCTCATGTTACTGACAAGTTGTGTTATCTTGAATAAGACATTCTGTTTGACTAGGCCTCAATTTCTTCACCTTTATAAAGACGTAGAATTACCCGGGTGCTTTAAAAATAAAATGTAGATGTCTGGACCCCATTCCATACATGGGGTGCGGGCTTGCATGTTTTTATTTTTTTTTGAGACGGAGTCTTGCCCTGTCGCCAGGCTGGAGTGCAGTGGCGTGATCACTGCAAGCTCCGCCTCCCAGGCTCACGCCATTCTCCTGCCTCAGCCTCCCGAGTAGCTGGGACTACAGGCGCCCACTACCACGCCCGGCTCATTTTTTGTATTTTTAGTAGAGACGGGGTTTCACCGTGTTAGCCAGGATGGTCTCGATCTCCTGACCTAATGATCTGCCCGCCTCGGCCTCCCAAAGTTATTTTTTAATATCTCAGGTGATGCTAACATGTAGCCAAGAATGAAAATTGCAAGACTAGATATTTCCTAAGGGCCTTTCCTCTGATTTTGGGAAAAGTATCTCACAAAATAAAACATTTTTCTGGATAAAAATATCAGTTTATTAGAAAGCAGGTTTTTTTTTTTTTTTTTTTTTTTAAGAAACTTAGAATGTTTGGTATATTTGGTCATCCCACTTAAGCTGTTGGCTCCTTCATTCATTCATTCATTCATTCATTCATTCAGTGATTCAATGTTTATGACACTGCTTTGTGCCAGACATAGAGCTTTGCACTGAGGTCAAAGGTGACAAGGCAGCCTGTTGTTTCAACTGGTGACCTGCTTAGCCTAGTTTCCCTTTGAGTTTGGCTTATCATGTTACTGATGCAGAAAAACATTTTATGTATTTTTCAGTAGACCAATAGTGATAATATTGTTTTAATGAAGAAAGCTTTTAGGTTTCTGGAGAGAGGGAAGAAAAATAATGTGTAAAAAATAGGCATCCATCTGATGTGATACCTTTGAAATAAGAATATTTGGAAGGTCTTTACTGAGTTTCTCATGGAATTCTGGTGGATGACTTTAGTGTAGATGCATGCTATATAGCTGTGGAAAGATGATCTCCCACTCAGAATTGGCTTTATTTTTGCTACTTTTTAGCACTCTGACTTTGGGTAGTCTTCAGCCTCTTGGACCCTTTGTTTTCTCTTCAGAAAAATGAAGAGTCTAAGGTGCTATTTCTAGCACCAGAAAAATTGTACACTCTTAAAAAATAGCTAAAGGAAAAATATGAATAAGGTCTGTGGGTTGTACCAATGTCAATTTCCTGGTTTTGTATTATAGTTATGTAAAATGTTGCCATTTGAGAACACTGGATAAAGGGTACATGAGGCTTTCTCTGTACTACTTTTGCAACTTGCTGTGAATCTATAATTAGCACTTTGGGAGGTAAAGGAGGGAGAATCACTTGAGCCCAGGAGTTTGAGACCAGCCTGGGCAACATGGCAAGACCCTGTCTCTATATAATAAAGTAATTTGAAAAAGAAAAAAACACAGACCCTGTCTTTATATAATAAAATAATTTTTTTTTTTTTTTTAAAAAGTTAAGGTCTGGTGCGGTGGCTCACGCTTATAATCCCAGCACTTTGGGAGGCTGAGGTAGAGGATGGCTGGAGCCCAGGAGTTCAAGACCAGTCTGGGCAAGATGGTGAGACCTGGTCTCTACAAACATTTAAAAAAAAAAAAAATTAGCCAGGCATAGCAACCCACACCTATGTTCCCAGTTACATGGGACGCTGAGGCAGGAAGATCACTTGGGCCCAGAAGGTTGAGGCTGCAGTGAGCTGTGTTCCTGCTCTTTAAGACCCTGTCTCAAAAAAAAAAAAAAAAAAAAGTATGGAAAAAGTAGTTAAAGAACATTTGTATATTCTTAATGTGTTTAATTCTTTCAGCACATTTTAAAAGAGCTTCCCATACACTAGGTACTACAGATAATAAGTAATTAGAAATCATTTTCTAAGTGCCTATGGTTTTTATCACAGAAAATATAGGTTACAAACAGCAGTGGATAGAAACAACTTGTTATGTGACATTTTAAGAAGCAAGCCTCTAACTAATACTTAGGTTAGATAAAAGAGTTGGCACACATTATTCTTTTTTTTTTTTTTTTGAGACAAGAGTCTTGCTCTGTTGCACAGGCTGGAGTGCAGTGGCACGATCTCAGCTCACTGCAACCTTTGCCTCCTGGGTTCAAGCAATTCTCCTGTCTCAGCCTCCCAAGCAGCTGGGACTACAGGCGCCTGCCACCACGCCTGGCTAATTTTTGTATTTTTAGTAGAGATGGGGTTTCACCTTGTTGGTTGGGCTGGTCTTGAACTCCTAGCTTCAGGTGATCCACCCACCTTGGCCTCCCAAAGTGCTGGGATTACAGGCGTGAGCCACTGCACCTGGCCAGCACACAGTATTCTGATACGATTAACAATAGAATTTCCTTGGCCATCAGTTTTAGCCAGGACATCTCTATCAGATTTTTTTCTTCTAATTTGCTCAACGGATAATTGTTTAAAGTTCTGCCTTTATTCTATATTCTCTTTTTAAGTTCTCCTTACCAATTTTTACTAAATTAAGTTTCTTTAAGCTGATATTATAGGGATAATCAAAAGTTAGGTCTGATGACAAAATAAATTAAGTCTGATTGATCTAATCTGGGAACATACAGATTTTGTAAAATAGTGATTTATAGACTGCAACGTGATGGAATAGAAAGACAGTGGCTTTTGGAATCAGATCTGGTTAAACGGCCACTCTGTCACTACAGTCTGTGGTGGCTGTGAGGATGACATAATATGATGCAGCTATAGATTTCAGCGTATTGCCTAATTCATAGAAGACACTAAAGAAATTACATGTATTATTACTAAACATGTAAGTCTGCTTTCATGCTCATCAAAAAAGCCAGCTTCAGTTTAAGTTTAGGTGCCAATCTGGCTTGAGTATATTACAGGAAGCTTGTGTGTTTTTTCCTACAAAGAGCAGTAAAGAATTCACAGATGAGTGCATGGATCTAAAATGCCAGATTATAGTTACGCTTGTTTTCTTTTTCAAACAAGACCATGACCTTTGTATCATTGTAGCCTATCACTGCCAAGACATTGTTTTTGCTCAGGGTAACATTTTATTTCTTGTCAAACTATCTTCTGATTTAGATAGCTATTTTAGGAATACTATGCTTGATTTTAACAGTGGTTCATTCTATTGTGAAATTTTGTTTAAAGGTAATAAAGATAATAAAATTTGAATAACTTAAAAAAACACATTGTCATTTTGAAATAGGTATCTAACACCTACCAATTCATTTTGAAAATAAATAAATAAAATACTCTTCTAGTGCTCTGCTTCCTTAGAAACAGAAAATAGAAAATTGACATTAGCCAGGTGTGGTAGCTCACACCTGTAACCCTAGCACTTTGGGAGGGCCAGGTGGGTGCATCACCTGAGGTCAGGAGTTCGAGACCAGCCTGGCCAACATGGTGAAACCCCATCTCTACTAAAAACAGAAAAATTATCCGGGCGTGGTAGTGTGCACCTGTAGTCCCAGTTACTCCAGAGGGTGAGGCAGGAGAATTGCTTGAACCTGGCAGGCGGAGGTTGCAATGAGCCGAGATCGGGCCACTGCACTCCAGCCTGGGCAACAGAAGAGAGAGACTCCGTCACAAAAAGGAAAGAGAAGAAAATTCGTGTTAATTCTGAGATTAGTAGAGAACAGTATACCACTCAGAAAAAAAAATTAAAAGATTTGATTGTTTTAGACTTTACAATTCAAAGACAACTTTAATAATCTTAAAAATAATTTCATAAAAAATTATGAATGACCTCATTTATTTTTCTCTTTCATTTCTGGTTCCTCATAGGTATGCAGTTTGTGTGTGTATGTGTTTAATACGGCCTAAAATTGCTACGGGAACTACCAGTTGAATCTATTGGTGTGGCTATTATTAACTTAAATTTTCAAAAGAGCTAGAAAACTTAATTTGTATTTTTCATTTTGGAACAAAAAAATTCCCTTACTGTAATGCGGTTAAAAAACTTTATTTTTACTATCAACAAAATGCTTAATAGTCCTAGGAACGTTCAAGTACAGTTTTTGAATTTCTTTATGAATGTGTTATTGATTCCAACTGGTTTGTTGGAAAACTTATTTTTTTTTAAACAAATGTTCAAAGGAGTACATAGCTTTCATAATTCGTATTAGGTTTTTTTATAACTTATTTTTAATTGCTTTTCTAAGAATTTTGAGGCTACTATGATTTTTTCTATGTACAGGGATTTAGCTCTTTGTGCGGTGGGGAAAGGGTTCTCCTCATTCCTTATCTCCCTGTCCTTTCTCTGGTCAGCTGGCAAGTCTGGATGTTATTTTTATCCGCGAAATTGTGTATTGCCTTCTCCATAACCAACACCAGTGACAATCCTCAGAAGCTCTTCCCCAGAGACCGAATTCATTTTCTTTGCTGCACACTCAGTCTCATAAGCTTAGAGCCTGAGCTACAGGCTGATTTTGAATTTTGATCTCCCAGGTGGCAGCTTGTGCATTGCTACAATATTATTAGGCTTATCAAGTTTTTCTTCACCTGGACAGAAAACTATTTTATTGCTGTAGATGCCTAGATGATTATTTGGGGAATATTGTATCTTATTGTTATGCATGTTTTTTCTCGCTTATGAAATTGGTACTTGTTACTTAGAAATGGAGCAGCATGAAATAGATTAAAACCACATGCGAGTACATCTGTTTTCAGCCTTCTGAAGCATAGGTTGGACACAGTGAAATAAAGATTCATGAGTTAGTATTATATTCAGTGTATAGAGAGACCTCTGAAAATTAGGGAGCCTTTTTTTCTTTTCTGTATGTGAAGGGAATAAAGAGACAAAAATAGTGCTTAAAAATTAGACGTCAGACAGAATATAACAATCCACAGTTTCATGATAGTGGTTGAGTATTTTAAATTCAATATATGAAAACAATATAATATTCAATTTGCTTCATTTCACTAGAAAGCCAAAATGAGACAGCAAAATTATTGAGAGAACAAAGGCAATCTACAGACTGTCAAAACATTATAGTTGTTCTTCAGATATGAAATTATGACTTAGATATCATATTATTCCTTTGAATAGTGTGAAAATGGAGTCTTTTTCTCTTCATATTGTTGTAGAATATATGTTGCTTTCAGATTTTTGAAAGAAAGGCTCAACATATCCACCACAATTCCTCTGAGTTTCAGGCATTTCAAGTACTTAATTTGAATGTAAGCAATAATGATTGCATTCAGAAATGCAAGTTGTTTAAAGTGCCAGTCTTTTACATATCCCCATGGTGCCCAGGAAACCTATTGCATATGTAGAGGAAGTAGTGGAAGCATGTTATACATCACTGCCTCACGTGTTTCATGCATCGCTTTATTTTAAGAGCTATGGATCTACTCCAAAAATGCTATGTATTTAATTCCTGACTGCCAAAGGTGTTGTGACCTTGCATTTTAAAACACTTTCATATTTTTTCTTGCTTTATCTACGTGTTAAATTTAGAGACCCTTCCCTGACTATTTTTCATTGCTGTAAATTTGTTTGAAACAAATGCTTAAATGAGTGGGCAAGTGATGATTCCATCTGTGCTTCTTTTCTTTGTTGCTAAGCAAAAGAATTTATAATAACCTTTCTAGAAGAAAATCATGAAACTCAAGTTGAAAGTTTAGTACACAAAGCTTGTTTCATCAGTTTTATAAAAGTTTTTTTTATATCATTGTAAGAGAGTGGCTGTGGGGATTATTTAAATTCTGTATCTTTACAGTTGGGATAGAATTTAGTGCTACTTAAAAATATGTAATAAATAATAGGAAACCTTAACTTTTCTTTCGATACACCATTTTACTAATATTCCTATATTCCAAATTGCAGTCACTTAGTTGACTTAGAGAACACATGTTGTATACTGGTAGAGAGGCATTAGAACAAGTATTTTATACAGATACTGACTCTGTGCAGGCTGAAATAGCTCTGGAAACCTGCTATGAGAGTTGCTAAATTTTGTCACTTATTTATTTCATATGTTATAAATTTGAAGTAATTTGGGAATAAATAATTTTTTTTCAAAATGAAAGGAAGTCCTACTAAAATAGGTTCTGTTGCTTTAATATTAGAATGATTTATTTCAGGTAGGAATGGTGGGGAGAGTATATAATTTCTTACAGTATTTAACCTTTTTCTATTTAAATTGGTTTGCCTGTGGCAAAATAAGAACAGATTACTGGTACCCTAACCTCCAACCTTTTTAAAGGATTAGATGGACATTTTCCTTTAAGGGACATTTAATGGGGCAGATTCAAAGTACCATAAAGAAGAAGTGGATAGGCTGGGCGTGGTGGCTCACGCCTGTAATCCCAGGGCTTTGGGAGGCCAAGGTGGGTGGATCACCAGGAGTTCAAGACCAGCCTGGCCAACATGGTGAAACCCGTCTCTACTAAAAATGTAAAAATTAGCAGGGCGCGGTAGCGGGCGCCTGTAATCCCAGCTACTTGGGAGGCTGAGGCAGGAGAACCGCTTGAACCTGGCAGGCGGAGGTTGCAGTGAGCCAAGATCAAGCCATTGCACTCCAGCCTGGGCGACAAGACTGAAACTCCATCTCAAAGAAATAAAAAAGAAGAAGAAATGGATAACGCAAACCAGTTAATTTTACTCGGATTTATAATCAAATTTCTCCTTCCAAGTAAATTATTAGTGTGTGGTATCAAATGTGTCTGGCGAATTGAGGGATCTTTAAATATCATTAAGTCTTTAAGACTCAGAGTCGGCCGGCAGCTGCCTGCGTGTCTGGCTGAAGCCTTCCTGAACTAGGCTGGCTCTTTCTTGCTCGGTTTGGATGATACCAAGTAATTCAAAGTAGCGTAACAGGGGAGTGACTTAAGTCTCCTAAGAATTAGAAAGTTGCCTTAATTCTCAAAGCCTCATAAGTAATGGAGGACGTTAAATAGCAAAGAGTATAATTTAAACTGGGCTACAATTAAATGTGTGTGTGGCTATGTAGGAATGAAGCGTGTTTCTTCTCCTCCTGTACTCTCCCTCTCTTGACTGCGGAAATGGAACATCCTAAACAGTCTTTCTCTTGCCTTGGCTTAGCTGTGCTGTAGGATGGGACCTGGGCTTCTGTGTTGAGGTAACTTCTATTGTGAGGAAGAAGAGGGCGAAATTGTGTGGCATGATTTTTTTGTATGAAAAGTGAAGGGCCTATTCTTAATTTTGAACAACTGCCTGCTTTCTGATTTACTTTTGATCCGGATTTGTTGGATTCCTCACTGTACTGTGTAGGTTGAGCTTACAAAGGTGTGGATTTTGAGCAGTGCGATTACCCCCTTTCAGATTTGGGGTTGCTGTTGTTTTTGTCTTTGGGTTTTTATAAGGCGGGGAGGGTAAGGGGAAATGCCTAGGAAAGAAAATCATGTGATGTATGTGAATGCCGACATCGTCATAGGATCGGACTGAAGCCTTTCTCCCTCTAGCCTCTGAATGGAAACCAACTCAGTTCAAACTAAATGCATCTTGTGCATGGGCCAGATCCTCATCTGCCCCGTTTACTTACATAACACATACTAGTCAATCGAAAATAGTGATCCTCTGCCCTCTACCTGCCACACATTCGTGATTGAATATTTAACCCTTGTTTTTATTTGGTCTGAAAATCAAATAAGCAGTTGCCACAAAGGGGGAATTTGTCTTATGTCATCCATGATGTGGGTCCGTAATTACTTAAGCAGCCCCTTTATCTTAATCCTGAACATTGAACACAAGGAATCCTATTTTGAGGCCATGAAAATCGGTTATCGTTTTATTCTTTGTTACCTGAGTGAGAGGTGAGGGTAACGGTGGGCGAGTAGATGGGGGAAGTATTATAATAGTAAACTTTTAATGTTATTAGAAGGTTAAACATACATTTAAAAGATTTTTTTAATACATAATTTTTTCTTTTCAGTTGTAGTAAAGTTCCCTTATAATATGGTTATTATGACTTAATATTGTTTGACATACATTCAGGGCAGGGATTTAACTATGTGTGGTAGATAAAAACTTAGAGATAAATAAGAAAACAAGCAACAATCAGGTAACAAATTAACAAGTACTTTTCTTTAATGTTTTGCTTTGTCATATTAAGTTTTGTGTACAATTTAAGCTTATGTTTTACCATCTGGACAGGCAAAAATAGTAATCTCCACTCAGAAATGAAATCAGAATGACAATTAAGTAGTAAGATTTTCAGACTTTGTCCACAGTTTGTCAATGATAAATATTAGGGACCTTCCTACTGTAAAAAAGAGAAGGGGCCCCACAATATTTATGGGGATACATGTCATTCATGTGCCACATCTAAATTAATAGAGTGTATTGTGCACCTTTAATAGTGTCACTTGGTTTTTCTGTTTTCCTTCTATAATAAAATTCTATAGAGGTGACTCTTGCTGTCTCATTTCCTGGCAGCTACAAAAA
This sequence comes from Homo sapiens, assembly GCF_000001405.40. Classification (NCBI taxonomy): domain Eukaryota; kingdom Metazoa; phylum Chordata; class Mammalia; order Primates; family Hominidae; genus Homo; species Homo sapiens. The sequence goes on from NC_000005.10 coordinate 173,919,580, forward strand.
CAGCCCAAATATCTGCTTAATAAAAAAGCCCTTTGTTGTCTATGAAGGTCTTAAGGCTTTCCTTGATCTTGTTATATAATCCATGACGATGTTATTTGCTGACTTTGGGGGAGGGGAAGAAATGCCACCTGATTCATAGTTGTCATAAAAATATCCAAGATTCTCTGCATTTAGTTTAGCAACAGGAACGAGGGAACAGTTCACAATTGTGCCACAGAATTATTACTTCCCAAAACTCCTGCATGGACTTTCTACCTGAATGTTGTATGCAGTTGATTCATTTATCAACTGTATGTGCCTGGATTGTGAATTTCTTGTTTTTCCCCCTCACATTACCATTATCCTTACTACCAAAACTAAAAAGGAGGAGAGAGAAAATTCTCTGAAATTGTTCTTGCTTAGCCCTGTACAATTAGCCATACAATTTGTAAAAGGAATACTTTTTAAGAAGGTTTAAACTAGTCACTACTTTTCAAATCAGACATTGAGATGGTCAGGCTGCCTCTGGGCTTCATTATTTTATCTAATTGACTGATTCTGAATTCAGTCCTACACCACTGCACTCAGTTCTAAAAGCAAGGCTTTGTTTTATTCTGGGTATTACCTGGTAACCAGTCAATTAAGAACATTAGTGGAACTCTGAAGGGAAAGCACTTCCATAATCTCTTTGGAATCCAGTTGGGTTGATGCCAGTTGCTGTGTATTGGAAAAGAGAAGGAGGAATCAACCAATTAGAGCCCCCTTTTAGTGCTTGAGAAACCAACAATAAAGAGCAAGTCTTAATTCTGAAGAGCAGCCCTGATTAATTGAAATATAAATAACTTTTAAAAATCTAACTTCTGCTGGCTATAATATTCCAAATAATAAATGTCTGGCATGGTTGACTAAATAGAGGTATTTAAACCAGCTGCCTGATTTCTTTATTGTAATGATCGGAAGTTGTTAGCATATAACAGACTTTTCCAAATGTTACGAAATAAAAGGAGAAGTGTTCAGGGTTGTGTTCAAACCTGGTTTGGCCACTAGTAGTGCCTTAGATTGGTCACTTCTCTCTAGACCTCAATTTCCTCACCTGTAAACGGAGGGGTTGAACTTAATGATCTTTACATTACCATCAGCAATTCAGTCTTACATTACAAAACTGGAGGTACAGTTTTATATTTTAAAACTGAAGGTTTTTATGGTGTAATGACTGAAAGTAGCCCATGAATATCATGTGATTCTGGGTGTGGCAGTATTTCATATGGAGTAGTTTGTATAAGGGCTATAATCAGAGATCAGATTTAGTCGGTTGAGTGAAGGCTTTGGGTCTAAACTACATCTTTTCTTTTTGAGATAGGCCTAAAAATATTATGTTTAGAAAACAGTTGTTTAAACTTGGCCTCGTGAAATGTTTTTGTTCTCCATTTGTGAACCATGGGCCTCTTCAGCCATGGGAATTATTTGATAGAGCCTGTGAACCCATTAGTGACCAGGCATTCCAGTTAGATGATAGATGTCACTTGTGTATGCATGATTATCTTCCAAAAGCATGTGGATGCTGATGTAATGCAATTAAAATACATTTAAAGGTGTTGCTGAGTTCATAGTAGCCTTCTGATATTAAGATTTTTTTTTGTTTTTGTTCTGTTTTACTTAGGGTAGAGACAGGGGTAGGAGTCTTCAGTTATTATTATGGAGGAAAGCCTCTCTGAAATATTTTGATCAAAGTAGGTCTTAATAGTTATTACAACAGATTATGAAATACTGCTCTAGAGAACTTCCCTAATTTTTCTGCTTTATACTCTTGCCATTAGAATGCTCCTTGTTACAAAAAAGAACATAACATAAAAAAGGAATTTAACAGAGGAAATGGTGAGGAGGAGGACAGGGAGGAGTGAGGAGGCTACTGACGCTCTCCTAAATTGTCCTCTCCACCAAGTAGCATTTTGGAGCTTCCTGACATCTGAAGCCATCTTTATTCCTTTGTAGCAGGGTTAAGAATATGGGCTGCTGAGGCTACATCCTGCATGATGCCAGGGGGTAGAGGGAGCCATCTGACGAGATGGGTGCACTCCGTGTTGTATAACATGGCAGTTCTTGTTAGGAGGGGGAGGCAAGTGCTACTAAAGCCTCTTTAAGCCACATGGTTTGGAAGTGTCTTATATTTTAGCTTCTGCTTATACTCCACCTCCACAAATATTTGAACATATTCAATGTGCCAGGTAGATTGAAGGATAGTTTTGATGCTGTGCTGCATTTTTCCTTTTCGAGGTAGACCTGGACATTCTGTATGGGAAGCAGCATTAACCAGTTTCAAGTGAAAGGGTGCTTACCTCTGATACCATTTCTCTTTTATTCAGTGCCCCTTCTGAGAATTATTTGTAACCCAGATCCTTACGGTAACCTGTTATGTGAGTTTTGTGGTCTTCATTTTACAGTTGAAAAGAATTGGAGATCCCAAAGATGCAACAGCTTCTGTAAAGTCACTCAGATTCCTGGTACCTACAAGGGTCAATATAGGAGGAACACACAGCTTCTGGCTCCTGGTTCAATGGCCTGAGTATTTATTGTGTAGCCTCTGAGAAGGAAACAAACATAAGAAAATGGAAACATTTTTGTCTAGTATGCTTTGACAGAGGGTAGGCATTCAATTTTTTTTTCTCTTTCTCTTTCTTTCTTTCTTTTTTGAGACAGGGTCTAGCTCTGTTGTCCATCCTGGAGTGCAGTGGCACAATCTTGGCTCACTGCAGCCTCCGCCTCCTGGGCTCAAACGCTCCTCCCACTTCAGCCTCCCAAGTAGCTGGAACTACAGGTGCCTGCCAGTGCACCTGGCTAATTTCTGTATTTTTTGCAGAAATGGGGCTTTGCCATGTTGCCTAGGCTGGTCTCAAACTCCTGGGCTCAAGCAATTCACCTGCCTTGGCCTCCCAAAGTGCTGGGATTACAGACATGAGCCATCATGCCTGGCCAAGATTTCTTAATTTCAATTTAGGAGATGGTACAAAATTTAAAAATCTGTATTTTATCATAATCTATGAAAGATTCACACATCACAGTTGGCTGGTTTCATACTGAAGTGTGCCTTATTGGGAGTGGAAACTTTTCCAAGTTGACTTGTTCTCTTCCCTGATTCTGATTCACCAGATTTGCCATGGGACTTAAGCATGTGCATTCTTCATGTGATTCAGATACACTTCCTTCGCTTCCCACCCCCAACTTTTGCGCTGCTTTGGATGTATATGTAAAGTCCAGAGCTGTCTGAGGCCATTCATACAACAAATATACATCAGGCATCTACTGTGCACCAGGTACTATGGTTGTTGGGATATATCAGGGACTAACTAAAAACAAAGGTTCCTGGCTTCATGCAGCTTATTTTCCAAATAATTACCAGACATCTTTGAATATCCTGTTTATTATTTAATTTAGAAGATTAATAAGAGGAAAAGTAAGAACCCAGAGTATTGATAGGAGAAAATAGGTAGTGGGCCTTCTGAGAAATAACAAAAGGTGAAATTCTTATATCAGATATAAAATGCAAGTCCATTTTTCATTAAGGTTCAGAAAAGTTGTCAGAATTCATGTTAAGTAAGTGACTAGAGTTAATGATAGATAGGTCTGTATGCAGAAAGCCAACTAGTGACTTTGCAGATTGCTTTTTGGGGTTTGGACTTCAGTAAACAGTTTTAATGCAACTTTTTATCAGTGTAGTAGCATTCTATTTTATAAAATAATGGTTATAAATAAGAAACTCAGTCTTAATTCTCTTTAGTTTCTGTAGTCAGAGAAAAGTCTAATTAGATCTCTTGTGGCTTCTCTCTCTTATCTCTAAAGTTCTCAATCATTTACACTGACTTAGCTTGTGGTCCCTAGAGATTTCATAAGTTTATCTTGGTGTTTTTTTATGTTCATGTCAGCACAGAGAGCCATTTGTCAAAATTATTTTCACCTTGGGGCCAGTTCTTTATTCATTGGTTCTTTTAATATATGTCTCTTGTAACACATGCTTCTTTTAAGCAAACTTTTTGCAAGGTAGGAGAATTTTAATTTACTGCCTTGGCTTTTTTTCTGGATTGCTTTAATTTTTTCTACTACTTGGTCTGTTTTTCCACTTTTCTTTCCATTATATTTTTTTCACCTTTTTTTTTCCAACTGACTTTGGCTGGCTTAGCTTGGACAAAAACTACACCTAGTTTTGCCGAGTTTTTTAGAGCTTAAAAAATTGCCATTAATCTCTGGTATCATAACATCCTCTTAAGGCAAGTTATCTTGTTGCTCTGTCCTCTAAATGTAGCATCTAGAGTCAGAAGGCTTCTGGCAAGGATAAAAATAGCCTTCCTGCTTGCTGGTTTGTTGTTAGCTTTACTGGCAGTAGGAAATCTTTTGAATTCCTTAATTGGGTCAGCTTCTTACTAGTTTCTCTCTGGACATTCCCTTCTGCCTGAAATTCTTAGATGCTTTTAGATCTTGCAGCTTCGCACCTGCCCCGAGTTGTAGTCAAAGCAGTCCTTCCCTTCTATGAAACCTTCCTCCATCTGTAGAAACATATTCCATTGACCTCTCCCATCTTACAGATAAGTGTTATTTTCTTTTGCCACTACTACAATCTGTTTTTCAATCATCATATTACAATTGAAACATTAAATTTGGGGTTTTGGTTCAAAATGAAGATCCTCTCTGGTTTTATTGAAAAGAAAAATTTTAGGTTGAATTTTTGAAGTTTTCATTAAAATTATTATGTATCTTTGCCAGTTTGGCTTTGATGAAAGTAAGGGGTTAGGTTTTGTTCTTTTCTCTCTTCCTGAGAAGACTTATATCCCTGTTTTTAACCAAGGACACTAGCAAATTCTCATTTTTCTGAAGCTGAAATATCCCCCAGATTTGCCCCTCCCTTTTCCAAGGTTCCAGTTTGGAACTTTTTGGCCAAAATAAATCCTACTTGTCCTTTCTCTTACAAGTGGAAAATTGTTGGTTATCTTCGGCTTATTACTGGGGAAGGGAAAGGAATTAATTTTGTTAAGTACCTACTGCATATTGAGGGATTTTTTTTGGCATTCTGCAAACATTATCTCAAGACTGTCTCACAACAGCTCTGTGAAGTCAATGGAATTATCTCTGTTTTCCTGAGGTTCAGCAAAGCTAAATAATTTGACTTAGGTCACAAGATGATACCGGCTTGACTCTACCCATTACACTGCATCTTCCATGGCAGAGAGATCATCAACTGCTGACTTTGCTTCATTCATTTTCCACAGTTGTTTATTGAGCACCTTTCTCTGCTCCAGGCTCTGGGGTAGCACACCCAAAATCCATAAAGATCTCATTGCCCTACAGCAAGAGATTAAAACAAGTAATGTAAATATGGTGTAATAAGTGTAAAGAATACTGGAAGGAGTACAGAGGGTTATCTGAATCAAAGCAAGGATGATGTGGGGCAGGGAAGGCTTCTCATAAGATGTGAGGCCTAGCAGGGGAACTGCTGGGACAAAAGTGTGGAGGCTTGAGTGGTAAGACATTGAGGGGCAGAGAGAGAGAGGAGGGCCTTCTAGGTAGAGGGAGTTACCCAGAAGTTGAAGTTATGGGCCAGCAGTTCTGAATGGCTGGAGTGCCTGATGTGGGAAGGGAAATGGCAGTGTGGAGAGTTAGGAAAGCCATTAATTCAAAGATTTTTGTAAGTACTGGCTTTTGAGCTGAAAGCCAAATTTGTAGCAGAGAAGGGTTTTGTTTAGCCTAAACTCTGTGTGTTTAGTGAATTTTAAGTGGCTCTTTGGGAGGGGACAAGACTCTTCAGCTGATATCTGTCTCAGCCAGTTCCTTCTTTGTGATTTTGCATGGGAATGTCTTTGTTGGAAGTTGGTTGTAGCACAGATAGATAAGGGGGTAGAATAAGCTTACTGATTTTGATTTGGGGAGTTATTTTTGTGTCAATACACTAAATTATTAAAAATTAAATTTATACCATTAAATTATAGAACATATTGAATGCTGTTTTGTTCATATTGCTATGTCTTCTGCATTTGTGTAAGTATATAAAGTTGGCATTCAAAACCAGTGGATTTATTACACATTTCTTGAGCTTTGCTGTCCGATGTCCAGGTCCCCACAGCGCCATCTTGCTGCAAGTCTCAAGTGGAGTTTGTAAAAACAGAAGATGTGCAGGGGTAGGAGGACTACCTCCTTTAAAATATTACTTATGACGGTATAGTTTTGATTTACTTAGATGTGAGCTAAACAAAATTAGCAGGAGCAGAGGTAGGAGCAGCACTTCTAGTTAGGCAATCAACAACTGCAAATGTATGTGTATGTATATATTTGTGTGCATTAGAAATTTTTAATGGTGCTCACTGAAGACTCCTCTGCAAACACCCTGCTTTTCTTTGGAGTATCCACATTTTTATAGGGTGAATCAATCAAAAGTTGATCCTTAAAAATTTTATGCTACTTGTCACTTTAGAGTTATTCCCTATTATCATTCCTTGGCCTGCACCATGTTGTCAACATTGTTGGCATGACTGTGAAAAAGAAAAGCTTATAGATAGCGTGAAATCTAATTGTGCTGCAGATACATTTGATACTTTTTGGTGTTTGTGTGTTTGAAATGGCAGCATTTATTTTTATTATTTCCTGTTGAATTATCAGTAGTAGTAATATCTGGATTATTCTTTAGAAAATAACTTATTTTACCTAATTAATGAAAGTAATACTTATATATACTGCTAATGTAAAGGAGGATTTCCTCTGGTCTTTTCTCCTTTTATTTTTTGACTTGGTTACTTTAGTTAGTGTCTTAAAAGGATATGATAGTACATACTGTTCTTTTTAGCACCTCCTGCCCCCACCTATTCTAAGTCAGTCTGTTGGTAAATATTGGTTCTTCCAACTGGCAAATGCTTAGCATAGAATTGCCTAGTTGACGTATGGATCTTTTCTAGGTTGTAGGATTTGGTAGTGTAGATCCCCAGAGTCACACTGTATCTGTTGCCTATATTTGGCTAGGTTGAGTCATGTCACCAAATATAGCCTATGCCTTCGGCATGATGTATGCCAGGCTTCTGGTTCCAAATTCTGCAGCTGGCCTCCAGAGACTACTGCTTTTCCTGTCATAATGTTCCTTAAGATTAGGGCTGCTGACCAGGCAGTATTTTTTATATTTATAACAAAATCAATACCAAGAGCCTTCAAAGATTGAATTTTGCTCATCAAATAGGTTCACATGCTGAAATCCTAATGCCTTCCTTCTCCCTTTAGAAATTAAATTCTGAATGTGCCCAAACCTGGATAATGATTAAAGATAGATGAGTTCTTGGCTGGGCACCGTGGCTCATGCCTGTAATCCCAGCACTGTGGGAGGCTGAGGTGGAGGCATCACCTGAGGTCAGGAGTTCGAGATCAGCCTGGCCAACATGGTGAAACTCTGTCTCTACAAAAATACAAAAAAAATTACCCGCGCATGATGGCGGGTGCCAGTAATCCCAGCTACTCGGGAGGCTGAGGTGGGAGAATCACTTGAACCTGGGAGGCGGAGGTTGCAGTGAGCCAAGATCGTGCCATTGCACTCCAGCCTGGGAGACAGAGCGAGACTCTGTCTGAAAAAATAAAATAAAAAAGATGAGTTCTCAAAAACCCAACCAGACAAAACAGCAGGCAGGTACTGGGTTATATTAATATTCAGACATCTCAATTTTTATTTTATTATACTTTACTTATGAAATACTGGTGTTTTGAGTTCAGTGGAATGAACTCATCAAATGCTCACCTGGTACCCAAACAGGACACTCAAGATGCCTAGGTATTAAAAGCTCTAATTCCGAAGGGGGCTTTAATGTAAAAGAGGTAAGAAGGTTAGCCAGAAGCTGAAATGATTAGGTAAGAAAGTTAGTTGTTGCTTTGTAGCTACAAATAAAATTTGGTGAGTTCATTAAAAAGATGTTTCCAGCCAGGCGCAGTGGCTCAAGCCTGTAATCCCAGCACTTCGGGAGGCCGAGGCAGGAGGATCACGAGGTCAGGAGTTGAAGACCAGCCTAGCCGGGTATGGTGAAACCCTGACTCTACTAAAAATACAAAAATTATCTGTGTGTGGTGGTGCTCGCCTGTAGTCCCAGCTACTCGGGAGGCTGAGGCAGAAGAATCGCTTGAACCCAGGAAGCAGAGGTTGCAGTAAGCTGAGATCGCACTACTGCACTCCAGCCTGGGTGACAGAGTGAGACTCCATCTAAAAAAAAAAAAGATAGATTTGAAAAAATCCTTGAGAAAACTTATGCCTACGCAAAAGCCTGCGTGCACATAGATGTTTATGACGGCTTTATTCATAATTGTCAAAACTTGGAAAAACCAAGATACCCTTCAGTAGGTGAATATAGATTAGTAAACTGTGATCCATCCAAACAATGGACTATTATTAAGCACTAAAAAGAAATGAGCAATCAAACCATGAAAAGATATGGAGGAACCTTAAATGCATATGACTAAGTGAAAGATGGCAATCTGGAAGGCTGCATACTTTATGATTCCAACTGTATGATAGTCTGGAAAAGGCAAGTCTGTGAGACAATAAAAAGGTCAGGGGTTGGGGGCTGGCGAAGAGGGATGAATAGGGGGAGCACAGAGGATTTTTATGGCAGTGAAACTACTTTGTATGATACCATAATGGGTGGATACATGTCATTATACATTTGTCCAAACCCACAGAATGAATACCAAGAGTGAACCCTAATGTAAACTGTGAACTTTGGGTGTAACAAATGTATAGGTTGGTGCAAAAGTAGTTGCAGTTTTTGCCATCAACCTATACCACTCTGGTCGGGATGTTGATAATGGGGTAAGCTATGCATATGTGGGGGCAGGGGGATATCAGAAATCTCTGTATCTTCCTCTCCATTCTGCTGTGAACCTAAAATGCTCTAAAAAAATGACGTTTATATATTTATTTGTAAGTATGCAAATATGCTTATATAAAAGCACATATTTATATATCAACATAAAAATACATATATACGAGACACACACTCTTCATTGGGAACATGGAGTGAGGGCCACTGTCTCAGGCATGGGAGGGGATTATCAACTAGCTAGCCATGGAATAGAAAAGCTATAGAAACTTACACCAATATAGCAGAGAGGATATTAGAACAGAAATAAAGGAAAAAGTACGAGAGTGCAAAAAGGTTGTAGATAACCAAATTCCCATGGCACTTTTAATGGAAGCTTTTGGAGGATTTCCAGAAAGGAAATGATATGTGTTATCCATAATATGATGGACAACTCTTTAGATATTTTAGTTGTGGAGAGAATTTACGGAAGAGTAGGGCACACAAGTTAGGGAAGCATTATGAAAGTTAAAAAAAGAAAACAGTTTCTTAATGTCACTTATGTTAAAATTTAAGTAGAAAGAATAGCTGATTGTTTAACAGAATGTCACAGGTGTGTTTGCTACTAGAGACCACAATTGATTCTAACCTGACAACAGGAATCATATCACAAGGCCGGATCAAAAAAATTAAAAACAAGTATCACTTTCAGAGTTCAACTGTGAACTTTGCCAGTGATTTTTCAGTGTCGCATTGTGTCTTAGCTGGAGGGTAGAATGACTGTAACTTATAAGGCCAAGGGACAGGGAAAGTGTTAAAGGTCACCTCCTTTGGTTGTGGGAGGTCTCTTCAGGAGATATGGGAAGAGTTAATCTCATAATAGAGTTAAGAGACCGTTTTGTTACTGTCAAGTTGAAATTTTCTCTTTAAAAGATACCCAAAACATGAGTTTGTGATAAAGTGGAACTTCATTTGTGAAACTTCATTGTGAAACCAGCCTGTTTAGTAATTGTCTTTTGGATTCTCATTGTTCATTATCCTCCCTTAGGGCTGGGTGAGGTGGCTCATTCCTGTAAACCCGGCACTTGAAGAGGCTGAGGTGGGAGGATTGCTTGAGCCCAAGAGTTCAAGACCAGCCTGGGTAACATAGGGAGACCCCCATCTCTACATAAAATAAAAAATTAGCCAGGCATGGTGGCATGCATTGGTAGTCCCAGTCACTTGGGAGACTTGAGGTGGTAGGATCACTTAAGCCTGGGAGGTCGAGGCTGGAGCTGAGATAGCACCACACTGCACTCCAGCCTGGGCAACAGAGTGAGACCCTGTCTCAAAAATTAAAATAATAATAATAATAGTCCTTCCTTGGCATCAAGTAAAAGGGATTATGGTTCATATAGAACAGCCTTGGTTTCTATTGCAATGTTAGCATTAAATAATTAGAATATCTTCTTGGAGATAATAAGACATTTCCTCTTAATATTTCAACTAATGTTATCAAATATTTTTGTCTCTATATTGATTTAGTCATTCTTCTGAAAATGTTTTATGATAAATGAAAGTGTGATAGCTCTTATTCATTTACTAGAGAGTTTTAGAAGTATAAAATCTCTATATATGTTCCATTACAGAAAATCAGCTGCTACTTTTAGTTGTGATTCAGAAACAGTACTCTGTTCCCACCTCCCAAGTTTTTTTTTTTTTTTGAGACAGAGTTTTGTGCTTGTCTCCCAGGCTGGAGAGCAGTGGCGAGATCTCAGCTCACTGCAACCCCTGCCTCCTGGATTCAAGCAATTCTCCTGCCTCAGCCTCCCCAGTAGCTGGGTTGATTACAAGCGTGCACCACCACGCCTGGCTAATTTTTGTATTTTGTAGAGATGGGGTTTCACCACATTGACCAAGCTGGTCTCGAACTCCTGATCTCAGGCAATCTGCCCGCCTCGGCCTCTCAAAGTGCTGGGGTTACAGGCATGAGCCACCGCACTTGGCCCTCCATCCCCCAAGTTTTTAACAGGGTCATGTTCTTGCTCGTAGCATCTCAAGTCTATCCTTTTAAAAATACATACTTGTGACAGGCCATAGATCCAGGCTTTAGTTAAAAAGTAGCCTAGATAGAATTCAGTAGATTTGGGTGCTTGGCTATGTACATTAGAAGTAAAGAATGAAACCAATTTTTAGGAAGAAATTGAAATGTCAAAATTAATTTTTACCTTTTTTTCTTCCATCTCCATTCCTACCTCCACTCCCTACATAGGACTAAGCTGAAATTTAAATGGAACGATTACCAACTTAGTTTCTTTTAAATCCTTTCATTTGGTTTTAAAATTGTAGGAAAATTGGCAGCCGGGCGCAGTGGCTCACTCCTGTAATCCTAGCACTTTGGGAGGCCGAGACAGGTGGATCACAAGGTCAGGAGATTGAGACCATCCTGGCTAACACAGTGAAACCCCGTCCCTACTAAAAATACAAAAAAATTAGCCAGGCATGGTAGCGGGCGCCTGTAGTCCCAGCTACTTGGGAGGCTGAGGCAGGAGAATGAGGCGTGAACCTGGGAGACGGAGCTTGCAGTGACCCGAGATTGCGCCACTGCACTCCAGCCTTGGAGACAGAGTGAGACTCTGTCTCAAAAAAAAAAAAAAAAAAAATTGTAGGAAAATTATAAAGTTCAGAGTTTATCCAGACTTCAAGTTTTGGATATGGATTAATTAAAGCTGTTGGCAATAGAGAATAGTTTCCTCTTTTCATGCCATGAGTTCATTACTATGGAGACTGTTTCAAAGAAGCAGCATTTTAAAACATTGAAGACCTTAAGTTCCTTTCTAAAGAGTTGTTAATATGTAGCTGTTGGATTGATGGGACCCCATGTTAGCTCTGGTTCCCAGAGTATTTAGTGGAACTAGCTAGAGTCCTTGCTGGCATCCTGGAAGGCCTGCCCCAGCCGCAAGCCATTGGAGAACCTCTGTTTATCCGTTATTCCTTAGCTTTTGAGAGTCATGGTTCTGTGGGGTCAGAGTTCAGACTGCTGTTTCCTAAAGGAATGTTTGTAGTTCCGAGTCACTTTAAAAGTCCTGTTCTAAATCCTGATTTATAGAAGGTGGGACTATAGTAGAGAACTAACAACCAGGTCCCCCTATCCATTCCTTAGATGAGGAAGACCTGTTGAGGGTTCTTCAGTCATTCTTCTCAAGGTGGGTGCAGATGGCATGTGGGCTTTGGAGATGTAAAAGTGTTGCATGATGATTCTTATTTTATAACTTACAGTATAGAACTAGGTCCATATGTGTACTCAGTAAGGATTTGTAGTGTAGATAACTCAACTTACATGTAAAACTCTTCCAAAACAGAAATGTAATTCCTTCAACATAGAGAAATCCCAGTGCCATTCCCCCCGCCATGCATTTGTGGCTACCAATTTGGAAGACAGTTCATCCAACAAAAATTTTAGTACCTTCACAAATTCTTTTTTGAGGGGTATCTTGGGTGCCCATTTTAGTTTCAAAAGTAGATTTTGACACACTTCAAAATTCAGAGGAAAGTAACCCAGCATTTAGTGAGTGCCTACTGTGCCCTGGGCTTTTGATATTTTTCATCATATGTAAGTTTAGTGAAATGTTCTTCTTCCCTCTGAGAATATTTCCCCAAACCTGAAATTAAACCCATTAGCCTGTCTCTACATGTAGGCATAAGCCTGGCACTTTTCTTATGAATCACATAGGAGAATATTACTGCCAATTACATAGTTTCAAAAGTAACAAAACACTACACAAATGAAGAAAAATTTTCACATTTATTGGGGCAGAAATGTGAAGATTGTCATAATGAGTTGCTATTACATAATGGTATAAAGAAAATTACCTTGGATGGAAATTTGTAAATTAGAAGGACCTAGTTAAATATGAGAGATACTTTCTTTTCCTACTTTCAAACTTTTCCTTTTTGAATATTGATGAACATGCTGATTGATATATCCTCTGATTCAAATACCTTGCCTATTTGAAAGCAAGTCAATTCAGCTCTGTTATTGAATAAGTTTAAACCATCTATGAAAAAAGTAAACTTAGTAACGGCCTTCTTTTACCTTCAGGTCGTCTAAACTATTCATATCCAGGATCCGATAGCTCTCTGCTTATTAATGGTAAGTGATAATTGATTTACCCTAGTGAAGTGCACAAAACTGATACAGTAGTTGTGCTTCAGCAGTGGAGAAATGACATTAGTTTGTTCTGTAATGATAACTGTAAGTTGCTATTAAACTATCAGCTATTTTAAGAATGATTCTTTTAGCTCACAATTGTGGCAGAAACTTTTCTTTTTAATATGAGGGCCAACTGATTCCCTGTCCTGAACTTGGTGACAATGAGAATGAAAATCCCATAATGATACCTAAAGATTGGCTTTATCTAATATTAGCTTCTGTAGAGTGACCTTTGAAATGTCAACATAAAAGCCATTTCCACGTGGCTGGAAAAATGTTCCAAGAGGAAAGGATAAGCAGAGATCTAAAACCAGAAAAAGGCAGCCTAAAACCACAGTGCTTGACATTGCATAGGACAAGGTCATTTGCTGTTTGCTGTCTAACAAAAACAAGAAACATGAAGTTTTATTGGCTTTCCAGTGTCTTCATTAGATTCTCCTTTCCTGTGCTAATGTTCTGTTGAGTTCTCTTTTTATGCGCATAGTGAAGCAAGCTAAGTTTCACCAGGAGGAGGGAATATCCACTCACAAGAATTTTAGTGTCTGTTTTTTTAGTATCATGGTCTAAAACAATTGGGTGAAATACAGAGGTCTTGTTTACTTCTTTTCTACTAATTTGCTATGGAATGTGGATTTCAAATTTCTGTGTGTAGAAAATGTCTTCCATTTGTCAAAGCTCATTTTAAGTCCCACGACCTCTAAGAAGTGTTATGGACTAAATAGCTATATTCTCATAATTCCCAAAACAAATAAAAATAAAAATTCTTCCACTCCTTGATTTTAGTATGTTGTGAATGAGGAGTTAAAAATTATTTTTATAACTGGATCTCCTTTTGAAATCAATATGTTGAAGGATTGTTGAGCCAGGAGAAGTTAGCAGGAGATTTGATGTTTGAGAATTGCTGGGTACATCAGATCTTCTAGAGACTAAATAGTTTATAAAATCTTACTTGGTCATCAGATGTAGGTCTTTTCATGCTACAGTGCGAGAAATAATACCATAATGTAATATTCTAGCATAAATATATTAGGCCAAAAACCAAACCCAGTGGCGACAGTGGCATCAGGATAAGGAGAACATAAGGGATATATATATACATGCAGAAGAGTTTACCTTTTCCTTTGGAACTAGTTCAAGTCAGTTCCAAGTACTGGAAATTGTAGTGAACCAAGATTGGGGATATTACTGTGTCATCTTAGGCAAAGTGATCAACTCTTCTTTGTCCCAGTTTCCTTATGAAGGTGTTCCTGTTGGATTAGTTGCCTCTGGGGCCCATCTTGTTGAGGGTTGTCGAGAAAAATAAACTCTCTCTAGTGGGTTTTCCTTAAAGCTAAATTCACTTAACTAGGAAAAAAAAGCCACCTGTAATCCCAGCACTTTGGGAGACTAAAGCAGGAGGATTCCTTGAGTCCAGGAATTCAACACCAGCCTCGGCAACATGGCCAAACCTTGTCTCTACAAAAGATTTTTAAAAACTAGCCAGGTGTGGTGGCACATGCTTGTAGTCCCAACTACTTGGGAGGCTGAGGTGGGAGGATTGCTTGGGCCGAGGAGGTCAAGGGTGCAGTGAGCCATGATTGCACCACTGTACTCCAGCCACAGTAACAGAGTGACACCCTGCCTCAAAAAAAGAAAAAAGTATACTATTATGAGATTGCCTTTCCTTTTTTCTTCATTACTATCCTTTCTTTCATAAATAATTTTTAATGATCTTACTTGTCAATAAAAAAATAAAAGTAACTTTTTCCCAAAATATTTATGTTTTCAAATTTTACTGGTCCATGAACTTTAAGAGAAGACTAGATAGTTTTTAATGTTGTATACGTGGAAATTTTGTTTATTATAAAGGCATACTGACTTGGGTTAACATTGCCTCAAACTGAAAGACATGAAGATAAAGGACAAAGAGAGATGTCTTTCTTCTAAGAAACATCTCTTGCTGGCTCCCCAAGCAAGACCCGGGAGTGTGGGGTTTACAGTTGCCGTGGTCTCAGGTCTAGTACTGAGCTTCATGGGGCCCCAAAACTTGATTTTGTCAGATTTGATGAAGGATTAGTTTTTTAGTAACCAACCAACTAGGACCAGATGCCAATTTATTCATTTATAATGAAGCATAAAACTTCCAGGTAGACCAGATGCCAGAGGTGACTACTCGACCGACCTATTCTCTCTCCAGTAGCAATGTCCAGATTAGAGCAGAAGATTGCTTGAAAGTCGTGAAATTAAAACTAGGTAGGGAGGAGAGGTGTTGAGAATTTTTTAGTGACCTTGATCAAGATATGCACATTGTCCATTCTGTCAGTCATGTTTGTGAAATATCTTCTAGAGTGGATCACATCTGTAGACAAATTAACCTCATTCATGTATTCATTCTTAGTAGCTTTGCTCTCACTTTAGCTCAGGTTTTGGGGGTACCTGTATTGCAAATCTGGCATAATGAATTGTGCTTAGTGAAGATTAATTAAAGAATTTACAGGTACTACCCATCACATAGGGTTGTGGTGAAGATTCAATGTGTGTAAATCACTTAGCATAGCACCTGGCACGTAGTAAGTCAAAATAAGAGAATTAGAATAAGTAATATTTTTGGTTAGGAATTAATCTCATTCATGTATTGATTCTTAATAGCTGAAAATATATAAGAAAAAAATACAGAACAAAGGATTAATATGAGTTTGCAAAAATTGTTGAAAGTTGAACATGCTTTCATTGTCTGTCATTAAGGTAGATAATCTAAAACTATGCACTTTCAAATGCATTCCCTTCATGTCTTGTGTCCATGCAGCCTTTTCTTAAAACTGAAAATAAAAGCCTAATCTATTATGTCACTTTATAGTCATTGTTTAATTTTAAGACTGAAAGGTGCTGTAAGGAGCTATTCTTCCTTGTCCACTGTAATCTATTCAGGCTTTTAAAAACCTTTAATAAGGTGATTATATAGCCACTCTGCTTTGTTTCAATGTAACTTTCAGAGCTTTTTCTTCCAAGTTATCTGTTGAAAGCCGTTTCTTGTTTTGTTTCGATAAAAATGTAGAGCAGCTGTTTATTCTCTTTCTCACATGAACATTTGAATTTTGACTCTCTGATTTTTATTTTATGCTTTATTTTGAAATTTTCAAGCAACCTCAAAGCTTTTAGAAAGAGGTTTAAATCCTCAATAAACAGAAAGAAAATCCCCTCACCAGCCTCTTATTGGAAAAATTATAACAATAATTAAAAGAAAAAAGTCAGAGTCACCAACCAGTTTTCAGTGGTTTATATTGGACTAATGTTGTAATTTGCCTTTACAAAGATAAATAGGGTGTATTCATCCATGGATCAAATTATTTTTTTGCCCTGCTCGATCATCAATTTCCTACAGTTTCATACAATGACCTTCGTATACCACTCATGTTAAAAGGCAGTGCCAATATAATTCAACAATGATTGGTAATTGTGTTAAGAATGTTACAATTCACACTCTAGGGAATTTTTCAATTTATTGCTGTGTTAATAGTTGTAGAGATTTTTTTGAGGGGCAATCTTGGGGACAGTTCTTGGATTTTCAATGTATTTTTAAAACCAAACTATCTAAAGCTACTTTTTGGGTGCTCTATTAGTTTGCTAGGGCTGCTATAATAAGTACCACTGACTACTGGCTTAAACAGAAATTTACTTCCTCAGTTCTGGAGGCTAGAAGTACAAAAGCAAGGTGTTATCAGGGTTCATTTATTTTGAGGCATCTCTCTATGGCTTATAGATAGCTGTGTTGCCACATGGTTTTCCATCTGTGCATGTCTGTGTCCTGAACTCTTCTTATAAAGACACCAGTCATATTGGATTAGGGACCACCCAAGTGACCTCATTTAACCTTAATTACCTTTTTAAAGACCCTGTCTCCAAATATAGTCACATTCTGAGGTACTGGAGGTTAGGACTTCAACATATGAATTTGGGCAGGAGGGTGGGGGTAGGGGGTGGCCACATAATTCAGCCCATAATAGATGCCTTATACTAGTAAATTTCATGTAGTAGGGATATAGTTAGAATGCCCATTTTATGGTTATGAGAAGCAAGCCTAAAACTTAGTTTCCCAGTTAAGTGAGAAGAAGTGTTAAACATAGGCTAGTTACCTCAAATTCCTCTGGAGTATCTTGGCTTAGCTCTGAGATAGACATTGGATTAAAAGATTAGTTTTCCTCTTACCCAGCTTGAAACTTTATTTTACCTAAGAAACCACCACCACCTCTGTATAAAAATGCTTGTGCATTATACTTTTTTTTTTTTTTTCTCTAACCTTTCATTCTCCTGCTTTAGCCCTCAGGATTAGCTACTTCAAAAATGAACCTTGTGGCAGGAGAAAGTTATAGAGCAAAAAAAACGTGTTAAGTTTTAACAACTCATATATGTATTTTCTTTCCTTTGAGGAAGTGATTAGTAAGAGATCTATTAAGGGTAGCACAGAACAACATTTCTTTCCTTTTTTTTTTTTTTTTTTTTTTGAGATGAAGTCTGTTCTGGACTGATCCAGACTCCAGTCTGATCCAGGCTGGAGTGCAGTGGCTCCATCTCGGCTCACTGTAGCCTCCATCTCCCAGGTTCAAGCAATTGTCCTGCCTCACCCTCCCAAGTAGCTGAGATTACAGGCACCTGCCACCATGCCCAGCTAATTTTTGTATTCTTAGTAGAGATGGGGTTTTACAATGTTGGCCAGGCTGGTCTCGAACTCCTGATCTCAAGTGATCGGCCTGCCTCGGCCTTCCAAAGTGCTGGGATTACAGGTGTGAGTCACCTCACCCGGCCCAACATCTCTTAATTATAGTTTTTTGGAATGAAAAGAGGAAGATTGTTTGCTTGGGAGGGGGAAGAAATCTATCAAAAAGGAAGGTGTAATTTACTCAAGAGAAATGTAGATGATGATCACTTACTGAAAATGTGTGTAATATGGTTCTAGTTGCTACAATAATAAGCATGTTGAAAGATCCCTTCATTGAAAAGATAATATGAAAACAAACTGTAAACTCTAAAGTGCTCTACAATTGTTAACCTTAAAATGCTAATGAAAAGCTGAGAATAATTGTTGAAGATCATACTCAGAATATATGCATATGAATTTACTTTTGGGAAAGGGAGATTATTTATTGAGTATGTGACTGACCATTACATATACACATTGTGTTTTTCATTATTCTCTCATTTGCTTCCCATTTTTATAAATAAAGAAACTGAGGGTTAGGGACATAAGGAAACTAGAGTTGCATTCTCTGCTCTTTTCTAAGGTAGGCCTTACAAATAATAGTGTCTTTATCATATCTTAGGAACATTCTTTGAATGTTGTTGTACCAACAAGCTAATATAAGCATAAGCCAATGTGATAGGAATTTCTAACTATAAAGCAAATGTAAATTAATTTTGTGGCAGTGAGCCTATTAAATTAGGGATTAATTTATAAAATCATTTAAAATGGTTCTTTGCATCTTTGTTGAATCGTATGCTTTGGTCTTTGTGATGATTGTGTCTGCTTTTTGGTTCTACCATCTTTATTCTTTTGTTCACAGATTAATTCCTTTTAGCTTCAAGCCTTTGATTTATATCTTTTCAACTGATTTACTAATTTGGCTAATTTCTACACTCCTCTCCCCATATATTTTCTTTTAGTCCTCCTGGAAAAGTCAGGTTGTTTTGTTTTGTTTTGTACTGTTTTGAGACGGAATCTCGCTCTGTTGCCCAGGCTGGAGTGCGGTGGTGCAATCTCAGCTCACTGCAATCTTTACCTCCCGGGTTGAAGCAATTCTCCTGCCTTAGCCTACCAAGTAGCTGCGATTACAGGCATGTGCCACCACACCCAGCTAATTTTTATATTTTTAGTATAGACAGGGTTTTACCATATTGGCCAGGCTGGTCTCGAACTCCTGACCTCAAATGATCTGCCCACCTCAACCTCCCAAAGTGCTGGGGTTATAGGTGTTAGCCACCATGCCTAGCCAAAAGAAGCCAGTTATCTGATAACATCTTATCATCTGAGCTACACCCCCCTTTTTTTTCCAGATAGAATTGCTATTTGTCTTCTCACCTTGGGGCAGAGAGAGGTGCACAGTTGGAGAGCCTAAGGTAGATCAGCGTAACCCGAATAGGATCCGTTTTTTCATTGTCCACTAAAACATAGTAATATCTTATCCTTCATGGCCTAAAGTCCTATTCGTGACAGAATTGATTAGGTGCTGTCATGTAGGAAAGTATGCTTTTGTATGAAAGTAATAATGTCATTTGTTCATTTTTAATATTAGTACCAAGGAGAAAACCAAAAAGGGTTCATTAACAAATATAGCAATATAGCATATGCAATAATAATAAATTCAAATGGTACAAAAAGGGATAAAACAAGAAGTGAATGCCTTCTTTCCTCTTTCTAGAAGTTTCTCTCTCCAAAGGTTCTTGTGGTTGTTTCTAGAAAAAAGTATTTCATGGCCAGGCGCAATGGCTCATGCTTACAATCCTAGCACTTGGGGAGGCCCAGGTGGATGGATTTCTTGAGCCCAGGAGTTGAGACCAGCCTGGGCAACATGGCAAAACCCCATCTCTATAAAAATAAAAATAAAATAAAAAGTAAAAAGATTTTATGCATAGTCCCACATATCTATTTATATTTTCTTTATTTTTAAATGTACACAATAAGGATTCTACAATACACACTTAGACACTGCATGCAGGCCAGCATCTTAGAGAGCTTTAGGTACATGAACGTGAGCCACATTTAAAAATGCCACATGCTCAGTTAATAGGGTTGCTCCTTTGAAATACGTACATACATACATACATACATACATACATACAAATGCCACCTACTAGGTGTTTCTTCTTTTGAATGTGTGGGTACTTTGTTTCTTTTTGATTATTACAAATGTTGCAACAAATGAGAAAAAAGTACTTTTTATGGGATAAATAATATTTTATTTTTATAATAAAATGTATGGGGAGGGAGAAAGTCAGGGGAGCCCTGACAAGTCTTTCTGTACCTTCTTCGTAAGTCTGGCATTACAGATTAATGGAACATTTTGCTAGAGGGAATTTGATTCTGCATATAGGGCTAATAACAAGGAAAGGAAGCATTTGTAAGCAATCCTGTAAAGACGTTTTAGAAATAAAGTATATCAATAGATCTAATAGCAGGTATCCAGAAGTTATAAAAATTTATGGCCATAATATTTTGAGCCTTTTTTTTTTTTTAACAATCTTGAATCCTGTTAGTTCTGAACATTAAATTATTGAGGACTTTATAAATCAAAACTAGGCTGGACACGGTGGCTCACGCCTGTAATCCTAGCACTTTGGGAGGCTGAAGTGGGCAGATTGCCTGAGCTCGGGGGTTTGAGACCAGCCTGTTCAACAGGGTAAAACCATGTCTCTAATAAAATACAAAAAAAAAAAAAAAAAGCTGGATGTGGTGGTGTATAGTCCCAGCGAGACTGAGGCAAGAAGAATTGCTTGAATCTGGGAGGCAGAGGTTGCAGTGAGCTGAGATCGTGCCACCGCACTCCAGCCTGGGCGAGAATCCATCTCCAAAAATAAAAATAAAATAAATCAAAACTAAGAAATAATACAAGTGGATAAACATATAAATCGTAATCATTTAAACTTTGGTGGGGACTGGGAGATTTTTATTCAGTGGCAAGAGCATGCATCTAAACAATCTTTGAAGAGTCTACTTTTTGGTAACTGAAGGAAACTTCTGAGCAGGGTTAGTTTGGCTGACTTAGAACTTTTCCAAAATGTAGATTTCTTTGAACATAATTAAAGTCATTTTTTAACTTACACTTCCTCGGATATTTGAGAAACATCAAATAACAGGCAATACTTGCTAGTCATGAGATTGGAAATCTGTCTGACATTTTCCTCAGGAAAGCAGAGAAGTTCTATGTTGCAAGAATTTCATCATAAAGTGTGTGCCAATATAATTTGAAATAAGTGAGGAAAAGTGCTTAGTACATCTTTTTTATGTAAGATAAAGTGGCGTTATTTAGCATTCTATTAATGTCTGGGTTCTGGTTACATAGATCTGTTCAATTTGTAGAAAATTCATTGAACTTATGGTTTATTTTTGTGTATATGTCATATGTCAAAATTTACATGAAAAATAATGTATAAGTATTACAATAAGTGGAAATAAAAATTACACATTCTCGTTTTGCATGTTCCAGAATGTCATTGTTTTTATTTCTTCAATATTAATTTACATTAATTTCCTGATTTGATTGGGCAACTTTTATAGTTGTAAACATTATTCACTTATAACCTATTTTCCCTTAATATGAGAAAATATCTACATAGCTTTCAGAATTTAATCTCAGAATTTAACCATGAATTATTTTATATTGACCAGTTTAATTTTATAGTATACAATCAAAGTTTGAGAGTGTACATTTGAAGATTTCGAGAGTATTTGATTGTAACTTTTGATCCACAGCCCTTACTATTCCGGAAATTATTTATTTTTGATATAATGGAAGCCATGAGAGTTTTCATGTTAATTTTGTAGCTATATTATAAAAGCTTATTCTTTTCAAATATCTGTTTTCTCAGAAATCCAAGCAGCATCAATCAACTTTTTAAGATTGACAGCATTAAGATTTTCAAATCGTTACTTTGTTTCCCCAGACTCCCTAATCTTTGAAGCAGTTGTATGAATAGAATGTTCGTAAACAAGCATCTGCTTTGTGATGCTATTTGTCTTTCTAACCTCTGTCTGATTAAGTCAGAAAATACCTACCCCTCCCCAACCCCCTAAACTTAAGACCTATTAAAGTGAAAGCACAAGTGCTTGAGGGAGATTGTATGTTGTGTGAATCCATTTGCTCAAATACTTTGGTGAAATCCAGGGCTATCTAAGTGTGGCAGAAATGTATTTTGGTTTGAGATATAATTTCACTTTGGAAGATACTCACATAATATTTCTGAGTTATAATTATTTAGCATTTATCTGGAAGAATGAGAATAAAAACCTTGACCAGTTTGTGAGTTTGTATAGTGATTTCTTAAAGGAGCTATACCTTCTAACTCAAAAACCTATCCCAGGCTGTAACCCTGGGACTTTGGGAGGCTGAGGTGGGCAGATCACTTGAGATCAGGAGTTCGAGACCAATTTGGCCAACATAGTGAAACCCCATCTCTGCCAAAAAAAAAATACAAAAATTAGCTGGTCGTGGTGGCACACCCCTGTGGTACCAGGTACTGGGGAGGCTGAGGCACGAGAATCGCTTGAACCCGGGAGGCGGAGGCCGCAGTGAGCTGAGATTGCACCACTCCAGCCTGGGTGACAGAGCTAGATTCTGTCTCCAAAAAGAAAAAACCCATCCCAGTTTACTGTTGAAACCTCATCCCCAGCCAAGTCCCCACTTGTTCTACATGCTTCTGTTCGGCCACCTTTCCCTGAATGCTACAGCAGCACCCCTGCGTGTAACGCTGTTGAGCCTGGAATGCCCTTCCTCTGTTTTTCTGTTAAGGGCCACCTCAAATTCCCTACCCCCACCCCCAACTTTTTCATCAGAGTCAGTTCTTCCTCCTCTATTCCTGTTACACCTACCACATAACTAGTATAACAATAGGCATGCTACACTGTTGTTTGCTTATGTGGCCTTCTGGCATTAAAAGCTGCTAGTTCCTGGAGGTCAGGGACATGCACTATTTACTATTTATCCACAAGATCAGGCATTCAAGAAATGTTCGTTGGATAGAATTGAGGTGTTTGGACAGGCTGGGCTTATAAGTGCCAGTTTGTTTCAGGGAAGACATTTTCTCAAAGGTTTTCTGATTTAAAGTTTATACTGTCATTTCCTGAGTATTCCAGTGGATTATTAATTACCTTTACTTTGCCCCTTGGCTACAACCTACTTGGCAATAAAAATACCAAGCCTTTTACTTTTCAACATTTAGGACTTGGTAGAAGACTTGATTAGGCATAGGGAACTGTTGGCTAAAAGGAAGTTGATGAATTGCTTAAAGATTTCATTTGTTATGATTTTCTCTTATAAGGGATTAACTGAGGAATACTGTAAAGTTGTTATTTATCTTCTGGTGGTGAAAAAGTCATGAATTAAATATTGGTATATCTACTAAATTGCTAGTTAGCAGGGAATTCTGAGAGAAAACGTTATTAATATGGTAATAGTTGGTTTTTATTATGTTGTATACTGCCTTAGTTTCATAATAGTTTGAACCTTGGGCAACAATTACAGCAAAAAGCTTCCCATAAAACAAATAAGATTCAATAAAGTTTTACAGTGTCCTTGAAGAAATTTTAAAAATGCCCAAAATTGACCTCTTACCTCCCGTTCCTTGTTTTTTTAGACATTTACCAGGAAATGAAGAATATAGTCACAGTTTTTCCATTTTCAAAAGCTGGTAGATGAAATCACAGTTGATTCTTTTGACAATGTTTGAAAGGTTGTTTTGTTTTTTTGTTTTTGTTTTTTTCTCATTTGACATGCAGCAAGGACATATGGGCGAAGGAGAGGTAACATTGTTTTTAACTTTTAAATGTATCACTTGTATTTGGAGACGACCCAAGCTTGTTTAATTTCTAACCTTTGTGGGGAAGGGGAGAGGG